>NC_000001.11:117735653-118038683 GCF_000001405.40 Homo sapiens
CAGTTAGCCTAATTATTTTAAGATTCATTCCTGCTGTTGAATGTATCACAATGGTTTGTTCCTTTTTATTGCTGAAGAGTATCCCATTTTAGGAATATACCAGATTTGTTTCCAGTTTGGGGTTATTAAAGATTATTATAAATAAAGCTATGAACATCCACATATAAACCTTTATGTAGACTTTCTCTAGGGTAAATACCTAGGAATGGAATGGGTAGATCATGTGGTCAGTATATGTTTAACTCTTAAAAAGCCAAAATGTTTTCCAAAGTGACTGTACCATTTCACATTCCCACCAGCAATGTGTGAGAATTCCAGTTCCTCCATGTCTTTACCAACACGTGATATGGCCAGTGTTCTTAATTTTAAACATTCTGATAGGTACATAGTAGTGTCTTATTGTGGTTTTAATTTGCTTTCCCCTCATGGTGTGCAATAAAGTATCTTTTTATGTGCTTATTTGCTATCCATTATCTTTTTTGATAAAATACTTGTTCAAATCTTTTGCCTATTTTAAAAATTTTGTTTTCTTATTATTGAGTTTTAGAGTTCCTTTTATATCTGGATACAAGTCCTTTATTAGGTATGTGACTTTCAAATATTTTCTCCCAGTCTGTGGCTTTTTATTCTTTTAGTAGTGTCTTTTGAAGAGCAGACCTGACTGACTTTGACAAAGTCAGTTTCCTTTGTTGTTGTATCCAAGAAATCTTTGTCTAATCCAGTGTCACAAAGATTTTCCCCTAGATTTTCTTCTGGAAGTTACATAGTTTTAGATTTAGCTTTAGATCTTTTGGATCATTTAAATTTACATTATTTAGATCTTTATTATATATTTATATCTTTTAGACTTAGATCAGCTAGATCTTGAGTTAATTTTTGAATTAATTCTGAATATAGTGTGAGGTGTGGATTGAAGTTATTTGTTGTTTTATGTAGATATCCAATTGTTTCAGCACCATTTGTTGAAGAGATATTCTTTCTCCACTGAATTGTCTTTGCATTTTTTTGAAAATCAGTTGACCATATTTATTTGGATGTATTTCTGGATTCTCCATGGGATTCCATTGATCTATTTGTATATCTTGATGTCAATACCACATTGTCTTGATGACTGTAGCTTTATAATAAATCTTGAATCAGGAATGTAAGCCCTCCAATATTGTTCCCCTCTTCTTAAAATTGTTTTGGTTATCCTAGCTCATTTGTATTCTTATATAAATTTTATAATAAGCTCGTTAATTTTTACAAAAAAAGAAGCCTAATGGGATTTTGATTGAGATTATGTTAAATCTGTAGATCAATTTGCAGTGAATTGACATGTTAACAATATTGAATTTATTTAAAATACTTAAATAAAGAGAGAGATATAGCAGGCTCTTTCAATCTAGGAGCCTGGTATATCTCTCCATTTATTTAGGTATTTTAAATGTCTCTTTTCAACATTTTGTAGTTTTCAGAGTACACATATTGTTAAATCAGTCCCTAAGCATTTCATATTTTTATGCTAGTGTAAATGGTATTGTTTTAAATTTCCTTTATCAATTGCTTATTTCTAATACAAAGAAATGCCATTGATTTATGTATATTGGCATTATATTCTGCAACCCTGCTAAGCTTATTTATCATTTACAGTACCATTGTTGTAGATTACTTAGGATTTCCAACATAGATGGTTATGTTGTCTGTGAATAAATCTAGCTTTACTTCTTTTTCTCCTTTTTTTTTTTTTTCCTTTAAGACATGGTCTTGCTCTGTCACCCAGGCTGGAGCACAGTAGCACAATTACAGCTCACTGCAGCCTTGACCTCTTGAGCTCAAGGGATCCTACCTCAGCCTCCCAGGTAGCTGGGACCACCCATGGATGCCACCATGCCTGGCTATTTACTTTTTTAAATTTTTTGTAGTGATAGTGTCTCCGTATGTTGCTGGCTTTACTTCTTCTTCTCCAATCTGTATGCCTTTTATTTCTTTTACTTGCCTCATTGCATTGGCTGGGACCTCCACTATCATGTTGAATAGAAGTGGTAGGAATGGACATCCTTGCCTTTTTCACTGTCTTAGGGAAAAAGTATCCAGTCTTTCTATAGCAAATATAAGCCATAGGGTTTTGTTTTTTCCATAGATGCCCTTTATCAGGTTTAGAACTTCCTTTACATCTCTAAATTGCTGATAATATTTTTCCTGAACGGGTATTAATTTTTGTCTAATGCTTTTCCCATGTCTATTGAGATGATCGTATGGTTTTCCTTTTACATTTAATTTAATAATACAGTTAGCTACCTTGATTGGTTTTTTAATGTTAAGCCAAGTTTGCATTCTTAGGATAAACTCCACTTGGTCATAATCCATTATATTTTAACTTATTGTTAAATTTGATTTGCTTAAATTTTGTTTAGAAATTTTGCATTTATGTTTATGAGGGATATTGTTCTGTAGTTTTCTTGTTATATTCAGTTATTTTTA
Organism: Homo sapiens; assembly: GCF_000001405.40. Lineage (NCBI taxonomy): Eukaryota > Metazoa > Chordata > Mammalia > Primates > Hominidae > Homo > Homo sapiens. The sequence goes on from NC_000001.11 coordinate 117,738,117, forward strand.
GGCAGGTTTAATAGAATCACTGTTTTCTCCATTAAGAAGGCAAAGGGAAATATTCTGAGTGTCTGAGAGGTCTGAGTGTGTCACTGACATCTGTAACATTTTAGAGCCCCAGATGTTCATACCAATATTTTATATCATTTTTATACATAAAGTTACACTAGTAAAGAAAAAGCAGAAAGGAAATTTCCCAAATTGTAACAGTAATTTCTCTTGGGTAAATTAAAGGTCTCCAGACATTTGAGGAAGTCCTGCAATAGAAAAGAGAGACATGAAAATAAACCAAGAAAATAGCTGGAGAAAAGAAAAACATTTATTTACTTACCGTTCTTTTTTTTATTCCTTTAAAATGAAATCCTTGTTGCAGAAAAAACTTTTTAAAACTTATAATTATTATTCTTCGAATGATTTTGAGACATATCAAAGCCAGCAAACAAGATCAGAATCAAATGAAAAAGGGACAATCATGGAACAGAAAGAAGTTATGGAAAATAAAAATATAGTTATTATAATGCAAATAAATGATTCTAATATTACAAAGTAGGTATATTAGTCTGCTAGGGCTACCATAACAAAATACCACAAACAGGGTTGCTTAAAGAACAGAAATGTATTTCCCACAGTTCTGGAGCCTGGAAGTCGAAGGTCAAGGTGTCTGCAGAGTTGGTTTCTCCTGAGGCTGCTCTCCTTGGCTTGCACATGGCCCTCTTCTTACTGTGTCCTTACATGGCCTTTCTTTTGCACATGCACATTCTTGATGTCTCTTCCTCTTCTTATAAGGACACCAGTCCTATTGGATTATGTTCCCACTCTTATGACCTCATTTACCTCAATTACCTTTTTAAAGGCCCTATCTCCAAATACAGTCACATTGGGGATTAGGGTTTCAACATGTGTATTTTTGGAGGACACAGACTGTCTATAACAATGCGGAATTGGAAAATACTGTCATGGTGAATGGAAAAGAAATAAAGTCATGAATACTTTATTTCATTCCTTTATTCAAGGAACTTAAAATACTGACAACTACATTGGAGGATCTAGATTGGCAAAGATGGAGCTAGAGACTTAAATCTCATCCAGGAGAGCAGAAAGTCAATGGGTATGACTCCAAATTGGTAAATTAAGAAATAGTGGTAGAGGCAGATTGTATATCCAGAATAAACAGTTAAAAGAGTTAAACGTGGTTATCTCTAGGAAGCATCAATAGAGGTGGGCAGTGTGTTGCTTTTCATTATAAATATCTCCTTACCATTCAGGCATGTTCATGTATTTGATTAAAAAATTAGCAAAAAGCACTATTACCAAAACAAAACAAAACAAAACTGTGGCCTCTCCATCTGTTCTGTTCTTTTTCTTCCAATTAGGTCCTTCTTCGATATTTCCAACAGCAGAGGCCACTTTTGCAACCCAGGACCAGGAGTTACAAGCTCAACTCTCATTCAGTGTTTCCGCTTTCCTCTCTATCCCTTTTTGGTTTTATTTTTGTGCAAATTTATTTCCACAACAGATTGTGGTTTCCTTCAAAGATTTATACATGGCTCACCTCCAGTGCCTTGACAATAACCTGGCACATGTAGATGCTCAGAGTATTTGCTTTTAGAACACAAGTCTTGTTAACCTTCTAGAGAACAGTTCTGCTCAGCATCACATCATCAGCTGTGTCCCAGCCCTTGGAACCAGTATAGAGAGAGCCTCATTAGAATCATTTTAAGGCAAAATGCTTAAATTTCTTTTATACATTTAAGAATGTGATACCAGCAAACACTATTGGGAATGACTGGGAGAACTCTTACCTACTTTACTAAAACATGAAGTTGTTAACCATATCTATATATCTCTCTATATATCTTCTGCTTCACCACATTCATCTATCAGTTTGTCCTCAGTGGGCCCTATCATCTGTAAAGCTTTGTGTCAATGCATAATTTTGTAAACTATGTTACTGTCCTCAAGATTACAAACTGTCCTCAAGTGTGGAAGTCAAGGTTGTTCCATAAATACAGAATTTATACTACAACAACTATAGAGAGTATACAGGTTCCTTTGCCTTGATAAAATTTATGGGTTTGCTTAAAACTAAATGAGAAGTTAATTTTTTGTTAAATAAATCATATTGCCTCGTTGCTTAAAACTAAATGAGAAGTTAATTTTTTTGTTAAATAAATCATATTGCCTCATCGCTTAAAACTGCTATCTCAAGAGATTTCTTTCCTGCATTTCTGATTTATGGTGACTTGATGGCAGTATTTGTGACTAGTTCTAAGTTTCCTGCCAGTCCCGCCTCTCCTGCAATCTGTAAACAATGCCCTGGTCATTCTGTTCCAAAAGGAATGCTCTGTGGAGGCTAGAGAGCCTTTGGGAAGGAAAATAGTCATTCTCTGCACAGTCTGTTTGGTGTGAAAGGTACTGAAGCACCTGGCCAGGGACTTTGGAGCAGGCGATCCTCTGACTTCTCCCACTGGGAGTGCTCCTACGCCTGGGTTTTCAGCATCCAGATGCTCAGATTCTCAGGCTATTTCCAGAGTCACACAGGAGCCAGATCAGGATGGTGGGAGAAAACAGTGGAGAGCAGATGATTTGCTCAGTATTCTCCCTGTGGGCGTGGGCTAAGTCTATGTACTTTATGATTCAAAAGATATTTATTGAGAACTTACACAGACCTTTTGGAGACTCCATAGCTGACCTTCTTTTCTGATTATTCCCTAGAACATGAGCTCTGCTGGTGAAAGTCTAGCTTCAGGCAGTCACATAAATACATACTTAGAATGCACTGTGTCCTGAGCAATAATCAAAGTAAGCATAAGATTCAGAAGCAGCTCATTAAATAAATAAGAGATTCTATTTGTGGAGGCTGAGAAAAGCAGGGGAGATCAGTGTTGCCCAGGGTTTTAAAGGATAAATAGAAGCTTGTCAAATAGATAAGGTGGAAGAAAATTCTAGAAAGTGGGAGCAGCCTGTAAAAATGAATATGATAGTGACCACATGGAATTTTAAGAAATATCTATTGTCTATTACCAGATCTATATACATTCCTGCATCTGCATTCATTTTATTTTATTTTTAATCTCCTTTTTTGATGTAAAGAAGACCTTTTATATAGATATTTGGAGTTGCGAAGCATTTTTTTGGAAAGATGAAAGAATTGCCCAGAGAACATTAAATTATGTACATAGCTTTAAATGACTCCAGTATTTTCCTGTCCTTTAATCTTTGTATTTTTTTATTTTTATTTTTAAAAGTTTTTATTTGCATAGGTTATTGGGGAACAGGTGGTGTTTGCTTACATGAGTAAGCTCTTTAGGGGTGATCTGTGAGATTTTGGTGCACCCATCACCCGAGCAGTATAGCTGAACACAATTAGTAGTCTATTATCCCTCACCTCCTTCCCACATTTTCCCCCTAGTCCCCAAAGTCCACTGTGTCATTCTTATGCCTTTGCATCCACATAGCTTAGCTCCCACTTATAGTGAGAACATAACGATGTTTGGTTTTCTATTCCTGAGTGACTTCACTTAGAATAATAGTCTCCAATCTCATCCAGGTCGCTGCAAATGCCATTAATTCATTCCTTTTTATGGCTGAGTAGTATTCCATCATGTATATATAACTATAGTGTCTTTATCCACTCGTTGATTGATGGGCATTTGGGTTGGTTCCATGTTTTTGCAATTGCCAATTGTGCTGCTACAAACATGTGACAAAAGAACATTGATTCTTTTTTGCATAATGACTTCTTTTCCTCTGAGTAGATACCCACTATTGGGATTGCTAGATCAAATGGTAGTTCTACTTTTAGTTCTTTAAGGAATGCCTGCACTGTTTTCCATAGTGGTTGTACTAGTTTACATTCCCACCAGCAGTGCAAAAGTGTTTCCTGTTCACCACAGCCACACCAACATCTATTATTTTTTTATTATGGCCATTCTTGCAGGAGTAAGGTGGTATCACACTATGGTTTTGATTGGCATTTCCCTCATCATTAGTGACGTTGAGCATTTTTTTATGTTTGTTGGCCATTTGTATATCTTCTTTTGAGAATTGTCTATGTCCTTAGCCTACTTTTTGATGGGATTGTTTTTTCTTGCTGATTTGTTTGAGTTCCTTGTAGATTTGGATATTAGTCCTTTGTCAGATGTATAGATTGTGAAGAGTTTCTCCGACTCTGTAGGCTGTTTACTCTGCTGACTGTTCCTTTTGCCATGCAAAAGCTCTTTAGTTTAATTAAGTCCTAGCTATTTATCTTTGTTTTTGTCGCATTTCCTTTTGGGTTCTTGGTCATGAAATCCTTGCCTAAGCCAATGACTAGAAGGGTTTTTCCAATGTTATCTTCTAGAATGTTTATAGTTTCACGTCTTAGATTTAAATCTTTGGTCCATCTTGAGTTGATTTTTGTATAAGGTCAGAGATGAGGATCCAGTTTCATTCTCCTACATGTGGCTTGCCAATTATCCCAACACCATTAGTTGAATAGGTTGTTTTTTCCCCATTTTATGTTTTGGTTTTCTTTGTTGAAGAACAGTTGGCTGTATTTGGCTTCGTTTCTGGGTTCTCTATTCTGTTCCATCGGTCTATGCGACTATTTTTATTCCAGGACCATGCTGTTTTGGTGACTATGGCCCTATAGTATAGTTTGAAATCAGGTATTGTGATGCCTCCAGATTTGTTCTTTTTGCTTAGTCTTGCTTTGGCTATGCAGCCTCTTTTTTGGTTCCATATGAATTTTAGGATTTTTTTGTCTAGTTCTGTGAAGAATGATGGTGGTATTTTGATGGGAATTGCATTTAATTTGTAGATTGCTTTGAGCAGTATGGTCATTCTCACAATATTAATTCTACCCATCCAAGAGCATGAGATGTATTTCCATTTGTTTGTGTCATCTATGATTTCTTTCAGCAGTGTTTTGTAGTTTTCCTAATATAAGTCTTTCACTTCTTTGGTTAGGTCTATTCCTAATGATGTATGTATGTATGTATGTATTGAAGCTATTGTAAAAGGGGTTGAATTCTTGATTTGATTTTCAGCTTGGTCGCCATTACCAGAAGAGCTACCGATTTGTGTACATTAATTTTGTATCCAGAAATTTTGCTGAATTCTTTTATCAGTTCTAGGAGCTTTCTGAAAGAGTCTTTAGGGTTTTCTAGGTAAACAATCATATCGTCAGCAAACAGCAACAGTTTGACTTCGTCTTTACTGATTTGGATGCCCTTTATTTCTTTCTCTTGTCTGATTGCTCTGGCTAGGCCTTTCAGTGCTATGTAGATATGAAGTACCATTCCATTCAGCACACGTAGAATGCAAATGGTGAGAGTGGGCATCTTTGTCTTGTTCCTGTTCTCAGAGAAAATGCTTTCAACATTTCCGCATTCAGTATTATGTTGGCTGTGAGTCTGTCATAGATGGCTTTTATTACATTGAGGTATGCCCCATGTATCCCAATTTTGCTGAGAGTTTTAATTATTGATGAGTGCTGGATTTTGTCAAATGCTTTTTCTGCATTTATTGAGATGATCATGTGATTTTTGTTTTCAATTCTGTTTATGTGGTGTATCATATTTATTGACTCGTGTATGTTCAACCATCCCTGCATCCCTGGTATGTAACTCACTTGATCATGGTATATTATCTTTTTGATATGTTGTTGGATTTGGTTAGCTAGTATTTTGTTAAGGATTTTTGCATCTATGTTCACCAGGGATATTGGTTTGTAGTTTTCTTTTTTGGTTATGTCCTTTCCTAGTTTTGGTATTAGGGTGATACTGGCTTCATAGAATGATTTTGGGAGCATTCTCTCCTTCACTATCTTGTGGAATAGTGTCAATAGGATTGGTACCAATTCTTCTTTGAATGTCTGATAGAATTCTGCTGTGAATCCATCTGGTCCTGAGGTTTTTTTGTCGGTAATTTTTTAGTTACCATTTCAATCTTGCTGCTTGTTTTTAATCTGCTCAGGGTACCTAATTCTTTGTGATTTAAGCTAGGAGGGCTATATCTTCCCAGGAATTTATCGATTTCCTGTAGGTTTTCTAGTTTAGGCATGTAGAGGTGTTCATAGTAGCTTTGAATGATCTTTTGTATTTCTCTGGTATCAGTTGTAATAGCTCCCATTTTGTTTCTAATTGAGCTTATTTGGATTTTCTCTCTGCTTTTCTTGGCTAATTTTGCTAATAGTCTATCCATTTTATTTATATTTTCAAAGAACCAGCTTTTTGTTTCATTTAGCTTTTGTGTTTTTTTGTTTCAATTTAATTTAGTTCTGCTCTGATCTTGGTTATTTCCTTTGGTCTTTCCTTGGTTATTTTCCTTCTGCTGGGTTTGGGTTTGGTTTGTTCTTGCTTCTCTAGAACACCTTTAGGTGTGACCTTAGATTGTCTCTTTGAGCTCTTTCAGACTTTTTCATGTAGGCATTTGGAGCTGTGAACTTTCCTATAGCACTGGCTTTGCTGTATCCCAGAAGTTTTGATAGGTTTTGTCACTATTGTCATTTGGTTTGAAGAATTTTTTTATTTCCATCTTGATTTCATTGTTGACCCACTGATCATTCAGGAGCAGGTTATTTAATTTCCGTGTATTTGCATGATTTTGAAGGTTCCTTTTGAAGTTAATTTCTTAAATTTATTGAGGCTCATTTTATGGCCTATTATGTGGTCTATCTTGGAGAAAGTTCCATGTGCTGATGAACAGAATGTGTATTCTGCCGTTGTTGGGTAGAATGTTCTGTAAATATCTGTTAAGTCCATTTGTTCTATGGCATAGTTTAAATCTATTGTTTCTTTGTTGACTTTCTGTCTTGATGACCTGTCTAGTGCTGTCAGTGGAGTATCGAAGTCCCCCACTGTTAATGTGTTGCTATCTCATTTCTTACGTCTAGTAGAAATTGTTTTATAAATTTGGGGGCTCCAATATTAGGTGTGCATATACATTTAGCATTTTGATATTTTCCTGTTGGACAAGGACTTTTATCATTATATAATGTCCCTCTTTGTCTTTTTTAACCGCTGTTGCTTTAAAGTTTATTTTATCTGATATACAAATGGCTACTCCTGCTCACTTTTGGTGTCCGTTTGCATGGAATGTCTTTTTCTACCACTTTACCTTAAGTTCATGTGAGTCCTTATGTGTTAGACGAGTCTTGAAGGCAGCAGATAGTTGGTTGGTGAATTCTTCTCCATTCTGCAATTCTGTATCTTTTAAGTGGAGCATTTAGGCCATTTACATTCAACATTAGTATTGAGATATGAAGTACCATTCCATTCATCATGCTGTGTTACCTGTTTACCTTGATTTTTTAAATTGTATTTTTGTTTTATAGGTCCTGTGAGATTTACGCTTTAAAGACGATGTGTTTTGATGTGTTTTCAGGATTTATTTCAAGATTTTGAGCGCCTTCTAGCAGTTCTTGTGGTGCTGGCTTGGTAGTGGCAAATTCTATCTGCATTTGTTTGTCTGAAAAAGACTGTAACCTTTTCTTCATTTATGAATCTTAGTTTTACTGGATACAAAATTCTTGGCTGATAATTGTTTTATTTAAGGAGGCTGAAGATAGGACCCCATTCCCTTCTAGCCTGTAGGGTTTCTGCTGAGAAATCTGTTAATCTGATAGGTTTTCCTTTACAGGTTACCTGGTGCTTTTGCCTCACAGCTCTTAAGATTCTTTCCTTCATCTTAATTTTAGGTAACCTGATGACAATGTGCCTAGGCAATGATCTTTTTTGCAATGAATTCCCCAGGTGTTCTTTGTACTTCTTGTATTTGGATGTCTAGGTCTCTAGCAAGGCCAGGAAAGTTTTCCTCGATTATTCCCCAAAATATGTTTTCCAAACTTTTAGATTTCTCTTCTTTCTCAGGAATGCTGATTATTCTTAGGTTTGTTCATGTACTATAACCCCAGACTTCTTGGCAGCTTTGTTCATATTTTTGTATTCTTTTTTCTTTGTCTTTGTTGAATTGAGTTAATTCAAAAACTTTGTCTTCACCCTCTGAAGTTCTGTCTTCTGTCTTCTGCTAGTTCGATTCTATTGCTGAGACTTTTCAGAGTATTTTGCATTTCTGTAAGTACATCCATTGTTTCCTGAAGTTTTGATTGTTTTTTATTTATGCTATCTATTTCATTGAAAATTTCTCCTCTCATTTCTTGTATTTTTTTTTTTTTTGACTTCCTTAAATTGGGTTTCACCTCTCTCTGATGCCTCCCTGATTAGCTTATTAACTAACTTTCCGAATTCCTTTTGAGGTCAATCAGGGATTTCTTCTTGGCTTGGATCCATTGCTAGTGAGCTAGTGTGATTTGGGGAGGTTGTTAAAGAACTCTGTTTTGTCATATTACCAGGGTTGGTTTTCTGGTTCCCTCTCATTTCGGGGGGCTCTGTCAGAGGGAAGGTCTTGGGCTCAAGGCTGTTGTTCAAATTCTTTTTCCTACAGGGTGTTCCTTTGATGTAGTACTCTCCCATTTTTCCTATGGATGTGGCTTCCTGAGAGCTGAGCTGTAGTGATCACTAACTCTCTTCTGGATCTAGCCACCCAGCAAGTCTGCCAGGCTCCAGGCTGGTACTGGGGGTTGTCTGCACAGAGTCTTGTGATGTGAACTGTCTGTGGGTCTCTCAGTGGTGGATACCAGCACCTGCTCCAGTGGAAGTGGCAGGGGGGTGAAATGGAATCTGTGAGGGTCCTTAGTTTTGGTTTCTTAATGCACTATCTTTTGTGCTGGTTGGCCTCCTGCTGGGAGATGGTGCTTTCAAGAGAGCATCAGCTGTGGTACTATGGGGAAGAACAGGTGGTGGGCAAGGCCCTAGAATTCCTAAGAGCATGTGTGCCCTTTGTCTTCAGCTACCAGGGTGGGTAGGGAAGGACCATTAGGTAGGGGCAGGGCTAGACCTGTCTGAGCTCAGTCTCTCCTTGGGCGGGTCTTGCTGTGGCTGCTGTGGGGATGTGGGTGTAGTTCCCAGGTCAATGGAGTTCTGTTCCTAGGAGGATTATGGCTGCCTCTACTGTGTCATGCAGGTTGTCAGGGAAGTGGGGGAAAGCTGCAGTCACAGGACTTACCCAGCTCCCATGAAACTCAATGGGATAGCCCCCTCCCACGGTGCCCACCACCAACAGCACTGAGTCTGTTTCCAGGCAGTGGGCGAGCAGGGCTGAGAACTCGCCCCAGGCTACCCACCTCCCAGCTGTGAAAGCAAATAGGGTATTCGTGCTTCCCCCTCCTCTGGAGTCTGCACACCAGATTCACGCCCTCTCTTGAGTTCTGGCCAGGAGACTTCTCGATCAGTTCAAATTATTACAAAGTTCAGCTGGAGGTTTTCTTCTCTCTCACTGGCCTTTTCCCACTGCCTCTGCCAGCACTCCCCAAGGACCCCTGTAAGGCAAGGCAGAAATGGCTTCCTAGGGGACCCAGCAAGTCCACAGGGCTTTTCTCACTGCTTCCTCTACTCCTGTATTTCGGTTGGCTTTCTAAGTTCACTCAGCTCCAGGTAAGGTCAGAATCTTCTCCCGTGTTCTAGACCTTCAGGTTCCTGACTGAGGGTGTGTGTTTGGGGATGGAAGATTCCCCCTTTCCCACCTCCACAGTTTGGGCACTCACAGTATGTGGGGGTGTTTCTTGGAGCCTGCAGGAGCAATCCACTTCCTTCAGAGGGTGTGTGGGTTCTCTTGGCTTTCCTGTTTTATTCCTGAAGTTGTTCTGGGTCTAAAGTTCACGAGGCAAGCCTCCACACACTACTCTGTCCATTTGAGTGGGAGCTGCAATCTCTTAATCTCCGTTTAAGGTGGAGCAAGTATGTCTTAAGGAAACTAACATCTTTCAGGTATTGAGGTTTTCATCATTAACATAGCATTTCTATTCCCTTATTTGGATCTTCTCTATTGCCTTTTAATAAATTTTTGTGTTTTTTTTCCCACAAAGATCTTACACATGTGCCTTCTGTTTTTTATTATTGTGGTTGTTGCCACAATAGATATTAATTTTTAAAGAATTATTATTTCTATTTGGATTTAGTAGACAAATACAATAGACTTTTGTATATCATTTTTATACCCAGCAACTTTGCTAAATTTTCTTATTCTGGTAATTAGTAAATTACTCTCAATTTTACATGTAGACATTATGTCATCTGCAAATAATGACCAATTTGTTTCTTCTTTTAAAATTCTTATGCCTTTTATTTATTTTTCTTGTATTGTTTCACTGATTATGACCTCTAACATAATAGTGAACTAATGCAGCATTAGCAGGCATCTTTGTCTTATTCATGATTTTAAAAGCTTCCCATTTGATATGGTTTGGATCTGTATCCCTACCAAATCTCATGTTGAATTGTAATCCCCAATGTTGGAGGTGGGGCCTGGTGGGAGGTGATTGGATCATAGGGGTGGATTTCTCATGAATGGTTTGACACTATCCCCCTTAGTACTGTCCTCACAATAGTCAGTGAGTTCTCATGAGATCTGGTTGTTTAAAAGTGTGTAGCATCTTCCCCCTACTTGCTCTTTCTCCCACCATGTGAGATGCCTTGCTCTCCCTTTGCCTTCCACCATGATTTTAAGTTTCCTGAGGCCTCCCCGAAAACTGAGCAGATGCCAGCATCATGCTTCCTGTACAGCCTGCAAAACCTTGAGTCAAGTAAACCTCTTTTCTTTATTAATTACCCAGCCTCAGGTCTTTCTGTGTAGCAATGTGAGAACGGTCTAATACTCCATTCATTTTCTCCCACCTCCACATCTTACTCCCCTGAAACTACTCTTGCGGGCCAGACGTGGTGGCTCACACCTGTAATCACAGCACTTTGGGAGGCCAAGGCGGGTGGATCACAAGGTCAGGAGTTTGAGACCAGCCTGGCCAACGTGGTGAAACCCCATCTCTACTAAAAATACAAAAAATTAGCTGGACGTGGTGGCAGGCACCTGTAATTCCAGCTACTCAAGAGGCTGAGGCAGGAGAATCACTTGAATCCTGGAGGTGGAGGTTACAGTGAGCTGAGACTGTGCCATTGCACTCCAGCGTGAGCAACAGAGTGAGACTCCATCTCGAAGAAAAAGAAAGAAAGAAAGAAAGAAAGAAAGAAAGAAAGAAAGAAAGAAAGAAAGAAAGAAAAGAAAGAAAGAAACTACTCTTGTGGAGGTTATCAATGACCTCTAGGTTGCTAAGTTCAACAGACACTTGAAAATGATAGTTTTGTTTGATCTCAGTTGCATTTGACATCATTGATCACCTCTATTATTAAATATTCTCTTCTTGGCTTTCCAATACCAAACTCTGATTCTATAGTCTCTGATTGCTTCTTCCCAGATATTTTTTGCTTAACATTTATCTTTATCTTAAATGTTGAAGCTCCCTAGGGATCCATCCTGGGTTTCTTCTTTTATGCTACACCATTCTTAATTGAGATTATCCATTCCATGTCTCTATATTGACATCAGTTGATCATACACACACACGCGTGCGCGCACACACACATATATACACATCTGCCAACTTCACATTTTGTTTAGATGTCTCATAGACATCTCAAACTTAACATGGTCAAAATTTCTTCCTCAAATGGAATTCTCCTATTGTCTCCCCACCTCAGTAAATGGAACCTTCATCCACTCAGTTACTTGTAAATCTGGGTATCGTCTTATCTCCTTCTTCTCTTTCATCCCCCACATCCAATCTATTACCAAGTATTATTTATTAAAACATCGAGATATATCTCATATGCACCTTCCTCTTCATGTCTGTTTAGTTTAAACCACCATTCTTTCTTGCCTACCCTATAGCCATAGCCTTCTAACCAGTGTCCTTTAACTTTTTATTTTCTCAAAATCCCTTTAACAAACAAGTTTAAAGTGATAGTTTAAGATTACAAACCAGATCATGTTGTTCCTCAGTATAAGACTCTTCAATGATCTCCCACTGCACTAGGAGTAAAATCCCAAACCTTAGTATGGCCTGCGAGAACCTTCCTGCTATGACTTCTTCCTTCTCTGCCAGCTTTACCTGTGCTGCTCATCTCCTCACTCGCTGTCCTCTAGTCACTTGAGCCTTCTTACAGTCCTCTGAGAGGTCCAGTTTTTCCTGCCTAAAATCTTTGCACTTATAAACTCCAAGAGGGCAGGGACTGTATCTTCTTGCGCTCAATTATATATCCATGTTCAGGCATGTGTAAGTACTCAATAAATACATGCTACATAAATGAATGATTTTTTTAAGTTTAGAATGTTCTTCCCCAACCTGGCTAAATCCTGTTGTTCTTTTAGGTCTCATGTTATTTTAAATGTCACTTCCTCAAACAAGTCTTTTGCCTCCCCTCACCTCATCCTACCCTTCCTTCTTTAAGGAACCACCATTCCTAGCTATGGGGATAGGAACTGATTTGGAGTGGGCCAAGTTCAAGTATCCTATTCCTATGATTCATCTAATTCTTCTCTGATTTTCCTACCAGAAGATGAAAAGGAAGACACTTTTGTCCTTGGACCAGAGAGCCACTCAGCTATGAAACATGTTCTCTGATGTGTGGAGAAAGTTTGTCTGCAGTAGGAGAGAATGAGGCCAACTCAGAGAGTCATGGAGGGGAGAAACGGGGGGAGAGAGAGAGTTCTGACAGTGTGCCAGTCTCTGAATCTTATCCATTTTTTTTTCTCTCTCTCTCTTTTTCTTTTTCTTTTTTTTTTAATTTGAGACAGTCTGTCGCCTAGGCTGGAGTGCAGTGGCGCAATCTCTACTCACTGCAACCTCAGCCTCCCGGGTTCAAGCAATTCTCCTACCTCAGCCTCCTGAGTAGCTGGGATTACAGTAGTGCACCACCACACCCTGCTAATTTTTGTGTTTGTAGTGGAGATGAGGTTTCACCGTGTTGGCCAGGCTGGTCTAGGCTCCTGACCTCAAGCGATCCGCCCACCTTGGCCTCCCAAAGTGTTGGGATTACAAGCGTGAGCCCCTGCACCTGGCCTTATCATCCACTCTTGCCGCCTTCTCAAAGCTGGGATTGCCACCTCTTCTTTGCTTCTATGAACCACAGCAATATCTTTTCAATACATTCTTTCTTTTTGCTTAAGCTTGTTCAGATTGGGTTTCTGTTATTTGTAATTGAAAGATTTCCGGACTAATATACATTCCTTGACCTCCCAATATAAATCAGTTCCTCTTGTCATAGTCCTTAAAATGCTCTATGCTTTTCCTTCATAACACTTATCAGAACTTATGTTTGTATATTCATTCACTGAACATCTATCTCCTCATAGATGTTAGACACCGTGTGTATTTTGTTCACTACTCTTTATCTGGCTCACAGTGTAGTGCTTTACCCATGGCAAGCACTCAATATATGTTTGCTGAATTGATGAGTAAATAAATGACCCTGTAGTTGACTAGATATGAAGAGGGGGCAAAAAAGGGAGGAGGCTTAGGATGACTTCACATTTTTCTGGCTTTGCCAAGAGAAGGGGGAATGATATCATTGACTTGTATTGGGAACATATGCGGAGAAGCCAGTGTTGGAGAGAAAGAACATGAGCTAAGTTTTAGAGGTGAGTTTAGGGTGCTTATGGTATATAAAGTGTAGCTTTCCAGCAAATAGGGGGTCCATCTGTATCCAGCTTAGAAGAGGACTAGGCTGGAGATCTGATTTGGAAGGCCTTAGATAATAGGGAGTGTTGGAAGCCTTAGGGGCTGGTGAGATCCTCCAGGGAGCATTAAATATGGGAAAGAACTGATGACTGAGGAGAGGGACCTGAAAAAAAAATCCCTCAGGCTGGTCCAGACGAAGAACAGTCCAGTGTTCCTCAGGGTCTGCTTAATTCCTGTCTTCCAGCTGGGCCTGAAGAGCCACTGGCCAAGAAGGCTAGTCCTGATTTTGGAGGAGTCTGGAAGAAGGCAGTGTTAGGCTCAGTCCAGCATCCTTGACTCTTGGCCAGACAAGTGCCCTCTTGGGCAGGGCGGAGGTTCCCACCTAGACACAGCCTCTGTCTATCTTCTCAGAGCCGTGCATCCCCCACTTGGGGACTGTCTTAGGGTATCTAATATGTCAGGAACTTTAAAAACTTTTCCATATATGATCTCAATCTTTAACCTGGGTATAAACTATTATGCCCATTTTATAGAAGAAGGATCAGAGACTTGGGAAGGTAAAAAACTTGCCCTGGATCCAACATCTGGGATGTGTCCTGGCTGGGACTCCAGTGCTGTGATCGTTCGATTATAGGCTTTCTCTTTATCACAGTTTTGTGCCTTGTGGACGGATAGTGGGTCCATCCCATGGGAGCTGTAGGAACAAAAGGTCCCAGAGGGCAAAGTCAGCAGCCTGAACACTAACAGATTGCCAACTCTTGCCAAACCCACTTTGAGGAGTGAAGTCTAGGCCTGCAAACCCACCTCATGCTGGACTCTCTCCTTAGTTGCTGCCACCTAGAGCTACCATCATCTAGCTTGTTCAGGCTGGGGCCCTGACGACGCCTACCTTCTCTGTGGCTTTCCAGGCTCCTTTTGTTTCCTGGATGAGCTGCTCCTCCATGGGTCTCCTTAGTTTCCCCTGGAAGATCATAGAAAACAGAGATCTAGCACTCTGTACTGAACAGCACTTGGGTCCTAATTCTGGGAGTAGAACATTAGGAGAAACAGTTTCTGGGAATTTAAAAGCAACAGACAAAGAAAAAGTCCTGTTAAAAGAAAAAAAAATTTTGGAAAAACAAGCATGCCTTCAAGTACTTTTTGGATGCCATTGTTGATCTCAAGCCATTTTATTAGTTTAAAGCCATAGAACACATTATAACTCAGTTTGCTCCAAAAATTATCACATTTGGCATATTTGGAGACAAGCAGGCCTGGGGAAGAAAAGGATAAAATGCAGGAGAGAAAAGGGGATTCCTATATTTCCCCTTGAGTTTTCTAAGAAAACAAAAATTATTCTCAGAAAAAAAAAAATCTTTCCAACTCCCAGTTCTTCCAATTCTTATTGTGACCAGAAAAGTATACTCACAAAAGCCACCACTCCTAGTCAATAGCTACCGTATATTTCCACACTGGAGGGAATAGTATATTATCCACATGTGCCTCCACCCCAAGACCAGGGCCCAGCAGGATGAGGGGGACCTCACTGTCTCGAGAAGCCGCACCTAAACCAGTGCCCCTTCCAGAAGAGAAGAGGGTGTGAGTTCCGGGCAGGAGCCACAACCTAAGTTTCTAGCTAAGATATGCAAACAGATAAGTGTCTAGGGGAAAATTCTTATTCCTATTTTATAGGCTCACAATTCAACAAACATTTCCTGGGTTTCTTCCATGCTAGGAGTAAAGCTAAGGAATGGAGTCATAAAAGTGAATATGCCACAGTGTTTTTCCTGAAGGATCTCATAGAGAAACAAATAAGCAAGCAATCACTTTTGGCACAGTGTGGTGAGTGCAATGATTGAGATGTGTGCCGGAGGCTTCATGTGCGAGTGAACCTGGCTGGGGGTGGGGACAGAGACAGGGAAGAATTCCTGGAGAAGGGTCTGCCTGAGTTGTGTCCTGTTGGACCAGAAGGAATTAGTCAAGCACAGTGGGGAGGAAAGCATTCCAGGTACAGGGAACAGCATGTGATAAAAGAAACATGTATAAGGAAGAGCATTTGGCACTTTTCTGGAACTATAAATAGATTAGTATGCCTCGTGCCATCAGAGTGAAGAAGGGAAGAGTGGAGATGAGGCTGGAGAGGAAGGCAGCCCACTCACGATGAAGGGATTAGATTGTTGGAGTCAGCAAATGTTTTCTGTAAAGGGGCAAATAATACATATTTTAGGTTTCTTGAGTCATATCCTCTCTGTCGCAACTACTCAACTCTGCTACTATAGCACGAAAGTAACCATAGCAGATATGTAAATCAGTGAACATGTCTACATTCCAGTAAAACTTTATTTACAAAAACAGGTGTAGAGCTGGATTGGCCCGTGGGCTGTAGTCTGCAGACTCCTGCTGTAAATCACAATTATCCAGAAACAAGCTAACCAACTCATTCCATTTGGCCCAGGACTTCTCCAGTTTTAGCACTGAAAGCCCCAAGTCCTGGAAAACACCTCAGTCCCAGGTACACTGGGACAGTTGGTCGCCTAGGAAGCTTGTTAAAAATGCGAATTCCTGAGCGGACTCCTGGCTCAATTAATCAAAATCCACTGGAGTCGGGAGAGCTACAGGTGATGGGGCGCCATCTATGGGCAAGAGAGTGATAAAATCAGATTTGTACCTCAAGTGGTTTGCTCTCGAGGAAGGAACACATTCCCCAATATCCCTACTCTTGATGGCAGGAGAAAATGGTCAATGTGTCTCTTTAAGAGGATAGAGTCAGCTGGCTAGCAGCACCGGGGCTGAGGCTGGGCATTAACTGGTTTGTGCAAATGGTTTTTCTCTAAGTAATCACTGTCCACTAAGGATAGAGGAGAGTCCACAGAATCCAACGGTCAGGGCCCTTGGATAGACCATAGGAGGGGAGAAACCAGAAGAGCCTCTCTCTGTGTTCCCCTAGAGCCAGAGCTCATCATGCCAGTGGGAGCCTCACTGTTTGTCTAGAGCAGCTGCACCGAAACCAGTGCCCCTTCCAGAAGTGAAGAGGGGAGTGAGTCCTGGACTAGAGTTGCAAGCCACATTTCCAGCTAAGGTACATGGACAGATAAAGAAAAATAAACAGAGGGGAAGATAAACTTTTGGCCCCAGATGTCCATTTTTGGAAGGTTTTCATGGTCAGCTCTTATCAGCAATAGCTCTAAAAAGCCAGGTCTGAAATTTTCCTTTCTGAAGCAACAGGTGTTTTATTTCTGTTCAGAAATGGCAACTGTTTGGCTTGGGCAAACAAAGAGTTTGCACTAAAAGGACTAATAGTACTCTCTTTACTTTTCTTAATCAGCCCCTTTTGAATTTAACTTCACAGCCATGGCGAATTTTCCACTTTAATTACAAATAGTGCTTCCTATCTTCTGGACTGCTCCTTTCTAAAACAGGTGGCTCTTATTCTAAGAACGTTGATATATGAAAGCCTATGCTCACATTGCAGATAATTTGAATTACATAAAAATTCTTAACATCTGAAATAGGTTCTCTCTTATACATTGCAGAGCTTGTTTGTGGACCATTAAGCCCATTAACAATTTGGCCAGCATTCTCTAGCTATTGCCAAATGAAGAACAATCAGAGATGAAGATAAAATATATTTTAAGTCAATGGAAAAATAAGTAGCTTTTTTTCTGGTATTAGGCAGCAGAGCTTGGTGGTTAAATGAAATGGCTCTTGAGTCAAACTGCCTCAGTTGGAATCCTTGATTTACTTCTCACTTGATGTGTGACTTTGGGCACATTAATTCATTTCTCCAAGCTTAATTTTCCTCGTCTGTGAAATAGGAATACTAGTAATACTTCCCTATTGGGTTGTCACGTAGATTAAATAAGGTAATACATGTAAAGTATGTAGCACAGAAAGCATATAATAAATGTTAGTTGTTAATATTACTCATATTAGGCAAATCATTTTACCTGTACGGGCTATGCTTTCTCATTAATGAAATGACAGAGTTGACCTCTAAAGTCTGTTAGTTACCAATTCTCCAGTTCATGTAGAAAAATAAAAAAGGCAGAGAAGAGCTATGTGGATACAGAAACATCACTCCCCAGGACAGCCCTATGAAAAGTGGCCTGGGGCAGGGGGTGGGGAGGGGGGGGCACCGACTGACACAGGGATAGAATATTTATTTGATAATAAAGTGAGGCGAAAACAGGAGAGATGTTGTGGGAATAGTCTATATGCTGCCTAGACAGAAAGAAGGACATAGATGATATTTTCCTGGTCTATACACAGAAGCTCGCTCCAAAGCTAAGACACTGGACATGAGGTATGTGTTCTAAATTCTTTGCTGGACATTTAATTCTGCTAAAAGGAGAGCATCTGATAAGTTTTCAACCTACTTCACTGGCATTTTTATTGTGTAGTATGTGAATGCATTAACAAAGTTGATAATACACTGGACTTCACTTTCACCATCAAAGAAGAACAAGTTTGGTGATGTAAAAATGGGAGGAGCATTGGGAGAAAATGACTGTGTCATTTTCCAATTTATAAGCACAAGAGACAGAAATAATGTGCCTATCAGTACTCTGAATAGTGGTGATTTTCAAAATGAAACTTTACAATCACAAATTATACCCATAAAGGAGAAAAAAGTAAGAATTTTTTGGTGATACTAGTTTACTCCATGTATTATTGTGCACTTACAACCTTCCAAGTTCTACGCTACAGGGGAAACATATTTCTTTTAAAACGCCCTTGTCCTAAAAGAGCTTACAGTGTATAATTTATGGGGATGACCATCAAGTATCCAATCTCAGTATAGTTTCATTACTGCTAAGAGAGAAGTGTGCACAGGCTGCTATTAAAACCTATGAGAGGCACCTAGTCAGATTAGGAAGAGTCACAGAAAGCTCCCCAGTGGAGGTGAGAGCTGAGCTGAGTTTTAAAGAATGCAAAGGAATTACAAGGTAAGAAGGAGATTCTATTTTGAATAAATAGAATGTCTGAAAGACATCACAGTGGAAACTTGAAACAATTTAACATTACTGTAAGACTGAGTTCAAATTAAGGAATAAAGGAAAATGAGCCTGGAGAGGTACAGAGAGGGCCAGGTGATGGTGGGCCTTGTGTAAAGAGAGCTTTCTATAAAGGTCTTGCTACTAATGAGCTTGGATGTTATTCTGTAGGCAGTGAACACCATGGAAAAGTTTAAATTGATTGAGTGCCATGGTCTAATTTATATCTTAGATCTGTGGCATCATGTGGGGTGAATTTTACAGGGTCAAAACTGAAAGTAGAGAGACCAGTGCTGAAGGTGCATCAGAAGTCTAAAAGAGACCAGGCATAAATTACGAAGTGGCAAGAGGATGAAGAAGAGGGATGGTTTGGGGTGGATTTTAGGAGGTAGAATTGACATGATTTTGCTATGAATTGGATACAGGAGACAAGCAAAAAGGCCTGATGCTACTGCTGATGATAACGTAAAAGATAATATTAGTGACTGAAGACATGGATGAGATGGCCCAGGGAGAGTGCTGGGATAAAATGAAAAGAAGATGGAGGGTTCGTTGGGGCTCAAACCGAGAAGAAAGTTGAGAAGAAGCAGCCAAAGAAGGAGGAAAGAAACCAGCAGAGAGTTGGCATGAAAAATAAATGCAAGAGTTGTAAGTAAAAAGCCATCAGTGTTCAAGTATCGAACTTCACAATACCAGGGCAGTTTTGATCCAGTCAAGAGCAGGTCAATGGAGTGGTGAGAACACAAGCCAGATTGCAGGGAGCTGAGGGGGAGCGGGAGGAGAGGAAGTGGAGACAGAACATGGGCTGGTCTATCAAGACTCTTGGCTGTGAAGAAAGGACAGATTTATAAAGAGGTGCCAGTTGAGGGTGGAATTTTTTTAAGGACATTGAGAGACCTGAGCACATTTATGTGGAGAGGGGAAGAGCCATCAGAGATGAGGTTGAAGATAGAGGCTGACTATAAGGGAGTCCCCTCTGGCAATGGCCCATGCTGCCCCTCACAGGAGTGAGCTCTCCATCACAAATGCTAGAGGAAGACTTCCTTGATCAGCCTAGCTCAATCCAGTAGCACCTTCTAACTAAGATTTTTCAATATAACAGTGATTTATTGGAGCTTTCAGTATTTGCATTGCCTTACACTAACCCAGTGGAGCACACAGATAAATTGAAGCTACAGCATGGATTGAATCATCCAGTTCTGAAGCAAGAGCTGTTGACCACTTGGCCACTCCTAGGCCCCTCTGATTCAGAGATTACAACGACTTAACTCAGGAGTCCTTCAGAGGTGATGGTCAAGCCAGCCAGCTCCTTAGTCACCTTCCCATGTCTCCTTTGGGGGAAAGCCAGGAAAGGCCACTTCTTTCCAACTTCTAAAGCAATATTCGTCTTTGAACCCTATTATTATAATTCAACTCAACTTCATTAGCGAGTCAAACACCCTTTGAATGCACTGTCCCCCTGGCTGCCTTGTGATAGGAAACACAGCTCCTGCCCTCAAGAAACTCAGTCCTTCCCCAGGCATTTAGCTTTTCTGGAAACTGGAGATAAATAGAAGAAGAACTGATACGACAACCAAGGTGGTGCTTAAAAAACTTGTTTACAGAGCCCTCAGATTCTAAGGGGGGGCTTCCCTAACCAACCAGGGGATGGAGGTAGGAGCAGTATAGACTCCAGGCCTTCCCACCCAGCTTCAAATCAAGTAGCTCTACTTTTATTCATTTTATATATTTAGGTTGTCATAGGTTTTTGTTTGAACCAAGAGACTCACAGCTAAGAGATGCTTAAAACCCCACCAAAGTAATATTTGCTGATCAAAATCAAGAAAAGCATAACTCAATACTGAGTTACCAAAAAAAAAAGGAGATCGAAAGTCATTGCAAAGGGGTTAATTTGATCTTCTCAAGCTCTATTCATGAACTCATTCATCCGGAAGACAAATACATAGCAGCAGGCACTGTGCCAGTCCCATGTCGGGCACTGGGGAGACAGAGGTGAAGGAAACTTGATGTCTGCTCTCCAGAACTTCACAGGGAGACAGACAGGGGAATGATAGCTCTCTAGAGTGGTGTCCTGATCAAGGTGTGGATTAAGGACGGCGGGGAGACAGAGGTGACAAGGATTCGCCCTGAGAAGTGGGGAGAGAGGCTTTGTCAGGGAGAGCTTCACCAGGGTCTTAAAGGATGCCTACGGTCAGCCGGAGAGGGAGGAGGAGGGGCGTGCACCGATTCCCACGGCTGCAGCAGGGGGCGCGGAAGGGTAAATGCGTTTACTGGGCGAGGGAAGTCGCGGCTTTCTCCTCAGGCTGAACCTGGGCATCTGTCTCTGAGGCTAAAGCGCTTCAGAGCCCTCATGTCTGTCAGGGGCTCCCGCACCGTGTCTTTCTGAGTACTGCCACCTAGTGGCCACTCTCAATTCCCACATTTCCCTGGACAGCCTGGAGTCATTTGTCTTCCCACTGATTTGAGGGTTAAGCAAACAGTGAGCACACACAGTGGATAAGTGACTTCTCCGGTAGCACACAGTTTGTGAGGCTGGGGCTGGAACAGAACCTAGCTCTTGTGATCCCAGGACCAGGTCTGGTATGGGCCGGTTTGCCCCCGTCCACACTCGCTCTGGCAGGTTGAGGCTGAAGGTCAAGTCGATAGATGACTACTCTGGAGCGCACTTCAAATCCTCTTCCCAGGCTTCAGAGGGGTAGGGACACTTTAAGAGAGAAGGAATGTGGGAGTAAGTGGATGAGCTAGAGAGAAAAGAAGATATATATTGTTTTCCCCACCTCACTCTCACCAGTCCAGCCTTCAAACCTATCTCAGCAATGAGAAAAGGGGGCTAATGATGTTCTGGGACTGGATAGAGACCATCGCTTCAGGCATTAGGTTGCCACCATGTCGACAGGAGAGGGGAGGGGCTCTCAGCCATCTTTTTTTCTGAGGAATGGCTGGGGGTGGGGGAGTCCCATGGCCACAGTCAAAGAATAATAGCAGGGTCCCAGGGACAGGACTAGAAGTTTCTGAAAACACCTGTCAGTTGCTGAAGGTTAAAAAAAAAAAAAAAAAAAAAAGCTGGACCATACCAGACCTAGTCCTATTTGAATCATATTTAAATATGATTCTCTGCTCAAGATGACAATTTGCATGCAACATGTTTCAGAAGCCCATCTGGTGTTACAAAATCCACTGTGGTTTCAACCTGTCCTTTCAATCAACCATCCTGGTTGGATTATAAAGACTTTACAATAAAAATCATAGGAATAATAAGGATAATAGAATTGACACAGTAGAAAAAACAAAACGAGGAACCAGATAGTAAAGGAGGTGGCAGAAAAATCTATATATTGAACAACACAACTTTTGGCCGAGGAGGACTATAAAACTGAGCCTAATCTTTGGTCTTAGCATCCCATCAGCCTGGGAGGGAAAATAATGCCCTGAATGAGCACCAGGCATCCCATTCAGGTCCCATCAGGTAGGTATCTTCATCTTCATTTTGTAGAGGAGGAACCTAAACCTCATGGTGGTTATTTGGCTTTCCTGAGGTCATGCAGTTCTTATATGATAGAGGCACTCTGTGAAATGATAGATGCCTGACTTATTTCATTGGCAACCTGATCTGTTTACCTCCTGAACCCCAAGCTGTGTCTAATCCCACTTGCTTTTTTTAAGAGAGTATTCCCAGCATGAATCCTTTTGTCACAAAGAAAAAAAAAGTTTTCTGGCTGGGTGTAGGGAGAGCTGGGCTAGTTTGGTTCATGATGGGTGGGGGGGCATGGCCAAGGTGAGCTTACACGGGAAATTCCCTTCCCTCCTCCCAGTAAAAAAAATCCCTGAGTTGTTTCGGAAAGTCCCATGCTGAGGCTGGGCAGTGTGGCTAGGTATCAAAGTGCTGGAGCCTTTCCTTGTATCCATCAAGCTGAATTCACAAAGGGAGGGAGAGAAGAAGGGAGGAGAGGCTGGGGGCTGCTTCTGATTAGCCTGTCCTCTGCCAAAGTGAGATGTCCTCTCTCTGTGGGCAATTAAATGGTTCTCATGAATCCACCATCTGGGCTCAGCAATGTGTGCTGTGGCTGCTTTCTCTCTCCACCCAACCCCACCCCACCTCTGGCTCAGGAGCCAGGCCAATGAGATTCAGAAAATCTAGCCCTTCCCCCACCTCACCGTTTCTCCCTTCCTACAAGGGCTGCTGCAAATGGCTACAGAGGGCTACGCAGTTCTCCAGGCCTCCACCTCTCAGCAGATAAAGCCAGCCCAGGGGCATGGAAAAGTTCTTGAAGAAAATTAAAAGTGCTATTCCAGTGAACACATAGATGATAAGAAAGTG
This sequence comes from Homo sapiens, assembly GCF_000001405.40. Classification (NCBI taxonomy): domain Eukaryota; kingdom Metazoa; phylum Chordata; class Mammalia; order Primates; family Hominidae; genus Homo; species Homo sapiens. The sequence goes on from NC_000001.11 coordinate 117,760,951, forward strand.
AAACAGCCTTACTGCTGATGTAGAAAAAGTTTTAGTGTTCTGGATAGAAGATCAAACCAACCGCAACATTTCCCTTAAGCCAAAGCTTAATCCAGAACAAGACCCTAACTCTCTTCAATTCTATGAAGGCTGAGAGATGTGAGGAAGCTGCAGAAGAAAAGTTTGAAGCTAGCAGAGGTTGGTTAATGAGGTTTAAGGAAAGAAGCCACCTCCACAACATAAAAGTACAAGGTGAAGCAGTAAATGCTTATGTAGAAGCTATAGCAAGTGATCCAGAAGCTCTAGCTAGGATAATTAATGAAAGCGGCTGTACCAAATAATAGATTTTCAATGCAGATAATACAGCCTTCCAACAGAATTGTAAGAAGATGCCATCTAGGACTTACATAGCTAGAGAGAAGAAATCAATGCCTGGCTTCAAAGCTTCGAAGGACAGGGCAACTCTCTTGTTAGGGCCTAATGCAGCTGGTGACTAAGTTGAAACCAATGCCCATTTGCCATTCTGAAAATCTGGTGATCATTGAGAATTATGCTAAATTTACCCTGCCTGTGCTCTATAAGTGGAACAATAAAGCCTGGATGACAGCACATCTGTTTATATCATGGTTTATTTAATATTTTAAGCCCACTGTTGAGATCTACTACTCGGTAAAAAAGATTCACTTGTTATTGGTCTGTTCAGGTTTTTTAATTCTTCATGATTCAGTCTTGGTAGGTTGTATGTTTCCAGGAATTTATTCATTTCTTCTGTGTTATCTAATTTGTTGATGTATAAATATTCATAGTGGTCTCTTATGGTCCTTTGTATTAGTTCTAATGTCTCCTCTTTCATTTCTGATTTTATTTATTTTAGTTTCTTCATTTTTGTGGTCTGGTTAAAGGTTTACCAATTTTGTTTATCTTTTAAAACAACCAACTTAGTTTCATTGATATTTTCTATGTTTTCTCTTTATTTGATTTATTTCTGTCCTACTCTATTATTTCCTTTCTTCTGCTAACTTTGGGCTTAGTTTACTTTTCTTTTTCAAGTTCCTGGATGTATAAAGTTAGGTTGTTTATTTATGATCTTTATTTTCTTCACATAGGCATTTATCACCATACACTTCCTTCTTAAAATTGCTTTTGCTGCATCCCATAAATTTTGATATGTTGTGTTTTCATATTTGTTTGTCTCAATGTATTTTTTGATTTCCATTTTGATTTCTTCTTTGACCTATTACTTGTTCAGGAGTATGTTGTTTAATTTCCCCATATTGTGAATTTTTCAATTTTTCTTCTGTTATTGATTTCTAGTTCCATACCATTATTGTTGGGAAAGATACTTGATATATTTCAAACGTCCTAAATTTGTTAAGCCTTGTTTTGTGGGCTAACAGATGATCTATCCTGGAGGATGTTCTGCATGTGCTTGAAAAGAATGTATATTCTGTTGCTGTTGAATAAAATTTTCTGTATGTTTCTTAGGTCCATTTGGTCTATAGTGTTGTTCAACTTTGCTATTTTCTTATTGATTTTGTCTAGATGATCTATCCATTGTTGAAAATCAAGTATTGAAATCCCCCACTACTATTGTATTGCTATCTACTTTTCCTTTCATTTATGTTAATATTTGTTTTACATATTTAGGTGTTCCATTGTTGGATGCACATATATTTATGATTAGTATATCCTCTTGATGAATTGATGCCTTTATCAGCATATAATGACCTTCTTTGTCTTTTGTGACAGCTTTTGACTTAAAGTCTATTGTGTCTAAGTTTAGTCACCTTTCAGTTACCATTTCTATATTTTTCCAACTTTTCCCTTTCAGCTTATGTATGTTTTTAAATCTAAAGTTAATCCCTTATAAATAGCATATAGTTGATCTTATTCTTTAAAAAACTTTTTTGACTGGGTGCAGTGGCTCATGCCTGTAATCCCAGCACTTCGGGAGGCTGAGGCGAGCAGATCACTGAGGTCAGGAGTTCAAGACCAGCCTGGCCAACATGGTGAAACTTCATCTCAACTAAAAATACAAAAATTAGCCAGGCATGGTGGCACATGCCTATGGTCCCAGCTACTCAGGAGGCTGAGGCAGGAGAATCACTTGAACCCAGGAGGCAGAGCTTGCAGTGAGCCGAGATTGTGCCATTGCACTCCAGCCTGGGCAGCAGAGCAAGAATCCGTCTCAAAAACAAATTTTTTTTTTTTTTAGAGGCAAGGTCTTTTTGTGTCACCCAGGCTGGAGTGCAGTCACATGATTTCAGCTCACTGTAGCCTCAACCTCCCGGGCTCAAGCGATCCTGCCACCTCAGCCTCCTGAGTAATTGAAACCACAGATGTGCACCATCACTTCTGGCTAATTTTTAAATTTTTTATGGAGACAGGATCTTGCTATGTTTCCAGGACTGGTCTTAAACTCCTGGGCTCAAGCAATCCTCCTGCATTGGCCTTCCAAAGCACTGGGATTATAGGCATGAGCCATTGCACCCAGATGATCTTATTCTTTCTAGCTATTCATTCTCTATATATTTTTTAGTTACAATTCATCAAATATTTATTTATTTATTTTAGATTCAGGGGTATATGTGCATGGTTGTTACATGGATATATTGCCTAATGATGGGGATTGGGTTTCTAGTGTACTCGTCACCCAAATATTGAACATTGTATCCAATAGGTAATCTTTTAACCCTCACTCCCCTCACTTCCTCCCCTCTTTTGGAGTCCCCCATATCTATCATTTCCATCTTTATGTCCATGTGTACTCAATGTTAAGCTCACATTTATAAGCGAGAATATGCGATACTCAATTTTCTGCTTCTGGGATAGTTCACCTAGGATAATAGCATCCAGCTCCATCCATGTTGCTGCAAAGGATATGATTTCATTCTTTTTTATGGTTGCATAATAGTCCATGGTGTATATGAACCACATTTTCTTTATCCAGTCAACCTGCTGATGGACACTTAGGTTGGTTCTATGATGTTGCTATCGTGAATAGTGCTGTCATAAACATATGAGGGCAGGTGTCACTCTACATCTTTTTTAAAATTATTATTATACTTTAAGTTCTAGGGTACCTGTGCGCAACATGCAGGTTTGTTACATAGGTATACATGTGCCATGTTGGTTTGCTGCACCCATCAACTCCTCATTTACATTAGGTATTTCTCCTAATGCCATCCCTCCCCCAACCCCCACCCCACGACAGGCCCTGGTGTGTGATGTTCCCTGCCCTGTGTCCACATGTTCTCATTGTTCAGTTCCCACCTATAAGTGAGAACATGTGGTGTTTAGTTTTCTGTCCTTGTGATAGTTTACTGAGAATGATGGTTTCCAGCTTCATCCATGTCCCTGCAAAGGACATGAACTCATCCTTTTTTATGGATGCATAGTATTCCATGGTGTATATGTGCCACATTTTCTTAATCCAGTCTATCATTGATGGACGTTTGAGTTGGTTCCAAGTCTTCGCCATTGTGAATAGTGCCGCAATAAACACATGTGTGCATGTGTCTTTATAGTAGCATGATTTATAATCCTTTGGGAACATACCCAGTAATGGGATCACTGGGTCAAAAGGTATTTCTAGTTCTAGATCCTTGAGGAACCACCACACTGTCTTCCACAATGGTTGCGCTAGTTTACACTCCCACCAACAGTGTAAAAGCGTTCCTATTTCTCCACGTCCTCTCCAGCACCTGTTGTTTCCTGACTTTTTAATGACTGACATTCTAACTGGCATGAGATTGTATCTCATTGTGGTTTTGATTTGCATTTCTCTGATGACCAGTGATGATGAGCATTTTTTCATGTGTCTGTTGGCTGCATAAATGTCTTCTTTTGAGAAGTGTCTGTTCATATCCTTTGCCCACTTTTTGATGGGGTTGTTTGTTTCTTGTAAATTTATTTAAGTTCTTTGTAGATTCTGGATATTAGCCCTTTGTCAGATGAGTAGATTGCAAAAATTTTCTCCCATTCTGTAGGTTGCATGGTCACCCTGATGGTAGTTTCTTTTGCTGTGCAGAAGCTCTTTAGTCTAATTAGATCTCATTTGTCTATTTTGGCTTTTGTTGCCATTGCTTTTGGTATTTTAGTCATGAAGTTCTTGCCCATGCCTACGTCCTGAGTGGTATTGCCTAGGTTTTCTTCTATGGTTTTTATGGTTGTAGGTCTAACATTTAAGTCTTTAATCCATCTTGAAATAATTTTTGTATAAGGTGTAAGGAAGGGATCCAGTTTTAGCTTTCTACATATGGCTAGCCAGTTTTCCCAGCACCATTTATTAAATAGGGAATCCTTTCCCCATTTCTTGTTTTTCTCAGGTTTGTCAAAGATCAGATAGTTGTAGATGTGTAGTGTTATTTCTGAGGCCTCTGTTCTGTTCCATTGGTCTGTATATCTGTTTTGGGACCAGTACCACGCTGTTTTTGTTACTGTAGCCTTGTAGTATAGCTTGAAGTCAGGTAGCATGATGCCTCCAGCTTTGTTCTTTTTTCTTAGGATTGTCTTGGCAATGCGGGCTCTTTCTTGGTTCCATATGAACTTTAAAGTAGTTTTTTCCAATTCTGTGAAGAAAGTCATTGGTAGCTTGATGGGGATGGCATTGAATCTATAAATTACTTTGGGCAGTATAGCCATTTTCACAATATTGATTCTTCCTAACCATGAGTATGGAACGTTCTTCCATTTGTTTGTGTCCTCTTTTATTTTGTTGAGCAGTGGTTTGTAGTTCTCCATGAAGAGGTCCTTCACATCCCTTGTAAGTTGGATGCCTAGGAATTTTATTCTCTTTGTAGCAATTATGAATGGGAGTTCACTCATGAGTTGGCTCTCTGTTTCTCTGTTTTTGGTATATAGGAATGCTTGTGATTTTTGCATATTGATTTTGTATCCTGAGACTTTGCTGAAGTTGCTTATCAGCTTAAGGAAATTTTGGGCTGAGACAATGGGGTTTTCTAAATATACAATCATGTCATCTGCAAACAGGGATAATTTGACTTCTTCATTTCCTAGTTAAATACCCTTTATTTCTTTCTCTTGCCTGATTGCCCTGGCCAGAACTTCCAACACTATGTTGAATAGGAGTGGTGAGAGAAGTCATCCTTGTCTTGCGCTGGTTGTCAAAGGAAATGCTTCCAGTTTTTGCCCATTCAGTATGATATTGGCTGTGGGATTGTCATAAATAGCTCTTATTATTTTGAGACACATTCCATCAATACCTAGTTTATTGAGAGTTTTATCATGAAAACTGTTGAATTTTGTTGAAGGCCTTTTCTGCATCTGTTGAGATAATCATGTGGGTTTTGTCATTGGTTCTGCTTATGTGATGGATTGTTTATTGATTTGCATATATTGAACCAGCCTTGCATCCCAGGGATGAAGCCGACTTGATCATGGTGGATAAGCTTTTTGATGTGCTGCTGGATTTGGTTTGCCAGTATTTTATTGAGGATTTTTGCATCGATGTTCATCAGGGATATTGGTCTAAAATTCTCTTTTTTGTGTGAGTGTGTCTCTGCCATGCTTTGGTATCAGGATGATGCTGGCCTCATAAAATGAGTTAGGGAGGATTCTCTCTTTTTCTACTGATTGGAATAGTTTCAGAAGGAATGGTACCAGCAACTTTTTGTACCCCTGGTAGAATTTGGCTGTGAATCCGTCAGGACCTGGACTTTTTTTGGTTGGTATGCTCTTAATTATTGCCTCAATTTCAGAGCCCATTATTGGTCTATTCAGAGATTCAATTTCTTCCTGGTTTAGTCTCGTGAGGGTGTATGTGTCCAGGAATTTATCAATTTCTTCTAGATTTTCTACTTTATGTGTGTAGAGGTGTTTATAGTATTCTTGGATGGTAGTTTGTATTTCTGTGGGATCAGTGGTGATATCCCCTTTATCATTTTTTATTGCATCTATTTGATTCTTCTCTCTTTTCTTCTTTATTAGCCTTGCTAGCAGTCTATCAATTTTGTTATCTTTTCAAAAAACCAGCTCCTGGATGCATTGATTTTTTGAAGGGTTTTTTGTGTCTCTATCTCCTTCAGTTCTGCTCTGATCTTAGTTATTTCTTGCCTTCTGCTAGCTTTTGAATTTGCTCTTGCTTCATTAGTTCTTTTAATTGTGATGTTATGGTGTAGATTTTAGATCTTTTCTGCTTTCTCTTGTGGGCATTTAGTACTATAAATTTCCCTCTACACACTGCTTTAAATGTGTGCCAGAGATTCTGGTACGTTGTGTCTTTGTTCTCATTGGTTTCAAAGAACATCTTTATTTCTGCCTTCATTTTGTAATTTGCCCAGTAGTCATTCAGGAGCGGGTTGTTCAGTTTCCATGTAGTTGTGTGGTTTTGAGTGAGTTTCTTAATCCAGAGGTCTAATTTGATTGCACTGTGGTCTGAGAGACAGTTTGTTGTGATTTCTATTCTTTTACATTTGCTGAGGAGTGCTTTACTTCCAATTATGTGGTCAATTTTAGAATATATGCGATGTGGTGCTGAGAAGAACGTATATCTGTTGATTTGGGGTGGAGAGTTCTGTAGATGTCTATTAGTTCTGCTTGGCGCAGAGCTGAGTTCAAGTCCTGGATATCCTTGTTAACCTTCCATCTCATTGATCTAATATTGACAGTGGGATGTTTAAGTTTCCCATTATTATTGTGTGGGAGTCTAAGTCTCTTTGTAGGTCTCTAAGGATTTGCTTTATGAATCTGGGTGCTCCTGTATTGGGTGCATATATATTTAGGATAGTTAGCTCTTCTTGTTGAATTGATCTCTTTACCATTATGTAATGGCCTTCTTTGTCTCTTTTGATCTTTGTTGGTTTAAAGTCTGTTTTATCAGAGACTAGGATTGCAACCCCTGCTTTTTTTGCTTTCCATTTGCTTGGTAGATCTTCCTCCATCCCTTTATTTTGAGCCTATATGTATCTCTGCACATGAGATGGGTCTCATGAATGCAGCATACTGATGGGTCTTGACTCTTTATCCAATCTGCCAGTCTGTGTCTTTTAATTGGAGTATTTAGCCCATTTACATTTAAGGTTAATATTGTTATGTGTGAATTTGATCCTGTCATTATATTAGCTGGTTATTTTGCCCATTAATTGATGCAATTTCTTCATAGCATCAATGGTCTTGACAATTTGGCATGTTTTTTGCAGTGACTGGTACCTGTTGTTCCTTTCCATGTTTCGTGCTTCCTTCAGGAGCTCTTGTAAGGCAGGCCTGGTGGTGACAAAATCTCTCAGCATTCACTTTTCTGTAAAGGATTTTATTTCTCCTTCACTTATGAAGCTTAGTTTGGCTGGATATGAAATTCTGGGTTGAAAATTCTTTTCTTTAAGAATGTTGAATATTGGCCCTGACTCTCTTCTGGCTTGTAGGGTTTCTGCTGAGAGATCCACTGTTAGTCTGATGTGCTTCCCTTTGTGGGTAACCCGACCTTTCTCTCTGTCTGCCCTTCACATTTTTTCCTTCATTTCAACCTTAGTGAATTGGATAACTATGTGTCTTGGAGTTGCCCTTCTCGAGGAGTATCTTTGTAGTGTTCTCTGTATTTCTTGAATTTGGATGTTGGCCTGCCTTGCTAAGTTGGGGAAGTTCTCCTGGTTAATATCCTGCAGAGTGTTTTCCAACTTGGTTCCATTCTCCCTGTCACTTTCAGGTACACCAATCAATCGTAGATTTGGTCTTTTCACATAGTCCCATATTTCTTGGAGGCTTTGTTCATTTCTTTTTACTCTTTTTTCTGTAAACTTGTCTTCTCACTTTATTTCATTAATTTGATCTTCAATCAATGATATCCTTTCTTCCACTTGATCGAATTGGCTACTGAAGCTTGTGCATGTGTCCTGAAATTCTCATGCCATGGTTTTCAGCTCTGTCAGGTCATTTAAGATCTTCTCTACACTGTTTATTCTAGTTAGCCATTCATCTAACCTTTTTTCAAGGTTTTTATCTTCCTTGTAATGGGTTAGAACATGCTCCTTTAGCTCGGAGAAGTTTGTTATTACCGACCTTCTGAAGCCTACTTCTGTCAACTCATCGAAGTCATTCTTCGTCCAGCTTTGTTCCATCACTGGCAAGGAGCTGTGATTCTTTGGAGGAGAAGAGGTGCTCTGGTTTTTAGAATTTTCATCTTTTCTGCTCTGGTTTCTCCCCATCTTTGTGGTTTTATCTACCTTTGGTCTTTGATGTTGGTGACCTACAGAAGGGGTTTTGGTGTGGATGTCCTTTTTGTTGATGTTGATGCTATTCCTTTCTGTTTGTTAGTTTTCCTTCTAACAGGTCCCTCAGCTGCAGGTCTGTTGGAGTTTCCTGGAGGTCCACTCCAGACTCTGTTTTCCTGGGTATCACCAGCGGAGGCTGCAGAACAGCAAATATTGCTGCCTGATCCTTCCTCTGGAAGCTTCATCCCAAATGGGCACCCACCTGTATGAGTTGTCTGTTGGTCCCTACTGGGAGGTGTTTCCCAGTTACACTACACGGGGTCAGGCACCCACTTGAGTAGGCAGCCTGTCCATTCTCAGAGCTCAAATGCTCTGCTGGGAGAACCACTGCTCTCTTCAGAGCTGTCAGACAGGGAGGTTTAAGTCTGCAGAAGTTTCTGCTGACTTTTGTTCAGCTATGCCCTGCCCACTGAGGTGAAGTCTATAGAAGCAGTAGGCCTTGCAGAGCTGCAGTGGGCTCCACCCAGTTCAAGCTTCCCAACTACTTTGTTTACCTACTCAAGCCTCAGCAATGGCAGATGCCCCTCCCCCCACCTGGCTACAGCCTGGCAGGTTGATCTCAGGCTGCTGCACTAGCCGTGAGCAAGGCTCCATGGGTGTGGGACCCACTGAGCCAGGCATGAGAATCTCCTGGTCTGCTGGTTGCTAAGACTGTGGGAAAACGGCAGTATTTGGGTGGAAGTGTCCTGTTTTTCCAGGTACAGTCTGTCATAGCTTCCCTTGGCTAGGAAAGGGAAATCCCCTCACCCTTGCACTTCCTGGGTGAGGCAATGCCCTGCCCTGCTTCGGCTCGCCCTCTGTGGGTTGCACCCACTGTCCAACCAGTCCCAGTGAGATGAACCAGGTACCTCAGTTGGAAATGCAGAAATCACCTGTCTTCTGTGTTTATCATGTTGGGAGCTGCAGACTGGAGCTGTTCCTATTCAGCCATCTTGGAATGGAGTCCTACATCTTTTGAATGAAGAATTTAATCTACTCACTTTTAGAGTAATTATTAAGCAAGGACTTACCATTGCCATTTTGTTAATTGTTTTCTGACTGTTTTGCAGTTCTCTTGTTCCTTTTTTTCTTTCTTGCTGTCTTCCTTTGAGATTTGATAATGTATATCTAGTGGTGCACTTTGATTCTTTCCTCTTTATCCTTTGTGTATTGACTACAGATTTTTTTCCTTGTGATTATCATGAAGCTTACATAAAACATCTCATAGTTACAATAGTATATTTTAACTGGATAACAACTTAATTTCAATTGAATACAAAAACTCCACATTTTTACTCCCCCCAAACATTTTATGTTATTGAAGTAACAGATTCCATCTTATTATATTATGTGTTCATTAACAAATCATTGTAGATATAGTGATTTTGATACTTTTTTCGTTTAACTTTTATACTAGAGTTAAAGGTGTACTACTATTACAATATTACAATATTCTGAAAATGACTATATACTTCCCTTTACCAGTGAATTGTGTACTTTCATGTTGATAATGTCCTTTCATTTAAACTTGAAGAACTCCCTTTAGGATTTCTTGTAAGTCATGTCTAGTGGTGATTAATTCCCTCAGCTTTTGTTTGTCTGGGAAAGTCTTTATCTCTCATTTCTTAAGGATAGCTTTGCTACATATGATATTCTTGATTGGCAGTATTTTTTTCTTTCAACACTTACAATATATTATTCCAATATTTTCTGGCATGCAAGGATTCTGCTAGGAAATCTTCTGATAGTTTTATGGTGGTTCCCTTATGGTTGATAAGTCATTTCCAATTAATTAGTCCATCCCTCCCTCCCACTTTCCTTCCTTCCTATCTTCCTTCCTTCCTCTTGACTTTTGACAGTTTGATTACAATGTGGTTCAGTAAAGACCTCTTGATGTTCAGTCTATTTGAGGTTCTCTAGGCATCATGATCTGGATATTCATTTCCCCAAACATGGAAAGTTTTCTGTCATTATGTCTAAATATTTTTCTTCTACTTTCTCATTCTCTAATCCTTCTGGGACTCACATAATGTGTATATTGGTTTGCCTGATGGTGTCTCAGAGGTCGTGTAGACATTCCTCACTCTTTTTCATTCCTTTTTCTTTTCATTCCTCTAATTGAATAATTTCAAATGACCTGTCTTTAAGGTACTGATTCTTTCTTTTGCATGAGAGAGTCTACTGTTAAGCTTTCTATTGAATTTTTTAGTTCAGTCATTGTACTCTTCAGCTCCAGCATTTCTGTTTGGTTCTTTTTTATGGTTTCTATTTCTTTGTTAAGCTTCTAATTTTGCTCATGTATTTTTTTTTTATTTTTGTTTAGTCATCTATCTGTGTTCTCTTGCAGCTCTTTCAGCTTCTTTAAGATTACTTTTAATTTTTTGTCAAAGATTTCATGGGTCTCCATTTCTTTATGGTTTATTACTGGCACTTTATTAGTTTCCTTTGCTGCAGTCATGTTTGCCTAATTCATCATGATCTGTGTAGTCTTGCATTGGTGTCTATGCATTTGAAGAAGACACTTATTCCTGTCTTTATAAAACTGATTTCAGTAGGTAAAGATTTTTTCCTGCCGTGTTCCTGGATGAACTAACTCCAGGATTGTAGTTAGGTGGGGCTAGAGCCAGGTCTCATGGCTGTTTCCAGATTCACTGTCAGGTCTGTGGTTGGCAAGCCTGGTTACCAGGAACATGTTGAGGTATGGCTTCTTTGAGTCTCTAAATATGCTCCTGTTAGGTAGCTGGGCTGGTCTCTGGGTGATCAGGACTTCCTCTGAACTTCAGTAGAATGGAATTGAAGCCAGGTCACAGGACTGCTTCAGTAACCACAGTTGGATCCAAAGTTGTCAGGTCTGTTACCTGGTTGTTTTTTGGTGTGGCTTCCATTAGGTTCCTGAGCAGGTCTCTGGGTGGGCAAGACTGCCATGGACAATGATAGAGTGGGCTGAAGCCAGGTCATTTAACTGCTCCAGGGACTACAATCAGGTTCAAGTTTGGCAGGCTTGTTATGGGGAGCATGAATGGATGTGACTTCTCCTGGGTCCCTTGGTGGAAGGGGCTGGTGTCAGGACTGTGAACAAGGGGGGCTGGAGCTGAGTTCATAGAGGGATGGAGCTCCTTCAGCCCACAGCTGGAACTATGGCCAGTGGAATTGTCACCAATGTGCTGGCTTGCCTTCTCAAAGCAGCCCTCCCGAGTCTTGGGCGCCACCAGGGCTTTGCAACCTTCTGCCCAGATCCCCAAACTCCTACAAAGACACTTTGTCTATAAATAGCTGCCAAATATTTAAGTGGTTTTGTGTGTGTGTGTGTGTGTGTGTGTAGGGTGTGTGTGTAGGCTGGGGACCTCTATTTTGTCATCTTGCTGATGTCATCTAGTTTGTCTTTTAAGATTACTCTGGCTACTATATGGAAAATGGATTGGGAGGCCAGTTAGGATGCTATTGTAAAATTCAGGCAAAATGAACTTACCGTCATGTTTATGAAGCTTATTTCCAGGGCCCTTCACTAGCACAAAGCCTTTATATGGCCCTGAGAGAGAGCCCAACAATGAGTTCTTATGCTCAAATGATTTTGCATTATTTGTGAGAGTAAGATAAAACTGCAGTTTCTTTCTACTCTAATTCAACCTCCATCACACTTGCCCTCATGACAGATGACATTGGTATGGCTGTGAGTATTTTGTTATCTAGCTAGGTGGAAGTTGAATTGGAGGAAACATTTAGTATGCATTTGACGGGATATATTTTATGGTTCTATGAAGTCCTGCCAGCAAATGTATAAGCAATGAGAGATCCCCTAAACAGTCCTCTTTCCTGTATTTACCTTCACTCTATACTTAATGAATAGCCCACTGCTAATCAGTTTTGATCCAAGTTTGAGTCATACAAATATCCTCCTAAATAGTCTTTCTTTTCCAGTCCTGGACCCTTTCAGCCGCTTCTCCACACTATCCCCAGAGAGGACTTCCTGAAAATATAGGTTGGATACTATCATTTCCATGATTAGAAACCTTGATGACAACTGTTAATTACACACAGGATAATGAACAGCTTCTATAACCTATCTTTATTCTTTTTCCATCTTTTCTTGGCTTACAGTGTGAAGAATTGCCCACTATTTCCTGCTTAACAACTTGCAGTCTTACACAATAATAGGTTACAAAAATTATAAGTAAAGGGCAATGTTGACTCCTTTTCAATTTATCCACTCCTGGGCCTGGCACTCTTGCTTCTCTGTGGCCACAACTCTGGGAAGTGTCTCTTCTACACCTCACATCCCATTCACCTCTAGTTGCTTTGATCAAGTAGTAGGGAGAAATGGTATTGATTTGTGAGGGCGGAAGTATAGCAGGTTGCTTTAAACCATCACTATGCTAGGTAGCAGTGCTATTTTATCAGTTTAACAGAATTATCACTGAAAAAGTCTGTGAAGGTTCTGCTAGCAAAGGTTTAAAACCTGTTTGAATTGCTATACCTAGATTTGGGCAAGGAGTAGAGGAATAGATTGGGTCTGGCAGAGAAAGGGTGGGAAAGCATGCCATAAAATAGTAGCCAACTTAGTCTGATTGATACTTCAACAGGTTCAAAGCTTTATATTTGTTTGTTTAATAAAAATGTTGATCCTCCCTATAGTACCAAAGTCTAAGAAACAAAACTACTCAATAAGAGTGATAAAATTCTGGCCAGACTCATCAGGAAATTAAGAAGACACAAATTACCAATATCAGTAATGAGAAAGGGTATAGCACTATTGATTCTACAGATATTGAAAAGACAATAAGGAAGTATTTTCAACAACTTTATGCCAATAAATTTGACAACTTAGATGAAATGAACAAATTTCTTGAAGACACAAATGACCAAAGATTATTCAAGAAGAAAGTGGTATTCAATCGTCCAATATCTATTGAAGAAATTGAAGTTATGGTTGAAAACCTTCCCACAAAGAAAACTCAATGCCAAAATGACTTCTGAGGGGATTCTATCAAATGTAAAATGAAGAAGTAATATCAATTCCATGCAAACTCTCCCAGAAAGTTGAAGTAAAAGGAATACTTTCCAAATGACTCTGTAAGCCTGGCATTACTTTGATACGTCAACCAGACAAAGATATTTCAAGAAAAAAACACTATAGACCGACATCCATCATGAACAGAAATGCAAAAATTTTTAACACATTTTTAGCAAAGTGAATCCAACAATACATTAAAAGAATAATACAACATTACCAAGTAGTGTTTATCCCTAGAATGCAGGGTTTGATTTAACATTTGAAAATCAATCAATGTAATTTATCTTACTAAAGACTAACAAAGAAAATCCAATAAAATATTATCTCAATAAATGATGAGGAAACATCTGATAAAATCTAACACCTTTTTCTGATTAAAAAAACTCAAAAACAGCAAAGAACTTCCCCAACCTGACAGAGAACATCTATGTAAGCCAATGGCTAACATCAAACTCAATGGTGGAAGACTTAATGCTTTCCCTTTAAGACCAAGAACAAGGCAAAGATTGCCTGTTTTCATTGCTTTTATTCAATATTGTGCTAGAGGTTCCAGTCAGTGCAATAAGGCAAGACAAGGAAATAAAAGACACTCAGATTGGAAAGGAAGAAGCAAAACTGTCTTTATTTGCAGATGACATGATTGTCTATGTATAATATACAGTAGGGTCTACAAAAACACTACATAGTATACAATATTATTAATACTTTTGGTTTACAGGTTTATAGAAGGTTGTTAACCATACTCACTTCTTGGTGCATTATTTTCATGTTCCTGCAAGGTCCCTCTTTTGTTTTTCCTTCAACCCAGATTCTGACTTCCATTCCCTCCCTTTCCATACCACAAAGTCATTCATTCTAATGTACTTTTTCCTGTCTTCAAATATTTGTGCAAAATATTTGTGAAAAAATATAATTTTAAGGGTTATATGTTCATCTTAAATTTTTATACGTTATTGTGCCATACATCTCATCATTTTGTACTTTTTTCAATCAACACTATGTTTTCAAAATATATGTTTATATTTTCCTTTTCAGGGCCATGGATGGAGTTGGAAGCCATTATCCTTAGCAAACTAACACAGGAACAGAAAAACAAACACTGCATTTTCTCACTTATAAGTGGGAGCCAAACAATGAGAACACATGGACACAGGGAGGAGAACAACACACACTGGGGCCTGCCAGTGGGGGAAGGGGGAGGGAGAGAGCATCAGGATAAATAGCTAATGCATGCAGGGCTTAATTACTAGGTGATGGGTTGATAGGTGCAGCAAACCACCATGACACACATTTACCTATGTAGCAAACCTATATGTCCTGCACATGAATTCCAGAACTTAAAATTAAATTAAATTTAAAAATGTGTGTGTGTGTGTATTTTTGAATGAACCTCCAATTTGTGATTTATAGCCTGCATCTACCATACCTAATCTTCATTGCTGAGAGAAATTAAGAAGATCTAAATAAATGCAGAGAGACACTGTTCACGGATCAGAAGATGAAATATTCTTAAAATGTCAATTTTCCCTAAATTAATCTATAGAATCAAAGAAAGCCCAATCAAAATCCCAGCAGGCCTTTTTTGGTAGTAATTGATAAGATGATTCTAAAATTTATTCAGAAATTCATAACATCTGGAATAGCTAAAAACATATTCGAAAAAGAAGGACACAGTTGGAGGATTAACACTGCCTGACTTGCAGACTTAATATAAAGTTGTAGTAATCAGGCTGAGCATGCTGCCTCACGCCGGTAATCCTAGCATTTTGGGAGGCCAAGGCGGGTGGATCACCTGAGGTCGGGAGTTCAAGATCAGCCTGGCCAGCATAGCGAAACCCTGTCTCTACTAAAAGTAGAAAAAAATTAGCCAGGCCTGGTGGCGGGCATCTGTAATCCCAGCTACTCAGGAGGCTGAGGTAGGTGAATCACTAGAGCCCTGGGGTCAGAGGTTGTAGTGAGGTGAGATTGCGCCATTGCACTCCAGCGTGGGCGACAGAGTGAGACTCCACCTCAAAAAAAAAAAAGTTATAGTAATCAAAATAGTATGATATTGATGTCAAGATAGATCAGTGAAAAGAAGAATAAAGAGTGCAGAAATAGACTCACATGCATATCATCAATTGAGTTTCAACAAAGATAGGGATTCAGTAGAGAAAGGACAGTCTTTTCAACAGATGATGTTGGAATAGTTGGATATTCATATGCCAAAAAAATGAACATTAATACCTAATACTGTGTACAAAAATTAAGAAAACATAAGAGAAAGTCTTTGTGATCTTGAGTTAGGCAAAGATTTTTTAGATAGAATGCTAAAAGAAAAGAAATAATTGATTAACTGGGCTTCATCAAAATTAGAAATTTACTTTTTTTTTTTTCAATGGGGAAAAATTTAATTTTATGCTTCAAATTCATATCATGTACATTAAGTACTACATGAATTTGTCTTTAGGCTATCAATATTTAACTTGGGCAGTACTTCCTCTTGATTTATTTGGAGAAATACAGCTTAGGCATCTGCTTACCTGCTTAGGCATCAAAAGAGGTGCCAAATTAGAAAATAGGGCATTAACAATCAAAATTTTTAAACTGACCCACATACTTGCTACTGGTTTCGCTTATGTTTAAGCATTTAAAGTTGGCAAAACATGTTATCGATGTATTATGCAAGAGTTTACATCTTTTGCATAAGTGGTCCATTGGGTTGCACCTACCCCTTGACCAAACAAAAACAAAACATCACTGGCACCATACTCGAAACTACCTGTATCCTAGGTTATAAGATTGTGAAAGCCAAAAATCTATAAGGTTGGAGGGACTCTAGTTAATCTTTGGGCTTAGAGGAGGAAAAAAAGATAGTCCCATACTGCATTTCACATCTCTTAAAAATAGTTTTAGCAGCTTAAACCTTTTTAGTTATAAAACTTATTACACTAGGGTTTACTTTGAAATATAGTTTACAACCAAATCAAGTATAACATACATACACTGGCACTTTAGCACAAGGGCAAACTTTAAAAACAAGTTATTTTGGACCTTTAAAATTAGGCCATATTATAAAAAACAGTCCACGGTCTTACATTCAGCAAATTCATACTAAAATATTCCATTTTTGTAAGATAAAGGCCAAGAAAACTTTACATATGCTACAAGTTTATTACAGATATTTACATGGCTCTTTCTCCCCTAGGTACTTAAAATTTTCACATTATCCAACTCCCCAAAGCAAGCTTGGCAGGAATGAGGAGGCCAGATCACTATTAGAATAGCTTGTGCAGTGCTGTAATACAAAAATGTATTTTGAAAGCTATTGAGTGACCATTAAATACTGTTTCTATAAAAAATGGTTTTGGTGTATTTGTTGACAGACACTTAATCCACTACATTTAATAAACAGGGCCATTGGGGTGTACTATGTCTCATTCTAATGAGCTCCAAATGCCCTTTCCACCCACTGTACAATTCACTAAAATGCAATTATTACGAAAAATTCACATTTTCTTTCAGCAGTGCATCAGGTTAGCATATTACTGGTTTGGGTGTTTCTAATATACTAAACCTTCAGATGTTTACCTAATTCTGAATCCTTGTGTTAGCCAGAAGCTTATAATCCGATTCACCAACTTTCAACAATCTACTGGTCCATGAATGATAAATTACTATCTTCCCCTAACAATAGAAAAAGCTGATTCCTTTACCACTCCCCAAATCTAAACTTGGTTTCCACTTAAAAGTTACTCAGTTGAGAACACTTAATATCAATTACAATCATTAGTTTAAGTTGCACTGATACTACCATTATATCACAGTGCACACAACACGAGATGAAGTCTATTTTTTTTACATTAATTAGTTCTACACAAATAGATTCCCTAGCAAATTTGTTTCAGACCAATTGACAACTATCTGTGAACATAACTAAACTTAAACATTTGTCTTATTTTATACCTGTACTTTAAGTAAGGTTTTAAGTTGAAATGTCATTATTTCCTTATCTGAAGGATTAAAGGAAACAGGGACCCAGTGGCTTGGTGGTTTGGGAAGAACACTTGGTGATGGCGGCTCACTAAATTTGGCACCAGCATAGTTCTGTTTAGCTTGAGATTTAAAAAGTAAGCTGGGACCTGATAAGCTAGAATTCCAACTTTGATTATTTGGAAAATTTTTGTTCTTCCCCCCATTTTTCATGGCCTGCCAGGCACCTGCTGATGAGTTATAACCATGTCCTCTTTCTTTTTTCTTATGAACAATCTTCATCTGGGAATTCTGTTCCTTGGTCTTCTGTCTGTTAAGCTGTTGTTGGTTCTTACTAACATTTCTAGATTGAGGGGCTGGAATGTTATACCTCTCTCTACCACCCATCTTCAGCTTCTTTGTCACCTTTCAGTCTGCTTTTCAGATTGCAGGATCTCCACTACCTGTCCTCTTCCTTGCTGCCAAGCCCAAGATAACAAGTGTTGCTTTCTGACAGATCCCTTCCTTTGTCTCAATACAGAAGTTTTCATGGGCCGATCTGCTGAGTTCAGCCTAGGAGCTGAGGCCAACATCTGAGTCTCCTCAGCACTCAAGTTTGAGAGAAGTCCTAGTGACTTCAAGCTCGGAACTAACGCGGCAGCGGCTCCCTCTCGACGTTGAAGCCTCCCTCCCTTTCCAGGGAGAGACGAGGCACGGACCGACAAAGCCCACGAACACCGATGAGCGAGCTGCCGGCCACCCCAGCTTCTACAATCCGACCTTCTCCTTCTGCCTCTACCGACAAAATGGACAGAAATTTACTTTTTAAAAGACACTTTCAAGAGAATGAGAAGATAATCATCAAGTGGGAGAAAATATCTGTAAATCTTCTATCTAAGAAAACACTTGATCCAGGATGTAATGAAGCACTCTGAAAACTCAGTAATAACAAGAAAAAAAAATGGGTGGAAGATTTGAGCAGACACGTTACTGAAGAAGATATTCAGATGGCATATAAGTATATGAAAATATGTTTAATATCATTAATCATTAGAGAAATGCAATTAAAACCACAATAAGAGATAATTACTCTTCTATTAGAATGGCTAAAATTTACACATCTGGCCATATCAAGTGTTAATGAAAATGTGGAGGAACTGGAACTTTCATATATTTCTGGTTGGAATGTAAAATGGTACACTTTGGAAAACATTTTGTCAGTTTCTTAAAGATTTAAATAGATGCCTACAGAACTTCTAGCCTTTCTACTCCTAGGTATTTACCCAAGAGAAATCAAAACATATAGCTGTACAAAAACGTACACACAAATGTATAACAGCATTATTTGTAACAGTCAAAAACTAGAAACAACTAAAATCTCCATTAACAGGTGAATGGGGAACAAATTGTATACTACTCAGCAATAAAAAAGCATGAACTATTGATGTATGCAAAAATATGGATGAATTTAAAATAATTATGCTGAGTAAGAGAAGCCAGGCAAATAAAATCGTGCATACTATATGATTCCATTTATATACAATTCTAGAAAATGCAAACAAATGTATTATAACAGAAAACACTGGCATTACCTGGGAATTTGTTAGAAATTCAGAGTCTCCCTGCCCAGGAGATTTTATGCACTTTAAAGTTTAAGAAGCCCTACTCTAGACAGTCTAGAGGCACAGTGGATTTTGAGGTACAGGGGGATTCAGTGGTGTTGCATTTGGTGATGGTGGGACAAGAAGCTTGGGCCTCTCCTCTGAGCTGCTGACTCAGAGTTAGGGAAAATAAAGATACCATTCATGAATCCAAGCGGGGTCCTGGATAGAGCCAGAATATTGTGGGGCAGGTACAGAGCACAAGACAGTACTGTTTGATCATAGGTGACTAGTCACTTAGGCAAGGCCAGGAGCACGGGTGGCAGAGCCAGAGGGGTTGCAGACACACCACAATTCCATTTTCACAGGCAGAGATGGGGCAGGTAGGGCCCCAGAGCAGAAGCTGGGGCGGTTGTCACTATTTGCTTAAACACCTAGTGGCTCCTGGTTCTTTTTCTTTTAATCACAGAGACCCCCAAATCTCAAGGATGCAAAAACCCTTGGCTGCAACGCTCACTCCATTATCACTCGATGATCACAGATATACTTCCTGCATTTCTCTCACAATCACTGAGCACCTACTATGTGTTAAGTACTGTGCTAGGTGATGGGACTTCAAATATTCTAGAAGTCTGACACAAGAGTGCACAGATGCACACCCTTTGGTCTGAATGTTCAGGTTAAACGTCTAAAATCCAATCTGAACACTCCTACCATTTTTTCTTCTCCCTCTGACCCTGAATAAATGGGACAGTTATCATTTCACATTTATTGAACCACAGCCACATACGTACAAAACTGGACCTCTGTTCTGTTGGACTTCCTCATTACCATGCTATGCTATTAAACATTATTTGTCCCTGGGGCAGCTCTTGGCCACCCTTATTTCCTACTCTTCCCCTCCAGCTATCACCCCTTCTCCACACAACCTTGAAGAGTGACTGTTTTTTAATTTAATATTGTGTCTTAGTTCACTTGCTGTTGTCATAACAGAATACTGCAGACTAGATAATTTATAAAGAAAAGAGATTTATTTGGCTCATGGATCTGGAGGCTGGGAAGTCCCAGATTGAGGGACTGCATTTGGTGAGGACCTTCTTGCTGCATCATAACATGGTGGAGGGCATCACATGATGAGGAGCTGTGCATGCAAGACAGAGCAAAAGGTGGCCGAATGCCTGGAATAAAAAACTCACTCCCACAATAATGGCATAAACCCATTCAAGAAGGAAAAGCCCTCATGACCTCATCATTTCTTAAAAGTCCCACCTCTTAATACTGTCACAACGGCAATTAAATTTCAACATGAGTTTTGGGAGGAACATTCAAACCATGGCAGATTATTCTCCTAGGCTGCTTTGACCTAGGTTATTTCCAGCTCCCTTTCATAACTGCCTCAGTCCTGTTCCGTAACATTCCTAGTTGATGTGTGCCTTGTCTCTAGTTGATGTGCTTTGTGCATTTTCTTGACATTTGTTTGTTCCTGCTTTCAAATCATTAGCAAAGATGTTAAATGAAACCAGACCTGACCCCGCTCTCTGGGGAAGTGCACTTAGCCCCCTCCCCCAACTCCACTCACTGGAGCTGTTTCTGGGTATGTATATCATTATTCTTTATTTATGATCTTCCCAGCCAGTTGTTGAGTCCATGTGACCACATTCTCATCCAAGGCAATTTGAGCTGGCCTTAGAGGAGAAATGGCATGGCAGGGTGAGCAAAATTTTTTACCCAAGTTCCAAACCATTTACTAAAAACCTGGCCTCGCTGTTTTTCTCCTCTGCCGAGTTGCTTGAACTCACTTCTTTCCATAAATCCTCTGTGACATTACCCTTTCCAGATGGCGATGGATTTTCACTGTTAACATCTGTTTTATTACTGTGACTATCTAATTTACTAGCCAGTAAGTTCCACAATTAGCTTTCTTTTGCTTTCCTTTTTGAACATTAACACCATATTTATGGCATCTTCTTCCTCTCTAACCTTGATTTTCAAATCTCTTCTAAATTCTCCAATAATTTTTCAAATGCTTTATACTTTCTCCCAGGGTGGTAATGCTCAAGGCCCCACCTTCTTGGTGGCAGATCTGAGCATAACAAAGGTGCTGCTTAACCTAAATCTGGAGGTGGTGTTGCTTAAATCCATGTCCCCAGTTAATTAGCTAGGTTGCTTTTTTGTAATTTTTAAACCTCACTCAGATAAAAAGAAAAACGATAATTTTAATGATGATATTAATAGTAACTCTAGTTATCTAGAAGACATTTATGTAGTCTCTCAGATATCTAGAATATAGTAAAAAACAAACCAAAAAACCCCAAAATCCCTGCCACCACTCCCCAAAAATAGAAATAAGCAGAAAAGCCATAGAGAGATCAAAAAAGACATCATGTGTCATGAAGTCCACATATCATACGACATCATTCTTCCACATTGTCTGAGTTCCTGGTGTAATCTCAGTAGTCTCCTTGTGCCCTCCACGGAGAGTAGGGTGAGGGTTATCTTTAGTTTTCTAAGCCATTGCCTCTAGCGGCACTCTGGTAACCAGGTAACTACTTTGGTGTTTATCAGGCTGCCTAGCACAAGGACCATGTGATTTTGAGCCAGAGGATAAACCTGGGGGCATATTCAGGCCAATCTGCTCTAGCCCACATAGCTGGTAGCATTTAAAAACAAACAAAAAACCAAACTCCTAGAATCCTCTTCTTCTCGTCTCTATTTAATATATCTTATTTATCATCTGAAATCATTTGACTTTCAAGTTACATCAGAACAAAAGAAGCAAATCAGAAGTAGGGTGGTGGTTACTATCAGCAGTCACTCTGATCACCACAAAAAGTGATAGCTGCCGGGGAAGAGAGAGAAAACCTAAAAAGTAAACAAAACCCAAAGCCTCTGGAGGCTTAGCAGATTGGGAGCTATTTAGTGTAGAAGCAAATAACTCTACGTTATTTTAATATCCTTTGTTGGAATTACACTATTTAGTAGCAAGACAATAATATTTATAATAATGACCATGATTCAGAAAGGAAAGTTAGGTTTAGCAACTATATTTAAGGAAGTAAGGAAGTGTGTCCTTAATTTTAAATTAACACATAGTTGATGAGCATGATCCAAAATTCACAAATACGTACTGAGAAATCCATTTCCTTCCCACCCTGATTCCCTAATCTCCCAGTTATCCTCCATGGATACAACTATAACCAATCTCTTTTGGAATTTTCCAGAGATATTTCAAGTGCTTTTAGAAAAGTGTGTTTTGTAAATCACTTAAAATTTTTTTTAGATTCTGATAGGTAAGCTCCAGTGATCCGGAAAATTCAGTTAGGTAGAACTGCTTATTGCCCAGCAATTCAGAATGAATTAGGCATTACTTAGTATGAGTTGAGTTTCCTAATTTTTCAGATTTTTGGGACAGAGAGGCCCTCATAGACCTCAGAGAGACTGTAGAAGAGACCTGATCTTGTCATTTGCAGGAGTGGGAAGGTTCTAATTTTTACCCCTGATTGCTATGAGGATTGTTTTCTCATCTCCATTCCCCAGAGTTTTTCTTAATCCTACCATGTGCAAAGGCAGCGTGGTTGGAAGAAAACACAAGGGCTTTAGGGGCTAAATGAGATATAAAGAAGAAGAAGATAGGATCCCCAGTACTCGGGGATCTAATTTTTTTAAAAGTTAAGGGAGGAAAACAGGGTAAGGTGTGTACAAATTGCTATAATAAAAAGTATAATATTTGCTATAGGAGAATTTAGAATGCTATGAGAAGAGATTATTTGGAGCTGAAGGAATCCAGGAAAGTTTCATGAAAGAAGTAGCACTGGAGATAACTGTGGAACGAAAAGTAGGGATTCAACAGGAGAGAAGACAGAAAACATCCCAGGAAGAAGAAAAAGCATGAACAAAGATATGGAGCACTTTGGGCAAAACTGTTAATGGGATGATAATTTGCCATCCATTCACGTTCTTTTCTGAAATACTTCAAGCTTGCTCCCGAGTCTGATATTGGAGCTGGGACAGGACATTGGCCCACAGACCAAGGGGTGTCTTTGGGAAGGAGCCAAGGGGATCATGTCCAATAAGGCGAGGAGAATCAAACTGATTAGTTTGCAAGGAGAGCCAGCTGCCTCCTCTACCCTGACTCCAGCAAGTCTGCTCTTGGGGACAGATGCCTCTTTGCTGGCCTAGTGTGGCTAAGCCATCAGTCTAGGAACAATTCCTTGTTTTCCTGGAACTCTCTCTCATTTTTGTGGTAGTTCTTGGAGTAATATTCCTAGAATGTTTCCAGAATGCCAGGCCATCTGCTTACTCTAGTTTGGATTGGCTCACAGCTGCCTCACTTTCCTGAAGCAGAGAGTCTCTAAAGCAGCATCTAGAGCCATGCTTCCCAAAATGCCAAAAGGTAAACTTTCCTGGAAATAGGTTTGCATTTTCTGACATAGTGTCTTCCATGCTTTCCTGAGAGTAAGCATGCCCTGAGAGAGAGCATGTGTTTGACATTTCCCTCTGGCAGAGGCCCACAGGAGCTCTCATGGACAAGATGGATTTGATTAATGAGGGAGATAGGCAAATTCTTTTGCTTTAAGCTGGAGGGGGGATTTTGTATGTGTTGGGGTTCTTTTTCCTTCTGCACTCAGTCTACGAGTGTCAAGCTCCAGACACAGAGGGCACAAAAGGAGTGTTTGTCTTATTAGAAGACAAAGGTGTTGTGTTTGTTTGTTTTTGTTTTTCTGGAATCATACATATATAGACCTTCAGAAGAGAACTCTGGGGTCACCTAGTTCAAATCTCTACTCTATATGGAAATCTCAGTATCCTGGACATGCTACTATTAATAGGTCTCAGGATTTATGAGAATGGAGACCATATCTGACTTATTTATTGCTATATTCTCAGTGTGTGGTTGTCTGGTTCATGGTAGGTGTTCGGTGAATAAGGGTTGAATGAAGATAGTCCAGAGACTAAGAAATCAGTCCATTTCAAGTCAGCCCATTCTATGTTTTCATACATTCTTTTTCATAGTGAACATATTTTGAAACTAATAAACTATGTCTTTGTCATTTTCAATCATACCTAATCATGTTTCTTTGCAACAACCATTACGGCTCGAAGAAAGAAAGGAGGCCAAATGCTGTCTAATGAAAGAGGATATTATGATGCAGTATTCCTAGTCTACAGAGGTGAAAATGAAAATGAAAGGAAAAACTAAAATCAACAACAAAACTTGTGATCCGAGTTAGGGGTGAGAGTGTGAAGGAGAAAAATGTTGCGTATTGATTTTTAATCAGTTTGTCAATTCCTACTAGTCCTGTTAGAATTTTGTGATGGTGTTGAATTTTATAGATCAGTTTGGAGAGAATTGACATCATAATATCGAGTCTTTCAATTCATGAGCATTGTATATCTCTTCATTTATTTATGTCTTTAATTTTGCTCAGCAATGATGCATAGTTTTAAGTGTACAGATCTGCACATCTTTTGTCAAATTTATTTCTAAGTATTTCATATTTTGATGCTATTATAAATAGCATTTTATCTCAATTTCTGATCTTTGTCAATAATTTGTGGAAATAAAACTAATTTTTGTAAATTAACCTTGTATCCTGCAAACTTGCTAAACTCACTTATAGTTCAAGTAACTTTTTTTTGTAGATTCTTTAGGATTTTAAACATGGATAATCATGTAATTTGTGAAGAAAGATAGCTTTACATCTTTCTTTCCAACTCTATGCTTTTAAATTCTTTTTCTTTTCTTATAAAACTGGCTAGCACTTCCACTATAATGTTGAAGAGAAGAAATAAAAGTGGACTTTTTTTTTGAGACAGAATATTGCTCTGTTACTCAGGCTGGAGTGCAGTGGTGTGATCTGAGCTCACTGCAACCTCCGCCTCCCACGTTCAAGTGATTCTTGTGCCTCAGTCTCCGAAGAAGCTGGGATTACAGGTGCATGCCACCACAGCTGGCTAATTTTTGTATTTTTAGTAAAGACAAGAGTTTTGCCATGTTGGCCAGGATAGTCTCAAACCCCTGGCCTCAAGTGATCTGCCCATCTCAGCCTCCCAAAGTGCTGGGATTACAGGTGTGAGCTACCACACGTGGCCAAGAGTGGACATTTTAACCTTTTTCCTGAATTCAGGAGAGAAGTATTTAATCTTTCACCATTAAGTATGATATTTTGCTGTATGATACTGTAGATACCCCTTATTAGGAGGAAAAAGTTCCCTTTTATTTCTAGTTTGCTAGAGTTTTTATCATAGATGTGTCTTAAATTTTTTCAAATCCATATTTCATATCTGTTGAGACAAATGTATGAATTTTTAGTCTGTTAATATAGTAGATTGCGTTGATTGACTTTTTAAATGCTATGCCAACCCTGCAATCCTGGGATAAATCCCACCTGTTCATGTTATATTATCATTTCTATATGTTGTTGCTAAAATTTTGTTAAGAATTTTCCATCTGTGTTTATGAGGGATTTTTGTATGTAGTTTTCTTATACTTTATTGGTTTTGTACCAGGGTAATGCTGGCCTTATAACATGAGTTGGGAGGTATGCCTTCCTTTTCTATTTTCTGGAAGAGTTTTCGTAGAATTGGTATGATTTTTCCCTTCACTGTTTTATAGCATTCACCAGTAGAGCCATCTGAGCCTGTAGTGTGTGTGTATGTGTGTGTTTTCTGGCTGTTTCTAATATTTTTTTTAACTTTTGATTACAGATGTTTGACTATGCAGTGTTTTAGGTATAGACTTATTTGTATTTATGCTACTTAAAGTTCTACTAAGCTTTTTAATATCTGGGTGTTGATGAGTTTTATCAATTTTGGGAAATTCCCAACTATTTTCTCTTAAAATATTTCTTCTGCCTTCTTATTGTTCTCTGTTTCTGTCTCTGAATATTTTTCTTTCTCCTTTCTCTTACTATGACTTTATACTTTTTTCTCTGTCTTTTTTAGTTCGGATGATTTACAATGACCTGTCTTTGGTTTCACTAAATCCTTTTCCTGCTTTTCCCAGCAAATGAATTCTTCATTTCAGACATTGTATATCTCAGTTTTACAATTTCCATTTGTTTCTTTTTGGGATTTCTATTTATCTCAATCAATCCACCATTTTTTCATTCATTTTGTATATCTCTTGTTCTTTGTTTTAAATATACTTGTAAAAGTTATTTTAATGTCCATACCTAATAATTCCAACATCTAGGTCATTTGTGCATCTGGTTTATTTGACTTATTCTCTTGATTGTATGTCACATGTCCTGATTCTTTGCTTGCCTGGTGACTTTTTTATTGCATGGCAGAAGTTATAAATATGAGAACAGTAGAGGCAGAATTAGATATTTACCCCCAGAAAAGCCTTGCCCTTTCCTCTTTCAGGTGGGTGGTATGTAAGGCTTACCTCTTCTATCTAGTCAAGGATTGATAGATTGGGTTGGGGTTAAACTTCACCCTTTAGTTCACCTCTTATTTTAAATGTCAGGGCTTTGAGATATAAGTATCACAAAACTATGAAATCTTTCCTGTATTTCATTTCTAGACCAGCCTCATCACTGCTCATTCAACAGAAGTCTGATGAGGAAAACTTGGTGGGTAACAAGACCTAGCTGTGTGTTTGGGACCCCACCAGATTCCAAGCTACCATGCCAGCCCACGTGCACTGACAAGAGCTCAGCTAGCTTTTCCTTGACCTAACCAAGTATCTTCACCAATGGTAGTTCACTGCTTAGCCCACCTGTGCCCCCAGGTAGAGGTAATGCCCTCAGGGATGATAGCAGCTGCCACCTCTGCTCATCTAGGAAAGCCCCATTTCTCTCTGAAATTTATTTGTACTTCTTTGCATCCACAGCTCTTCAGTGGCTTTCAATAATGTATGATTTTTTTTTTTCATGTAGCTGGTATTTTTCTCTAGTTACAGCAGTAGTGATACAACCACCTTCATCCCCACAATAAGTAAATCTCTGCTGTTGCATTTTTAATTTTCTTACATCTATTTTTTATTTTAACCAACTCTCTTCCAGTCTCCTCCTTCATTTAGCCTATTTTTCCTTTGGATTTCTGGCTTTTAGTTCATAGAAGCCACATCCTCTTTTGTCTTTTGGAGGACTTTTAGGATTTTTTTTTTTTCTTGAGAAAAATGATCTTCCTCTGAGCTTTTGGGACTATGCTCTATTTTTCCTGATGATACAGTAATTTTTCATAACACATATTTTGTTTTCCTCACTGTCTTCTTGGTAGACTACAGCTTCCCTCTTTCAAATTTAAACATGAAATTGAGGTTGATGTTCTTCACCCCAGTTCAGTTTGCACTGCTTAGCAGTAATTCATCTAGTAAGGTCTGCAGAACTGAAGGGAGATCTCCTCCAGCTCCCACTCTCTTAGTCTTGGGCTAGTGTCAGATGCAGTTTGCTGTTGGAAAGATTTTATAGAATGCGTGATTTGGTTCACAGCATATTTTTTCTAGTTACTAAGTGTGTCAAACGACGATTCAGTCTTTGCTTATCTCTTTCCTTACTGCCAGGTTGTTTGCCAGGAGTGAGTGGAAGATAACACGGGTTGAGGCTGAGTAGGAAAAAGAAGAATGCTTCCAAGATGCTGACTATAATGTGAGGTGGACATGGGAATAGAGTTTACAGCCTGATGTGTCTCTTGTCAACTTCCGGTTGAAATACAACCATGAACAAACATCCAAGGCAAAAACAATAAATAAGCATTGTCAAAAATGACAATAAATGAACTACAGACTAAAGAAGACTGGATACAATGTCTAGGAAAGTTTCTTTTAGCCAAATTAACAATGGGAAAGAGATTAGAAGAACAAGGCCCAAAGAAGCTGGGGAAGATTCACCTTTGCCATTTATAGCTGATTAATCTTCCATCTTGTCACTAGACTGAAACCACTCTTACAGACACAGATCAGTTGCTCACCAACTTCAGAGGGCACTTTGAAATCCTTATTTTATTTGACTTTCTAATGCTCTTAGATATTGTTACCCACTCCCTCCTAGTTCAAATTCTCTTCTCTCTTGGCTTCTAGGACAAACACTCTGTGACCACTTCTTGCCAGTCTTACCTTTGCAGGCTTTTCTCCCTCCAATAATCCTTACCTATTTCTTTTCTTTCTTTTCACTGTTGCTCTATACAATCTCACTCTCACACATGCATAGATTATTTGTTATATTCTGCTCCCCAAACTCGTATCTCTAGACCCAATTGCTTTCTCAGATATCAGATCCAGATTTCCAGGTAACCACTGATTATGTCCATTGGGATTCTCACTGGTACTTCAAATTATACATGTCCCAAACTGAACTCATATTTTCTGCTCTTCCAAAGCAACTTCTCTATTTTCCCTCCTATTTTGGTGAATATCACCATTTACTTAGTTCAGCAAACCGTATCCTCCCTTGAATCTTCTTAAAACTCTCCCTCTTCATCATCTCACAAATTCAACTGAGTCTGATCAACATTTCCCAAATGTTTCTCAAATATATCCCTTCTCTTCATTCCCTTTTACTGATTTATTTTCAGTTCTAATAATCTCCTAATTGGTTTCTCTGTCTGAAGGCTTTTCTCTCTCCATGCTATTCTCCCCACAACAATCAGAATACTTTTCAAAAAATACTATTTGGGGGCCAGGCGCGGTGGCTCACGCCTGTAATCCCAGCACTTTGGGAGGCTGAGGTGGGCAGATCACGAAGTCAGGAGATTGAGACTATACTGGCTAACATGGTGAAATCCCATCTCTACTAAAAATACAAAAAATTAGCCGGGCGTGGTGGCGGGCACCTTATCCCAGCTACCCGGGAGGCTGAGTCGAGACAATCGCTTGAACTCAGGAGGTGGAGGTTGCAGTGAGCTGAGATCGTGCCACTGAACTCCAGTCTGGGCAACAGAGCAAGACCCCTTAAACAAACAAACAAACAAAACTACTTGACCTCAGGGACCCATAGAAGAAAGTATACAGTCCTTGTGTGACTTACAGGCCCCTTCATTACCTGGCTTCTGCCTTCCTTTCCAGCCTTCTCTTTTACTGTTTCCCCAGTGATTCTGCTCCCAGTCAGCACTGAACTCCGGCTATGCTGAATAGCTTGCAACTCTAAAATATGCCACACTGATTCTTTGCATACAATGAATAAAATTCTATCTGTTTCTTGTCTGGCTGGAAAAGTCCTCCAAAATTTTTACATTGACCTAACTGACTGTACATGATCTTCACACTCCTTCCCACCAACTCCTTACCCCTCTGGTCTAATTTCCTATTAATCTTTCACTCACTCACTCTGCTTCAACCACATTAGCTTCTTAACATTCTTCAAATATACCAGACATGCTTCTGTCTCAGGGCCTTTGCACTTACTGTTCTCTTTGCCTAGAACATGTCCCTTCCTCAGATATTCATGGGACTTGCTTCCTCACCTCCTTCAAGGCTTTGCTCATTTTTTTTTTCATTGCAGTGAAGCCTTCTCTGGCCACCCTATCTAAAATTTTAACATACATATGTGCACACACATGCACATACAATATTCCCCATTGTACTTCCCCATTTTCCTTTCCTCCTCATTACTCATCATCTAATATATTGTGTATTTTACTTATTTATCTTATTTATTGTCTATCTCTCACTACTGAAATATAAGCTCCATGAGGGCAGATTGTAGAGTGAGGGACTGAAATATAGACATCACATCGTTATCTCAGTAACTGCTCAATAAAATTGTTTTCCATATATGGAAATGAATTGATTCCCTGGAGACTATTTTTATCGTGATAAAATACACGTAACATAAAAGTTATCATTTGAACCATTTTTAAATGCACAGTTCAGTGGCGTTTGTTACATTGTTGTGAAACCATACCACCGTCCATTTCCAGAATTCCTTTTACTTTGCAAAACTGAAACTTTGTACCCATTAAATAATAACTCTTTATTCTCCCCTCCAATCAGCCCCTGGAAACCACCATTATACTTTCTGTCACTGAACTCGACTACTCTAAGTACCTCATAGGTGGAGTTATACAATATTTGTCTTTTTGTGTCTGGCTTATTTCACTTGGCATGCTGCCTTCAAGGTTAATCCATGTTGTAGCATGTTTCAGAATTTCCATCTTTTTAAAGGCTGAATAATATTGAATTGTATGTGTGTCTCAACTTTTATTTATCTATTCATTCATCAGTGAACACTTGGGTTTCTTCCACCTTTTGGCTATTGTGAATAATGGTGTTGTAAACGTAGGTGTTTTTGTTTTTGAGTCCCTGCTTTCAATTCTTTTGGGTATATACCCACAAGTGGAATTGCCAGATTATATGGTAATTCTATGTTTAATTTTTTGAGAAACCACCATACTATTTTCCACATAGCTGCACCATTTTTATATTCCGTACATACCAGCAATGAACAAGGGTTTCAATTTCTCCACATCCTCACCAACACTTGTTATTTTATCTTTTTTACATAATAGCCATCCATCGTAATGAGTGTGAAGTAGTAGCTTATGGTGGTTTTGATTAGCATTTCCTTAATGACTAGAGATGTTGAGCATCTTTTCATGTGCTATTTGGTCATTGGTATATCTCCTTTAGAGAAATATCTATTCAAGTCTGTGATGGTTAATTTTATATGTTAATTTGACTGAGCTAAAGGATGGCCCAGATATCTGGTAACATATCATTTCTGGGTGTGTCTGTGAGGGTGTTTCCAGAAGAGATTAGCATTTGAATTTGTAGACTGAGTAAAGAAGATCACCCTCACCAATGTGGGTGAACATCATCCAATGTCTTGAGGGCCTGAATAGAACAAAAAGGTGGAGGAAGGGTGAATTTGCTCTCTCTTCTTGAGCTGGTGCATCCATCTTCTCCTGTCTTCAGACAATGGTGGTCCTGGTTTTTGGGCCTTTGGATTCCTACTGGGACTACATCAGTGGCTCCCCTGGGTCTCAGGCCTTCATGTGTAGATTGGAACTGGGAATATGGGATTTCTCAGCCTCCACAACTATATGAGCTAATAATAATAAACCTCTTTCTATACATCTATGTATATCTTACTGTTTCTCTGGAGAACCCCACTAATACAAAGTCCTTTGACCATTTTTTTGTTGTTTGTTGTTGTAGTGGTAGAGGAGTTCTTTATATATTTTGGATATTTATCCCTTATCAGATATATGACTTACCAATATTTTCTTCTATTCTCTGAGTTCCCTTCTCACTCTGTTGGTAGTATGTGTTAGTGAACAGAAGCTGTTAATTTTGATGAAGTTCAATTTATCTGTTTTTTTTTTATTTTGTTGCCTGTGCTTTTGATGTTACATCCCAGAAATCATTGCCAAATCCAATGTCACAAAAGTTTTTCCATATGTTTTCTTCTAAGAGTTTTATAATTTTAGTTCTGACATTTAGGTCTTTGATGTATTTGGACATAATTTTTGAATATGATGTAAGGTAAGGGTTCAACTTCATTCTTCTGTGTGTAGATATCCAGTTTTTTCAGCACCATTTTCTGAGACACTAAAATTTTATATTGCATTTTTTACTTCATTAGGAGCATAAGATACTTCATTAAGGGTACAATGTGTTTATATCATGGTTTGTTTCCTTTGGGGAAATTTGGCAAAACTACCAAATCTAAGAATTGCTCAGTTCTGGGAATAGAAAATTTCATTTTTTTCTACAAGATTAGCTTCATCTAGAAAAGACAAAGAACTATATAGGAATTCAAAATAATAAGGGATGAAGGCATTAGAAGAAAGATCTAGTGGTGAAGATGTGGTCTGCTTGGCTTAAAGGTGCAGGGTCTGAATGGAAAGACAAGATATCATGAGCTTCAGGTGGACTTTGAATCAGGTCTGGAGGAACACTGGGTTAGAAGGGCCTGTCTGGAGGTGGGAAAATGCCAGTTCTGATTTACAGCTCTGGGAGCCCTGGAGATGGGAGGATGAGCCCCTCCCTAAAGGTTGTTGAGGGGTTGGGAGTAGGACAGAGAACTATTAGAGGAGTGTCAAGAAGAGGTTTAAAATGATGAAAGAAAGTGCTGAAAGAGTATAATGGAAAGAATTCCTGCCATAAGAATGGAGGCCATAATGGCAGGAAGCCCAAAAAGAAGGAGTGAGAAGAACGAAGCTGAACGTAAATGGAGAATAGAGCTCCTGTATCAGTCCATTTTCACACTAGTATAAAGAAATACCGGAAACTGGGTAATTTACGAAGAGAAGTGATTTAATTGGCTCACAGTTCCACAGGCTGTACAGAAAGCATGGCTGGGGAGGCCTCAGGAAACTTACAATCATGGCCGAAGGCAAAGGGGAAGCAGGCACATCTTACATGGATGGAGCAGGGGGAAGGTGGGGGTGGTGCCACACACTTTTAAACAACCAAATCTCTTGAGTACTCGCTCACTATCACAAAAATAGCAAAGGGGAAATCTGTCCCCATGATCCAATCACTTCCTACTAGGCCCCTCCTCCAACACTGGGGATTGCAATTTAACATGAGATTTGGGCAGGGATGCAAAACCAAACCATATCAGGGCCCAAGGGAGATGCATTTGGTCAGCAACTAGAATGAGGAAAAGAGTAAAAGAGGGGACCAAAAGTATCAAGATGGAATTAACCATCTTTAGGATTCTGGAAATAGCTTTAGTGTTTCTTAGGGTCTGGATGTTATAAAGGTGGCAAGATGAGTACAGGAAAAAGTTAAATAATAATAAAACAATTATTCATCCAATATAAGTTGGTCCCTGCTCAAGTCAATGTGTTCTGTCATTGTTCAACAAAAACGAAATGATAGGAAAACAACAGTAGAGTTCTTTCTGCAGCTTGAGTGCTAACAAGGGCCTCCAGTGCTTCAGGAATCAAGGGGTAAATGGAGCGCTCAAAAGTCCATCCATCTGGCGCTGTGTGCTTGCTGGCACATTCTTTATCGCCACTATGGGAAGCTATAGTAGGGTGGCCACAGATGGCTCTAATAATTACACCCTTTTCTCCCTCTGGATGAGACAGATTTATGCACCTGGTCACTGACAGAGGCCTTGCTTTGTAGGGACAAGACTCTTGTTACACAGCTGAAGAGTGCATCACAGTGTTATCTTCTTGCCATGCTGCAGATCTGAAGAGGGGTCTTAGAAGAGGCAGAATCACCCACACTCAAGACCATTTCTCAAATTCATCTACGAGATAAGTCCATTCTCCTCCTTAGGGGAAAAGGCAGGAGTATGACCCTAATGGAAATCCCTCTGCATTAAAACTTGAGCAGTGGGGAACCAGTTTTCCTTCTCACAAGGGCAAACCAGGAAAATAAATGCCTTATACTGGAATAATAACTTTAGAAGTTCCCTAGGGACTAGTTATCTCCCAATTTAAATATGTAAAGCAGAGCCTAGAAATCTAATAAAGGCATAGCAATGTGGAAGAAAGTTGTTGCCCTATAAGTGGCATTTACCAATCTGAGGTAAGAACAGTTACTGAAAGAGTTGAGAGAAAGCACAGAATCTAGAGAAAGAGGAAACAAAAACTGTCTGTTGTTGCAGCTCCAGCACTCAGTCTCCTGGGGCAATGGAGATGCATTAAGAGCTCAGCTCACTCCCGGCTAAATTCCTTGCTCATGAAGTAACTTTCTGATAATAATTTGGCTTTCCATGTAGACTTTCAAACAGAGGAGAGATGGTGCTGACCAGCCAACATGGATATTCACATTTCCTCAGAGACTATATATATTGGGAGCTAGTTTCTCATGAGTTGTTTGATATAATCAGTCCCCCTGAGCCCAGTCATTTCCATGTGAGCTAAAAAGCTTGGGTTGTGGACCTTGCAAAGCTGAGGATGAGACCTAGATTACGGTTCCCACAGCAAGATGGCAGGTTTTCTTTGGGAAATTTTAGAGTCTTCATTCTAAATTGAACTTCTCTATGTGTCCTCATCCAGAAAGGGACTCAATACTTGATGGGTTTGTGCCAAGCTTTTGTATTAAATTCAGCTACATCACAGTAAATTATAAAAGTTAATGACCTATA
The DNA here is from genome assembly GCF_000001405.40 of Homo sapiens. Taxonomy (NCBI): domain Eukaryota; kingdom Metazoa; phylum Chordata; class Mammalia; order Primates; family Hominidae; genus Homo; species Homo sapiens. The sequence goes on from NC_000001.11 coordinate 117,794,693, forward strand.
ATTATATTTTCTATGGTAAGGCACCTAGAATCAAGTAATTGCCAAATACAAGTGAAATAAAAGCCAGCAGTGGCTAGAATTTTCACCCAGTTCTTCTATATTTCTAGGCCTTTCTAAGCTCATAGCAGCAACTTCCCTCTCCCTTTCTCTAGTCTTCTTCCTTCGCTTCCATCTTCTTTTCTCTCAGCTACAATGAACTGCTCCACAACATTAAATGTCTTTAAACTCTTCCATATGAGATTCGATTTGGCTCTGAGGAGTTAAACCAAAGCGCAAGTTACAAATGTCCTAAGTGTTCTTCCACAGGGAGTATTTTAGTTGATGTCTTCAAACATACCACCCTCAGAAAAGCAAATATTTCAAAGACAGAAATGCAACTGTTGAATGTGGCGATAATTCTGCATGCAGTAGTAAGACAAATTTATGAATAAAAATTCACATTTCTAATCATATAAACGTTTTAAAAGGTTGTTTACTTGACCATATATTGAGAAACTTGCTTCAGAATCTGATTCCAGGTCAGGGGCTATAGCTTGTTCATACCACTCTGTGAGAGGACTGCTTCACTCTCACCACCAGGCTGACTAGTGCTCTGTGGTCTTGATCAATTGTCCCAGCAGAGTTGGTGCATGGGAAAGCCTTTCTTGGCCTTATCAGCAGCTCAGCCTGGGAGGTTGGCCCGGGGGCTGACCAAGCACAAAATAGAAAAGCCACTAATAAGATCCAGCTGGAACAAATAGCCTCTATTTATTTTAGGAAACTAATGATATGTCATCATGACACATATCTAACCTTAGTATTTCTGATTGGACAGGCCAGTTATGTGGGCTATGATTCAAGCCATGGTTACGGCTCTGCTGCTGGAAGAAGGATTCACCTGGTTTTGTGGTCTCGCTCTTCAGGTATTCCTTGCATTAAGTAATCATGTTCGACAAAATTTCACATCTCAAGTACTGGAAATTTAGGGAGGTGCTTATTTTACATTAAAAAAAGATCCCAATCAAGGAATTTTTAAGAAGTGACAAGTGATTAGTTTAATGGCGATATTATCTACTGACATTGTTCTGTTGTTATTTCAGAAATTGTAATCATTATCCATCCTAAGGACGGAGGAATCAACGTTTCGGTAGAGAAGAATTAGGTGCAACCTAGACAAGTGAGACATTTCTATGGTCTGGGTCTGAGAAAACATGACAGGAAAGAAAGAGAAGGGCTGCAAGGCCACGGGCTCAAAGCAGAGGCTACCGAAGGACAAATGTGTTACAAAGTGTTATGAAATGAATTGACTTACTAGGAAGGCACAACATCCAGCATTACAAAAGGACTGCTCTGCCCTAGCCATGTCCAGCTGAATAACTGGCCACTACATGACCCTCCACACCTCCAGGGTGGAGGCAGAGTTTGTAAGCTTGTGGCCTGCAGACCTAAAGTGGCCCAAAGATGTATTCTTTCTGAGCCCTCTCCCAAGTGATTTGAAAAATTAAGCCACACTAAAACAACAGGAGATTTCACGCACACACAAATTGAGATTTCTAGCATCTCTTAAAAGATAACAAAGAAATAAGCACTTAAAACTGAACTCATATTCCACATGGCAGCACCAACTGGCCAAGATTCAGTGGCTGCTGCTCCTTTACAGAGCAACGGCGATGCTTCTGTGCCAGTGTGTGGCGGTGAAAGCAGGACCCTGGGGCCGGCCTGTCTAGCTGCCCTCCAACTCCACCCCTTACTAGCTGTGGGAACTTGTTAACTGTTCTGTTCCTCCGTTTACTCATCAGTAAAATGTGATTCATTGTGCTTATCTATTAGGTTGTTGTAAAGATTAAATAAATTAACAAGTATACTGCGCTTCAACTAGTGCCATGTAAATATAGTAGTATTACAAAAGCCTTTGATATTATTACTAATATAGTATTAATATCTTGTCTTCTAAATTATTTAGTTATGTTAATCCTCCTAAGAATCCTGTAAGGTAGGTGAAGAAACTGAGGCATGGAGAGGTTGGAAAACCTGCCTAAACTTGTCACATGGTCACATTGCACATTACTAGTAAGCAGTGAAACCTCCTCAGGGGTCTGTGATCTAAACCACCATGCTATAGAATGACATTCCTTTAGGTGGGACCCACACTCTCCAGTTTTCCTTAGTACTCACCATTTCCACAGCATATGCATATAAATGTGCACATTCCTTTTCTATCTTCCCATCCACTGCCCTGTCCTCCTTTGGGTTATCTCCCTGGCCCCTGCATGCATTTGAGTTTGGAACCCCTAGTCTAGAAAAGTGGATATGCTGAATAGCTGACTGTGTCCTCCAGGTAGATTACCTCTCCCAATAAGGCTTTTATGAAGAGCCAAAGAGAAGACAAATTGTGCCCAGTGAGGGTCTATTTTAGTGTGGGTAGTCTGTGATAGCAGACAAGCAGCATCCCATCACCTGAAACATATAAGTAATGAAAATTATCTGGCTCCCACTCCAGACCTACTGAATCTGAATATCAGGTGTAGAGCCCAGAATTCTGTGGTTTACTAAGCCCTCCAGGTGATTCTGATGCTGGCTAAAATTTGGGAACCACTGCCTTAGAAGGTCATTTTTTTTTTTTTCGAGACGTAGTTTCGCTCTTGTTGCCCAGGCTGGAGTGCGATGGCACTATCTCAGCTCACTGCAACCTCCGCCTCCCAGGTTCAAGTGAGTCTCCTGCCTCAGCCTCCCGAGTAGCTGGGATTACAGGCGTGTGCCACCACGCCCAGCTAATTTTGTATTTTTAGTAGAGACGGGGTTTCTCCATGTTGGTCAGACTGGTCTCGAACTCCCATCAGGTGGTCCGCTTGCTCACCCTCCCAAAGTGCTGGGATCACAGGTATGAGCCACTGTGCCTAGCCAGAAGGTAATTTTTTTAATGTAAATAAAAATAAGACTTCCATGGGTAGGAATAGTTATCTGCTCCTACAGAGCTGGCCCAGAGGTATGCAGAATAAACCCAAAAACACTCTAATGGGAGGACTAGTTGGGAACAACATAGCTTTACAGTGAAGCCATCAGGATAAAACAGCAAATTGTGTACTTAAGTGATTGATTAAATTGCACTTCTCTTTGTTATCATGTAAATGACATGGTACTTACAGGATGACCAATTAACACTTGGAGACCAACTGCTCAAAACAATGATCTTAATTTTAAAATAGTTCTTATTTTCTACAAAAGTTAGATAAATGGCCCAACTGTCTGCAGAGGCCAGTATAAAAGAGAACACATATCTGTTAACTCTCTATGGCAGACAACCTACATCAAAGTCATCCTACAGGTGCCTTGAATAATTGCAGTGTGTCAGGACTGTGGTTGTAATTGACAGAAACAACTCACTCTAGCCTAAGGAAAACAGGAAAAATGCTTTAAAAGTCATTTTGACCACATTTAGGTTCAGAAAATGAAGATGTTTTGGTATATGCAACAAGAAATAATTTTATATGGGTTGAGACCTAGTCTGAAGAATATTTGCAATTACTAAGTCTGACTTTCTCATGTTTGAGTCAATCCTAATTAGATCCCTACTGGCATGGCTGGATCTTAGAAAGAAATAAGCCAGTGAAAGATAAAATCTACTTGTGAGGTTACAGCCTTAGCAGAGAAGATCCAGGAAATACCTAGTCCAGCTGAAGGACAGTGGAGACAGGAGGGGCTACATAATGCGAACCTGAGGCCTGGTTATTAACCAGGCTCTTGCTGTTTGGTGTAACATACATGCTATTTGGATTATGCCCTGACTCAACTCCACTCCTCTTTCTCTCCTAACATGGACTTTTGGGGACCTTGCTGCTGGTCCATTGTCTAGGAGGAGCCATTAATACAGTATCTGCTGTTAGCCTAATTCGTCTGGTTGGAAAGAATGCCTAAACCTTGAAAGTATTCCATTAAGGAGTTTGGATTTTATCCCAAGGACAGTAGAAAACATTGAATGGTCTTAAGAAGAGGAATGACACCATCAGACTCGAGTATCAGAAAAATGAACTCTGGCTGCCATGTGGAGATTAGAATTATTGGAGTGTTCAAGGCAATAGTAGATAGTGGCCTGTAAACAGTCTTATATTCCAGGCATAACTTGGAGATATTGCAGGTTCCGTTCCAGACTATAGCAATAAAATGTATATTGCAGTAACACGAGGAGTCATACAATTTTTTTGTTTCCCAGTGTATATAAAAGTTATGTTTTTACTATACTGTATTCTATTAAGTGTACAATAGCCTTATGTTGAAAAAACCAATGTACAATGTAATTTTAAAAATATTTTATTGCAAAAAAAATGCTAACAATCATCAGAGCCTTCAGCTAGTTGTAATCTTGTAATCTTTTTGCTGGTGGAAGGTCTTGTGTTGATGTTGATGGCTGCTGACTGATCAGGGTGGTGGTTGCTGAAGGTTGGAGTGACTGAGGTAATTAAAAAAAATAAGACCGTAATACAGTTTGCCCCAACAGTTGACTTTCTTTCATGAAAGATTTCTCTGTATCATTCAATGCTGTTTGATAGCATTTTGCCCATAGTAGAACTTCTTTTACAATTACAGTCCATCCTCTCAAACCCTGCTACTGCTTTACCATCTAAGTTTGTGTAATCTTCTAAATGCTTGTCATTTCAACAATGTTCATGGCATCTTCACCCATAGATTCCACTCAAAAAGCACTTTCTTTGCTCATCCATAAGAAGCAGCTCCTTATGCATTAAAATTTTGTCGCGAGATTGCAGCAGTTCAGTCACATCTTCAGTCTCCACTTCTAATTCAAGTTCTCTTGCTATTTCTATCACATCTGCAGCTATTTCTATCACATCTGCAGTAAATTTCTCCACTGAAGTCTTGAACCCCTCAAAGTCATCCAGGAGGATTGGAATCCACTTCCAAACTCCTGTTAATGTTGATATTTTGACATCGTCTCATGAATCATAAATGTTCTTTTCATCTAGAATGGTGAATTATTTCCAGAAGGTTTTAAATGGACTTTGCCCAGATTCATCAGAGGAATCACTATGTATGGCAGCTATAGCCTTATAAAATGCATTTCATAAATAGTAAGACTTGAAAGTCAAAATTACTCCTTGATCCATGGACTGCAGAATGGATGTTGTGTTAGCCAGCATGAAAACAACATTCATCCCCTTGTATATCTCCATCAGAGATCCTGGGTAACAGGTGCATTGCCAATAAGCAGTAATATTTTTAAAAGAATCTTCTTTTCTGAGGATCAGATCTCAACAGTGGGCTTAAAATATTCAGTAAACCATGCTATAAACAGATGCACTGTCATCCAGGCTTTCTTCTTCCATTTATATAGCCAGCAGGGTAGATTTAGCATAATTCTCAAGGGCCATAGGATTTTCAGAATGGTAAATGAGCGTTGGCTTCAACTTAAAGTCACCAGCTGCATTAGCCCCTAATAAGAGTCAGTCTGTCCTTTGAAGCTTTTAAGGCATTGACTTCTCTCTAGCTATGAAAGTACTAGACGGCATCCTCTTCCAATCGAAGGCTGTATTGTCTACTCTGATAATCTGTTGTTTAGTGCAGCCACCTTCATTATTTATCTTAACTAGATCTTCTGGATTGCTTACTGCAGTTTCTACATCAGCACTTACTGCTTTACCTTGTACTTTTATGTTATGGAGGTGGCTTTTTTCCTTAAACCTCATGAACCAACCTCTACTGGCTTCAATCTCTTCTTCTGCAGCTTTCTCACTTCTCTCAGCCTTCATAGTATTGAAGGGAGTTATGGTCTTTCTCTGGATTAAGCTTTGGCTTAAGGGAATGTTGAGGTTGGTTTGATCTTCTATCCAGACCCCCAAAACATTTTCAATATCAGCAGTAAGGCTGTTTCACTTTCTTATCATTGTGTGTTCCCTGGAGTAGCACTTTTAATTCCCTTCAAGAACTCATGGGCATTTACAACTTGGCTAACTGTTTGCCTTTGGGCAAGAAGTCTAGCTTTTGGGCCATCTCAGCTTTTGACATGCTTTTCTCCCTAAGCTTAATCATTTCTAGCTTTTGATTTAAAATAAGAGATGTATGACTCTTCCTTTCACTTGAGCACTTAAAGGCCATTGTTGAGTTATTAACTAGCCTAATTTCAATATTGCTGTGTCTCAGGGAATAGTGAGGCCTGAAGAAAGGGAGAGAGATGGGGGAGCAGCTGGTCAGTGGAGCAGTCAGAACACACACAACATTTATCCATTAAGTTTGCCTTCTTATATGGGTGCAATTCGTGGCACCCCAAACAATGACAAAGTAACTTCAAAGATCACTGATCACAGATCACCATAACAGATATAATAATAATGAAAAAATTTTAAATATTGCAAGAATTACCAAAGTGTGACACAGAGACACAAAATGAGCACAACCTGTTGAAAAAATGATACCGATAGACTTGCTCAACACAAGGTTGCTACAAACCTTCAATTCGTTTAAAAAAAAAAAAAAAAAACCCAGCCGGGTGCAGTGACTCATGCCTATAGTCTCAGCACTTTGGGAGGCCAAGGGGGGTGGATCACTTGAGGTCAGGAGTTTGATACCAGCCTGGCCAACATAGAGAAACCCTGTCTCTACTAAAAATACAAAAATTAGCTGGGTGTGGTGGTGTGCCTGTAATCCCAGCTACTGGAAAGGCTGAGGTGGGAGAATCACTTGAACCTGGGAGGAGGAGGTTGCAGTGAGCTAATATTGTGCCACTGCACTCCAGCCTAGGTGACAGAGTGGGACTCTGTCTTAAAAAAAAAAAAGAAAAAAACCAACAAACCATAATATCTGCAGGTACAATAAAGTGAAGTGCAATAAAATGACATATGCCTGTATTCTTAGCAGATTCTGCTCCTCTTGTAAAATATCAGATTGATACACCGAGACCTATAATGTGTTAGAGTAAATGTGCATGAAGCTTAGCTGAAATACCAGAAAAGCTAATAATCTACAGTAGAAGATTGTCCATTTTTTAAAAAGTATGATAGATTATGGCCTTTGTTCCATAGAGGTAGGTTCAAACTTGTGGAGTTAACTAAATCAAATGATAAAAATCAGAGCTCATCAGTTAATGCAAGTTTTGGGTGGTGCTACTGGAAAAATACATTCTGATCATTTAATTTCATATTTTAATCAAATAGCCTACATAAATATATGCTAATGGGTCAAGATAATGGCCTTAGAACTTTAGAGCTGAATAAATCAGGCCTCTCAGGCATGGACTTAAATCTGTATTTCAATGAACTCTTTCAACCAGAACTATGCCTTGAACTATGACCCTAAATGTATTCTCACTACTGCCTGACAAAACTGGGCCTGTGACCTTCTCCAAGTATCTATCATGCATAGGTATTTCAGAGGCAATAAGTTTATGATAATATTTAAATTTCATCAGTTCTTGGGTCATGAAAGGGGAACATTCTACCTCATTCTCTGTTACTATTCAGCATGTCTTCTAGGTAGAGTTTTTTTATTTGTTTGTTTTTCCTTTGGTGTCCTAATATTCTTGTCAAATCAGAGACTGAGGGATTAAGAAGAGACTGAGGTATTAAGACACACATACCCAAGAATGGAACAGACAAAGCTGGAACCAGTTTATCAATAGATCCTTTGTAAGAGGAAAAAGAAAATGACTCTCTTCTGAGATCAGAGAATGAAAATCAAATAATTAAGCAGTGAGGAAGACTATGGTTCACTCTACAAATATTGGAAATTATATTAAGATGGTATATGTATAGGCAACTTTTATGTCCTTAGAAATGTATTTTGCCTGTGACATCCAAGCCAGCTGCAGTGGTGGGCAAAGCAGCCTCACTACATTCTTTGTATGTCAGATCCCTCTCAAGTTGAGGTCTTGGCCCCAATTAAATCAGTTCTGAGCTTTTTATAAATCAAGTCCTTCATAAATCTTGCAGTAACATTTCATTCTCTTTGCTCTCCTGCCTCTTACTGAGGGTAGCTTCAGGCATTTCCAGACCTTCCTGTTCAGCTGAGCCCTCTTGAGGAGATGTGTACAATTCTTCCTTTTGTTTCCCTCTATTTACGAAAAATACTCGCTTCCTCCAGGACATCTGTGTAGCATCTCTACCCGAGGGGAAACCCTTGTCTTCCACCCACACTCAGGGCTGCAAGGGATAGGTTCACAGCAGGACAACTGGTTGATTAGTCATGTAATTCAAAATTACTAGGTACTCAAACTTAGACTAGTGAAATACAAAATGTGCTCTCGTGTTTGGTAGTATTATATAAGCTTATATTATCATAGAATTTAGATTCTTGTAGAATGGCATAAGCCACAGAGAAGCAGGGGACTTAGAAATCAAAAGCCACTTGGCCTATTTGAAATGATCATGTGACACTAATAAGGCCCACCAGTGCAGAAAGGAGTAGCTGGCAGAGTTCTGCAGGGATGAGCTTGTGCGTACTCTCACCTAGTGGCATCAAATGCTGCTCCTCACACAGAGGCTAAACTGGATAGATGTTTATTTCAAAGCCAAGAGCCCTCAAATAGACCGTCCACATGGCAAGCCTGTGATTTCCTCTCCTGGAATATGAAGTGGCTTCTTTTCAAACATTTATGAGAAACATAAAATTTTAGTTTGCTTTCTCAAGTGAATAATAATTACTCTGGATGGGAAGGATTCATCCAGAGACATAAAAACATCCCCAGTCACTACTAATTAAAAGAAATCTACTAAGACATATATCACTTTGGCTAGAAAGCAATAGCATTCCTTATTCTAACTATATCACAGGGCTTGCCAAGTCTCAGTGAAAAGGGGAATTAATTTGACCCAGAAAGGCTTACTCAGAGAGGCATCCACCAGTCCTACGCTGTTGTCAGACTAACAAAAACAGTGTGGAAGAACAAGAGTTAGGGTAAGAATGATCTAAGAGAGGTTTCCTGAAGCCAGCACTATATCAGGCTGAAGGCAGTGAGATTCATCCAACAAGAGTTCAAGATTTTGAAAACTGGCACACACAGAAGCCTAAGCAGTGACACAGTAAGTAGGAAACAGGGGATGACCACAATATTTTGGTCAATTCATATAAAGGGTCCATTGGATGATATGTGATATGTCTTATTGACAAAGGTCAGGCTGGACTAAGGTATAGAGCAAATATGTCCTTACTCAAACCTCCTCAGAAGTAGAAACAAGGCTGGGCATGGTGGCTCATGCCTGTAATCCCAGCACTTTGGGAAGCCAAGGCGGTTGGATCACCTGAGTTCAGGAGTTCGAGACCAGCCTGGGCAACATGGTGAAACCCTGTCTCTACCAAAAATACAAAAATTAGCCAGATGTGGTGGCACAGGCCTGTAGTCCCAGATGCTCAGGAGGCTGAGGTTGAAGGGTTGCTTGAGCCCAGGAGGTCAAGGCTGTAGTGAGCTGTGTTTGCACCACTACACTCCAACCTGGGCAACAGAGTGAAATCCTGTCTCAAAAAAAAAAAAAAAAAGAAAGAAAGAAAGAAAGAAAAGAAAGAGAAAAAAAGAAAGGAAAGAAGGAAGGAAGAAAGAAAGAAAGAAAGAAAGAAAGAAAGAAAGAAAGAAAGAAAGAAAGAAAGAAAGAAACAACCCAAGTACCCAAGTGTCCATCAAGATAAATGAATAAACAAAATGTTGTGTGTACACACGATGAAATATTTTTCAGCTTTAATAAGGAAAAAAATTCTGGCATATGCTACAACATAGATGATCTTTGAAGACATTACACTAAGTGAAATGAGCTAATCACAAAAAAACAAATACTGCATAATTCCACTTATATGGGTTATATAGAATAGTCAAATTCATAGAAACAGAGAGTAGAATGGAGGTTGCCAGGGTGTGGGGGAGGGGGAAATGAGGAGCTGCTGTATGGTGGGTATAGAGTTTTAGTTTTGTAAGATGAAATTGTTCTGGAGATTGGTTGTACAGCAATGTAAATACACTTAACAATATTGAACTACACACTTAAAATTGTTAAGATGGTAAATTTTATGTTAGGTGCATTTTACCACACTTAAGACATTTTTTAACTTACAAAATTATACAATATATATGTACTGTTTATTATATGTCAGTTGTACCTCAATAAAACTATTTTTTTAAATAAAATAAAACAAAACAAAAATCAACTCCAGGTGGCCCATGTGAGGTCAGCAGGGATGAGCCCATTTTTTCTGCATAGTCAGAAAAGGCTGCAGTGCCGATCCACCTGGGTTGCCTATGCTATCTGGGTGTAACTGGACTCATGGGGTTAACTCTGAAGTACTTAACACTAATCATTCTAGTTTCCTGAGTTTGATTCCTCATTTTTTCTTAACTATATGTTTTCAAGATCTTCCTAAATTGCTTCTGTAAGTATGCAAGCTAATGGATTTGGTGAATAGTGACCTCTGAAAGAGTAGGTTCAGTAGGGGAGGTAAAATATAGATTTTAAGACATAATCATCATCACTAAAATTTACTGAGCTGCTTTTACTTGTCTCTTTTCACTTAAACCTCACAAGAACTGTATAAGATTATATACATGCATATTTTACAGGTTAAGTTGGAGGTCAGAGTGGTTAAGTAACTCATCAAATGTCCCTGACTATTGTGTCAGATAGAGTCTGTCTCAATCCATTTCATATTGCTATAAAAGAATACCTGAGGCTAGGTAATTTTGAAAGAAAAGAGGCTTATTTGTCTGACATTTCTGGAGACTGTACAAGAAGCACAGTGCCAGCATCTGCTTCTGGTGAGGGCCTCAGGAAGCTTCCACTCATGGAAGAAGGGGAAGGGGAGTTTGTATGTCTCATGGTAAGAGAAGGAGCGAGAGAGAGAAGGGGCAGACTCTTTTTGACAGCCAGGTATCGAGGAAATGAACAGAGCAAGAACTCTCTCATTACCACAAGGAGGGCACCAAGCCATTCATGAGGGATGAATTACCCAAAAACATCTCACCAGGCCCCACCTTCAATATTGGGGATCAAATTTCAACATGAGACTTGAAGGGACAAATATCCAAATTATATCAACGTCTTAGCAGAAGGCTGATTTTTTACTTAGATGTTCAAATTAAGGAAATATTAATGAATGGGCTGCTTCCCGAGGTGTGTAAGTTGAAGGTAGGCAAGTTTAAGGAAACCAGGAAGGAATGTCAAAGCACCCAGAGTCCAATACAAATGAAAATCCATTACTAGCCCTCTATGTGAAGGAGCAAGGGGAGGTCAAAGTTGGATAGTTATAAAATTAACATACATGAGAATGTTTGTAAACTGAGGGGAAGAAAATATTAGAAAGAGAGAAGTGATAGCTCATGCCTGTAATTCCAGCACTTTGGGAGGCTGAGGCAGGTGGATCACTCGAGGCCAGGAGTTAGAGACCAGCCTGGCCAACATGGCAAAACCCCATCTCTACTAAAAATATAAAAATCAGCTGGGCATGGTGGCACACATCTGTAATCCAAGTTACTCTGGAGACTGAGGAACAGGAATCACTTGAACCTAGGAGGCGGAGGTTGCAGAGAGACGAGATTGCGCCACTGACCACAGTCTGGGCAAAACAGTGAAATGAGAGAGAGAGAGAGAGAGAGAGAGAGAGAGATAAGAGGGAATAACTAAGAAGGCAAAGGCTGGAGAAAACAGGAATGGGTGATATCAAGATCACAATGAAAGAGTTTGCATTGGAAAAGAGAAAGAATACATCTTCCCATGAGACAGGAAAAAAAATTGGGAAAAGAATGAAAGGAAAATTGTTACTTATAAAGCAGATGGTGAGACTTTGATCTGAGAGAAAGGAGCCTGGGGTGATGTAGGAAAGAGAAGAGCTGACACAGAGCTGTTTTGGTAATTTGAGAGGAGCTCAACTGGGGGATAATTAGTGCATGGTACTATGGGCCACACAAATGCCCAACTAACCCAAATTTGCAACATACTCAGTCAGCATTGCTACAATCAAACACAACAGATCACCCATTTTTTTTAATCTCAATTTTTCCTTAAGAAAATGGTCTAAATAACAGGGTTGAAATGGTTAAGAAGCCATTTAAGTTATTTTTACTTCTGGAATTATGACTACTAGTATTCCAAGATACCCTTTTATCTCAGAATAACTAGATCCTGAATAGAATGCATATTTAGAGATATTGCTGATCTATTAGGAAAGAATCTTCTATGGCCCTCCATTCATTGACAGAGAGAGAGAGAAAGAGAAAGAGAGACAGAGAAAGAGAGAATATGAACTATAGTGTTTTGGCAGCCAGGTGGTGTGGGGTTGCCTTGAGGACAAATGACAATAGCTGCACTTATCTCAAAATATTGAGCTTAGGCTGATGCTAAAACAAAGGAAGCATATAGAACAATATATACAACAAACACTGATACAATTTAAAGAAGGAATTGACATATTTTTCATCAAAGTATGTTTTAACACATCTCTTTGAAATATTATAGGTTACACATGCCAAAAGAACATAGTAATGTAGATGATTTGAGTAAATAATCTTGATCTAATATGTAGATCACACATAGAACTCTGCTCCCTCAAATTGGAGAATTACCTTCTTCTCAACATTCACAAAAGTTGATCATAATCTTGTTAAGCAAGCTACAACAAATGTAAAACTTTGTACATAAAGACCACATTCTCTGACAAGAGTGCAATTTGGTGAAAGTCAATAACAAAATGATGAAAAAATCCTCATACATTTGAAAATTTTAAAACAGTCTTCTAAACAAATTGTGGGTCAAAGAACAAATTGTATTGCATATTTAATTACTCAGATCAGCATAATAATGCAAATAATACATATCAAAACATGGCATGCAGCTAAAACAGAACTTGGAGAATAATTTATAATCTTAAATGTTTATTTTGGAAAAGAAGAAGCCTTAAATGTAATGAGCTTAAGAAATTAGAAACAGAAAAAGAGAATACACTCAAAGAAAGGAAAGAGATAATGAAGATAAGAGTTGAAATCAATGAAATAGAAAACAAAGATACACTCAAGAGGATCAAGAAAGCCACAACTTAAATCTTTGAAAAGGTTAATAAAATTGCTTAATGTCTGTCAATATTGATAAGGAGTAAAAAAGAAAATGCATAATTAAACAATATTAAACGTTAATTACATATAGCAGTGATTAGAAAGAAAAGCTATTATGAACAACTTTATGCCAATAAATATGAAAACAGAGACATAAAATGAATAAATTCCTAGAACTTTAAAACTGAGTCTAGAAGAAATAGAAAGCCTGAATTGTTCTATCCTTATACAATAAGTTAAAGCAGTATTTAAAACTTTTCTCATAAAGAAAGCAACATAGCCTATGATTGTATAGGTGAATTCTACCAAATTTTCAAGGGACAGATCATTCCCATTTTATAGAAGCTCTTCTACAAAATATAAGGAAAAGGAATATTCCCCAATGTATTTTATGTGGCCAGAATAATGTCAATACCAAAATCAGAGAAATACAGTAACAGAAGTAAAACTACAGGACAAAACCACTAATGAATGTACACACAAAAATTCTTAATAAAATATTAACTAATTAAATCTTTCATTAAAAAATAGAATACGAGGGGATTGACTGCATAGAGGCATGAGGACATTTTTGGGGTGATGGTAATGATCTATGTGTTGATTGTAGTGGTGGTATATAACTGCATATATTTGTGAAAATTTATTGAAATGTACATCTAAAATGTGAATTTAATTTTTTGTAAATTATATCTCAGTGAAACTTTTTTAAAAAAAGAGATTTTTCTAGAATTCCACACCCATTCCATGATTCTTAGTAAATTATATGAATAAAAGAAAATATTCTTATCTTAATAAAGACTATCTAGCAAAAATTTGCATCAAATATTATTGTTAATGAGGGATGCCAGAAGCATTAGAAAGAAGACAAGGATGTCTGCCATTATGGCTTCTATTCAACATTGTACTAAAGATTCTAGCTGCATGATAAGACAACAAAAAGCAAATAGAAGCATAAGAATAGAAAAGAAAGCAAAATTGATAATTTCAGATAATAGATTTGTTTACACTGCAAATCTCAAACAACAGAATTAGAAATAATAGAATTTAGCAAGGTGACTGACTTAAAAAGCAAAATAAAAGGTAAATTTATATATCTATGTGCCAGCAAGAAACAAAAGGATTTTTAGAAAGGAAATAATTTGTAAGAGCAATAAAAAATAAGGTACTTAAGAATAAATATAACAAAAGATGTACAAGAATTGTAGTTAGAAATTTTAAAAATTAGGAGGAAAGGAAACCTAAATGGAGAGATTGCTTAGTTTATAAATAGAAGGATTCATTGTCATAAATATGTTAAGTATCTCCAAGTTGGTTGATTCATGCAGCTTCAATCACACTTCCAACAGGTTTGGAACTCAACAGGCTGATTCTAAAATGTACATGTAAGAGCAAAGAGACATGAAAGAGGGAGTACATTGGGATCTTTGCCTTATCAGTTGTTAAGACTTATAAAGCTATAGAAACAGACAAATAGATTACTAGATAAAAATAGAGAACCCAGAAAAAAGCCTACACATATATGGAATTTTGATAAATGATATAGATGATGCCACAAATTTGTTGGGGGAAGAAAGAAATGTTCAACGAATGGTGCTGGGACAATTGATTATTTATATAGAAAAATATTAAGTTGGTTCCCTAGAATTCTCCATACATAAAATCCATTCTAGATGTATTATAAAATAAAACATAAAAGATGAAACTTTAAAAATGCGAAGTGAAATGTGGAGAATGTCTTTCTGACCTTGGGATAAGAAAGAATGTCTTAAGACAAAACACACTATAAAAGAAAAGATTAACATTAAAAATTTCTCTTCATCCAAAGATACTACAAAGAAAGAGAAAATACAAATCACATTGTAGGAGTGGAGAATGATACAAGCACGTTGAAAAACAATTTGGTTATTCTTATTAGATGAACATTTGTTTATCCTGTGGTCTATCAGTTCCACATCTAGTTATGGATACTCTTGCTTCTGTGCACTAGGAGGCAAGGACAAGAACATTCAAACAGCACTGTTGGTAAAAGCAAATAGCTGGCAACCTACTACCATAATAAGGATTAGACTTATTTAGAGTTGCTCCACAGAGCCTAACATAGTTCAGTAAAAGGAATCTTCAGGAAAGCAGGTTTTCTTTTAGTGAAAAGAACTTTTTAACATTCAAAACCATCCAAAGGCTTAGTAGACTGCTTCCCACGGAAAGAGTTCCCTTAACTGGAAGTGATCAAGTAGTTCTGTGTGTTGCAGAGAGAATTCCACCACTGGGTGGAAGGTTTTACTAAATGAATAGCAAGATTTTTACCAGCTGTTAAGGTTCAGGGATTCTACACATAATCCTTACAAAAACTCAGCCATGCTACTGAGCTGATATTAGAAATACATTATTTGTACATCAGTTGTTTCCAGAAATTCACCTTAAAAGCACAGTTCTTTCTGGGAGTGGTGGGCTTTAAGCAATTAGCATATAACACTGACCAAATATATCAAAGATTGGCAATGTAGTGGACTTAAAAATCTGGAAAGAAAGAGAACAAAATAAAAACAATATTCCTTTTATTAACAAAATATGATCATAATAACTGTAAAAGAATTTTTATGACAGGAAAAGTCACCCTTACCCCATTGTCTTAAAACTCTAACATAACCCTTTCCTGCATTTTTTCTCTGCCCACTGGGGCTTTAAAAAAAATGTATTGGTAGTCAGAAATATTTTGATCTGAGAAGACTGGGGGAGTCAGTTTAGGGTCAGCAGCCTGGCTTAGAGTGTGGGTAGATTATTGCTGAGGGATATTTGGGGAGAGTCCTAAAGCCTAGAAGTGAAAGGTGAGGAGGCTGCAAGAGGAGAGGGACTGGCTGGGTTAAAGCCCAGAACCTTGTAAAGCACCTGCTTTTGGGTGGTGGTTCTCTACCTCCTGGGTCCTGCCTTAACCAGATCAAATGGCTGCTCTCTCCTTAGGCAGAAACCACATGCCTTCTGCCCGCTAGCTGCCTCTGGTGGCCTTGCACCCTCTCTGCTGCTCTCCCTCCTGGAGTTCTTCCTGCAGGGGAACCTAACCAAGTAAGCCTCTTTTTATTGCAATACGACCAGTCATGCTTTCAGTTCCAGATGTTGCTGGCATCAGTTGAACAAACCTCACGAAAGTCATAAAGCCAAGCACAAACCACAGATTAATTGTTTTAGATGTTTTCTCTTTCTGAGAATTGGAGCAGGGCCCTCAATCTTCTTCATGTCTCTCTTAGTTCAATCAATGTGGGGACAAGTAAAAGTCACAGTTTTCAACCAGTTGTTAATCATAATTATGTAAGAATAGTGTAGGGCCCAGTAGAGTCTAGTGAACATTACCAAGGATCCAGACATGGTGCTGGAGGAACTGGATCATTGCCGTTCCATACAGTGAGATGGTGGTCTAATTTGCTGAGAGGCCACAGAGCATCTAGAAAGGTGACAGATAGGAATTTTGAGGCTTGTTTTTTTACCTTAAGGACATAACCTTAAACGTTAGCACGATATAGACAAATATCTCTCAGCTAATAGAAGGTCAAGTCAGGCCAGGGTTAGGTGGACCCATAGCCCATGTCAGGAGCATTAGGAAGAGAAAAGAATGATTCCACCGTGAAGCAACACCAGGAATGTACCTTCCCAGGCAGAGTCCGAGTTCTCATGGAGGGCAGCTATCACCTGTGCTGCTAGGCTTCTGGTAGGGCCTGAAGTCTTGGGCACCATAGGTACATCTGCATGTGCCACAAGTCAAAAAAGACAGAGACATACTTTCTTCCAACCCCCATAACTCTCTCTTAAGCCTCTAGCCCAGTGTATATGTAGCTCCTCTGCCTACAACTCCTTCCCTGTCCTAGATCTTTTTTCCTGGCTCCTACTTGTCTTTTAAAATTCATCTTGATGTTACTTCTCCAGGAAGCTTTCCTAAACCATCACTTCCAAATCCAAGTTCCCACAGCACCCTGGGCTCTATGACTATGTTATGTGTTATTTTTGTCTCTCTCCTACCTAGCCTGAAGCCTCCTCTAAAGTCAAGACACTTTCTTGTTCACTCTGTCCACATAGGAGCTGCTCAACATGCTCTTTGAATAATTGAATAAATGAATGGCATCCTAGGATTATCTGAGGAGCATCAGCAATAGTAGCAGACATGTTCTAAAGATAGTATGTCATCAAAGAGGAGCAGTAAGCTTTCTCCCTGGGACTCCAAGACCAACAGTTTTCATCCAGGTCAAGGACGAGAAAGAGACTGGAGCCCCACGATGGCTTAGAGACCATCATGATATTAGAATGAATCGCAGAGTACTGTAGTAGTTCAGAGGCAACTTCCAGAGCAATGATGATGAAGAACATGTTTTAAGTTATGATCTGGCCTCCACAGAGCACTGGGAGGGGACCCTTGAGACATCTGAGTACTACCGCGCCTCAGAGATGTTTCCAGAGCAAGACCAATAGGAGCCCCAGTTAATCTGTGTTCTGTTGCCAGGTACGGGGCAACGTCCAACCAACCATGGGGATAGTCAGGGTGGTGGTGGTAGTGGGGGGGCACGGGTTTGAAGTAAAGAAGAAATGGGCAGAATCTGGCACTATTTTGAGTCTGTCAAATCGCCATACATGAGGTAAAACACATAATTCTTGGAAGTGTAGGTAATATATGATGTCTCAATATATGACAGACTAGTAATAGTGGATATTGCATCCTTATTATTATGATTAATAATATTATTATTAATTAATGATCCTCAAATTAATTAATTAATCCTCAAATTAAAATTATCCTAACATTACATGGCCAATTATTTGTGGGTGGAGGGGTTGACTACTCATGACTCAAGTAGTTTTATTGTTAGATGAAAAGGATGCAGAGCGAGTGGAAGCCATGAACTCTATCCTGGGTTTGATCAGCAAAGGGCTGCAGGAAACTTGCATTTTACCAATATGTTCCCCTTTAGAGAAAAGCTACAGAGATTTGTATTAATGGATTCCTGGTCAGCTTCCATTACACTTTTGTTTCTGTTCCTGTACCACCAAGAAGCCCTCGCTGAGCTGAGTGGTGAGAAAATTAAAGGGATTTTGTATAGGGAAGTATTGCCCTGCTTCAACCAGCAGATAAGTGCTCCACCCCTTGCTCTCTCTCCTGAAGCAGGAATACACTCTTCACTATGGGGGTGACTGATCTGCTTTGTGGGTGCAAGATAGCAGTCATGTCTCCTTTTGTTACTCTTCTCTCCTTTGTATGGCCCCCACAATTGTCTTTCAAAGGTTCAAGAAACTTCTGAAGAAAACACCCAAGAACCACTTCTGCATACCAGAACCATGGCAGCCTGGTCTGGGTGACAGCCAAAAAACTTTTTCTGTAAATAGCTGGAGAGTGAATATTTTATGCTTTTTGCAGGCCATGAGGTTTCTATCACAGCTACTCAACTCGGGCTTGTAGCAGAAAAGCAGCCATAGACACTATGTAAATGAATGGATGTGACTGTGTTTCAGTAAAAGTTTACTGGGCCATAGTTTGCTGACCCTTGAGTTAGATCAACAAAAGGCTCTCTTTACTGGAAGGTACTTCCATATTACAGCAGGTTACCAGAGTGTTCTGGGCTCCTCTGGTGAACTGTGTTGAGGATGGTTGGCCTGGAAGGCAGTAGGTCAGCAGCAGGTCAACAGCCATACCCTGACTGCTGCTGTCAAGGCCACTCTGCTGCAGGGAGCAGAGAGGAGGGACTGATCAGGGTAGTGAGGGGAAGGGGGAAAGGAAAGTTAAAATGCATGGTAAGAAAAGGGACTCTGAGTTCCCTGGATCTGAGGGATTGGGACAGAGGAGGGAATTGGGAGGTAGGAGTAGGACAGGGTAGTGGGTGGGGACCTCCGCTTTAGCCAGCTCCCTTTCCCTGGGTCAGAAACTGTAAAAAACAAAACAAACAAAACAAATTTATCTGTAACAAAGATGCCTACTCCCAGCAGCTCCTGGACAAAGCCTCTAGCAGCTGCAACTGGACCAACCCTCAAATGGTCCATGACCTTACAGATTAAAGACCTGGTCCATTATTTATGTTGCCTCATTTCTTGTATCACCCCAAAACTCACTAAAGCAGATTTACTTTCAACTGCACTCAATCAAATAGATGGTATGCTTAGAGGTATCACAGGGAAGATCCTCTTCACAGCCCTGCCCTCACTCTCCACTGTTGCAGAGTTAATCTTTAGAAATATTGAGTCCCCAGGCTTGCCATGTTCTCCTGGTAGGGTGGGAGGAAATACTCAGTGATTGTTTCTCTCCTATGATTCTGCTTCTCTTCCTATGCTGAGAATTCTGTTCTGTTTGCTGCTGATAGCTCCCAAATAATGAATGGTCAGGTCGTGGGATGACTTCAGAAATGGCAACCACTGAATGGCAAAGAAAGTCCTTCCAAGTGTGTTTGTATCATCCAGAGCCTAAATCATGCCTATATAAGGACTTCAGGTAGAGGATTACATAGGGCATGTAGCTCCACAGTTAGGAATTCTGAGCAAATACTGCACTAGAAGGAAGCATATAGGTGGCTGAATTGTTTTCAGAAAGCTTTCTCTTCCCTTTTCTGGTTGCTATGGTCTATATATTGGTGTCCCCCCAAAATTCATGTTGAAAACCTAATCACCAATGTGATAATACTAGGAGGTGGGGCCTTTGGAACGTGATTAGATCATGAGGGCACATTCCTGCTAAATGGAGTTAGTGTCTTTAGAGACTTCAGAGAACTGCCTTGCCCCTTCCACCATGTGAGGATACAATGATAAGGAACCAAAAAATGAGCCCTTATCAGACACTGAATCTGCCAGCACCTTGATCTTGTACTTTCCAGTCCTCAGAACAGTGAGAAATAACTTTACGTTGTTTATAAGCTACTCAGTCTAAGGTGTTTTGTTATTGTAACCCAAATGGACTAAGACACTGGTTAAGGTGGTTTTTACACAGACACAGTCGAGAATGGCAGTGTGTTTAAGTAGGTGTGCTCTAGAGTCTGATGACTTGGGCCCTAAATTCCTGCCCTGACACATTCTAGCTGTCAATGACTTTGGACAAATTACTGAACTCCTCTGATCTGTATCTGCCTCCTCTTTAAAGTGAGCAGACTGATACTATCTAATTTAGAGGACTAATATGAGAATTAAATGGAAATCATCTGTGTGAATGGCTTAGGATAGTAAGTTTCTTTTTCTTCTCCTTCCTATTATTATTACATGGACATGAATGAAAGGATGCAGAAAAAGTCCCATACAAACCCCAGACTTCCTCCTCTGAGCCTATTCTAGCTGCACAAATTCTACCCCTGGAGAATTCTTTGGAATAAATGTAAATCTGTTTGGAGATAGAACAAGGTACATTATCAGCTATTTATATTTCAGGGAGCATACATATGCTTCTCTATACGCATTACTCTTCACTTTCATATGTGTTAACATATTCAGGACTTGGACAGGCCTGAAAAAGTAAAGCTCAGGAGGGATCTTCTCTTCATTTTACAAAGGGAAAAATATGAGTCACAGAATCTAAATCATTCTGTGGGAGCCTGGACAGAAACCAAGTGCTATTGCACTAGGGCAGTGTTTTTCAAAGTGTGGGCCAAGGTTGCCCTCTGCTCCAGAAGACTTTGTCAGGGTTTGTGTCAGGATCAAGCCCCAGCTGAGGTCTGAGGGGAGTGGGTGGACTGGGGGCAGGAAGCTGGAAGAACTCTCTCGAGACAGCAGGTAGATGAGACATGGCTTTATTCAGCAGCTCTTTCACAGTGTCAGTGTTACATTTATACACCTCACAAACAGTAGTGGCCGAGAGCCAGGTCATGAGCATCTCTAAGTTATATCTACATAGCTGTGATTATATAAGGCATGGGAATGTGCACCTTTGCTCCAATCCCGCTGAGCCATGCAGGATGTTTACCTCGGCCTATGACTGCTTGGCTGCAGTGCAGCCATGTTCCCTATGCTCCACTCCCTAGGCCGAGAGGATCCTCTTAGTGGGGACCTGAGCACATAGGGAAGCACCCTGGACTTATAGGCCACAACACAGAGAGCAACAACCTACTACTAACATTCCTGCTATGCTATCTATGATTATGAGAGCCCAACTTAGACCAGAGCTCAGAGATGCATACTATCTCTGCAGGGGGTGGTCAGTAAGGCTCTCAATCACCTTAATCTCCCGTGACACCACTTGTAAAGCTGTCGTTATGTTCTGGTGGTTGTCAGGGATGAATGTACAACATTGCGTCCCTACAAGGGCACAGATGCTACCTTAGGCAGCTGTAACTATGTCTAAGGCAATCCGGTTTGGCAGCACCACTTTCCTGATCTGATTAACTTCATCGGTTAGCAAAAGGAGGGCAATTCAGGTGTAATTTAGGGCCCAAGCTGCGTGCTCTGCAAAGGCTGTAACCTACATTTCTACAGTGATGACACTTACCCCAGGGATAGTTATTGCTAAGCGATAGAACCACCAGGGGGCCCGCCACACTCACAAAAAGCAGAAACGCAGCACCTCCCACTTATGCGGGCAACTAGGCAATGTGGGAGCACAGTGGCAGGCATATAAGGTCACCCCCAGGTACAACGTCCAGTCCAGTTGGCTGGCATGATATGGCCATCCTGTGTTCTCACAGACCCATAAACTCCCAGGGGCTACAAAGTCCATGGGGGCCTGGTCTTGGCAAGGTGTGTGGCATGTGTTACATTTGCACAGGCCTCAGCCAGCAGCCATCCCAGAATGACTTTACCCCAGTGTTGCTCTATACATCGTGATACCTGCAATGGGGGCACCATGTGTTCTCCCATTAGCCAGCCCTCATGGACGTTATGAGTCAGCCAGGGGGCAAGCTTGCCATGGGTTTTGTGACACCCCCTATCCAAAGCCTCCATGTTGCATCCCACCCATTGTCCGTGGGACCCCAAGTCTTTAGCAATGTCCGGTTCTGCACAGAAGCTGGATGCACAAGCCAGGGCAAGCTGTCTGCAGCTGCTGCTGGAAGGGCGGTGCAGATCCAACAGTTGGAGACATTGGTCAACTCGGTGTAGGTGTGGGCCCAGTCCATGATGTTGTTGGAGCATGCCAACCTACAGCTGAAATGACAAAGCAGGAACCGGTACCTATAGCGGTAAATCACATCACTCAGGCAAAATACAGGCCAACTTTTTATCTCTGGATAACAATGCAACCATCAAGGACTTCTGCCCTGGCTGATGATACCACACCTTCTTAGCTCCCCATGGTTCTTTTGGGTCTCGTAGCTGTGTTAAAGTCACAGGGGAGATCATAATAGGCCACACAGACATAATAGGCCACACATAATAGGCCATACATATGTTCCCCAGAGGAGGGTCCCTTCCCTACTTTTCCCCTACCAATGGTCAATCATGAAGGCCACACATTAAATACCCAAGGAGTCACATGTAAGTCATACTGCATGCCCTCCCCTAAGGGGGCTACAATAGCCAATCATCTGTAATGGAGGGCTTGGAGGGTCCATGGCCAACACCAGGTTTTCTGTTCCCCTCCCTTCAGGGGCACCAGAGCAGGCAACAACAGATTACCATTTGTCCCCATACCTGGTCGGAGGAGGTCATTCTTGGTGTGTATCTGTAGCAGGATGGGGGCAGCGGGCTGGTGTAACAGTGCCTCCACCGGGGCTGGGCTGCCTTTCTGTGGCCACTTATTCAAGATTTGAAGCACCAGGTCCAACCTGGAACTCCAGCCCCCAAGGATGGGGAAGTAACATGCAAACATAACCTGTTCTTCAGGAGTCTGTTATATTGCTCAATCATGCCAGCGGCTTGTGGGTTATAAGGAACATGGAACTCCCATTGTATGTCCATCTGCTGTGCTCACTGTCGTATTTGATGTCCAGTAAAATGTGTTCCCCTATCACTTTTGATGGCCAGAGGAAGGCCATATAAGGCACTTAAGTGTTGCAGGGCTCGAATGCTGTGTTGCTGGTTGGCCAACCTGCAAGGGTAGATGAGCAACAAGCCGGTGGCTATGTCTGCAGCCATCAGCGCATATGTGTAGCCCTGCAATTTTGGCAGTGGCTCAGCGTAATCTATTTGCCATCTGGTCAAGGGCATCTGCCCTACTGTCACTTGTTGTGTCACATTGGGCAGTTGTCTTTGTCTCAGGTATGCTTGAGCACATGCTGGGCACTTCTGGCAGGCCTCCAAAATGTCCTGTGAGGGCAAAGACAGATGCCAGCACCTATTGACCTGTTGCATCAGTTAACCCCCGCTTGTCCCAGTTTCCTGTGTAGCCACAAGGCTACATCTCATATAGGTGCCAACTCTAACCACCTGACCTTGGCCAAGGCATCTGCCTCATCATTACCAGAGTGACCAAAGACATATGGGCTGACATGTGATAGATAGTTACATCTTTCTGATGACCTGTTTCCCAGAGGTCTTGCCACATAGTTTGTCCCCAAATGGGCTGATGGCCTACAAGCCAATTCTGTAACTTGCAGGTAGTCAACCATAAAGTTAAACCTCAATAGACTCCCCAGCTATTGGTGCAAAGTATCATAGGTGACTCCTCTCTGGGAATCACCATCCTCAACCACTCTGAGTTCAGCCCACTGGGTGCTTTGTCCACACCCAGTATCAAACTATATGGTGTCAGTGTCGGCTGGATTGCCACAGCAGTCCAGGCAGCAGCAGCACCCTGGCTGGACCCATCTGTATACCATGCCCCATCAGGAACGAGAGGATACCCTTTCTTTAACAGTGATGGCTCAGGGTCTAGGGGTGCCTCAGGCCCCATGGCCTTATCTTCCATTAGGACTATAGGCCCCAAGGCTTCTTGTAACTCTGCTGCTAAGGGAGTTGTAGTCAGCATACTCTGCTGTTCCAAGTAGGCACCCCGCTTCGCTAAAGTGGTTGTCTGTGCTGTCCCAGTCTGGAGGGTCACTACTCAGGAATGTACCCACCCGACTATTGGGTAACTCATCTGCACGATGACTGTAGCCCAATCCGTCACAGTCTCATAAGCCTGAAGAGCAGCATATGCAGCAGCTAATTCCTTCTGTATTAATGAGTACTGGAGCTCAGCTCCCTTCCACAGCTGGGACCAAAAACCTACTGGCGTTCTAAAGCACTCCATGCGCTGCCATAGGACCCAGCCAAAACCGTCTGTGGTTACATGTACATCAAGTTCAAATGGGCACCCCTGATCAATTACTTGTAAGGCCTGTGTTTGCTGAATGGCCCACTTGGCGGCCAGAAGGTCTGTTCCAGCTTCATTATCCCAATCCCAGGTAGCCCCTTTTTTTGATAACCCATACAATGGTTTTATCATTTGAGCCAAATGGGGCACAAATGGCCGCCAATACTCCAAGAGGCCTACAAAAGTCTGCAGCTGCTTCATCGTGGTGGGTCGGGGGTATGCCTGGATTTTCTCAATGATGGCCTCTGGTATGGCCTTTGTCTTACTCAACCAAATAACTCCTAAGAATTTCGCAGATAATCCAGGCCATTGGACCTTGGATTTGTTGATGGCCCAACCACATGCTGCCAAATGTTGCCACAAGAGGGGCACTGCCACTTTTAAATCTGCAAGAGAATCAGAGGTTAACATAATATCATCAATGTAATGAAACAGGAGGACCCCTTTTGGACATTTCCAGGCAGCTAATTCCATGGCAACAAGACCACGACAAATGGTGGGGCTATGCACATAGTCCTGCGGCAGTATGGTAAAAGTCCATTGTCATCCTTCTCATGTGAAGGCAAACTATTCCTGGCTCTCTGGAGCAATGTCAATGAAGAAGAATGCATTAGCTAAGTCCACCACAAAGTGGTACTGTCCTAGTTCCATTGTCAAGTGGTCTGTCAAATCCATGATGGAGGGTACAGCTGCATGCAGAGGAGGTGTCACCTTATTCAGTTCCCAATCATCCACTGTCATCTGCCAAGTTCCATCAGGCTTTCTGACTAGCCATACCAGGGAATTGTAGGGGCGATCAATGCTACGCACTATTTACACCTCATCTAACTTCTTAGTAGTCTTAGTTATCTCTGTATGCCCCCCTGGCAAATGGTATTGATGAGTGGAGGTAACCCATCAGGGTTGTGGCAGAGCTTGGGACTGGTGATGTGTATGTCCACGCAGTACCAGCTTTACTATGCAAACTTGGAGTCTGAATTCTTTGGCCGTGAGGTGTAAATCCAGACCATGCAAAATGTCCATCCCCAGAAAATATTCACGTATAGGAGAGACATACACAGAGTATAGGTGGGGATCCAAGCGGCCAATGCCAAGATGCAGAGACAGGTTTCACCTTTACTGATTGGCCCCCATAACTGTCAATGAATACAGTTTTGCCCAGAAACTTACCCGGGTTCCCAAAAACTAGACTGCAGTCTGCACCAGTATCTACCAGTGCCAAGACCCTCTGTACATTAGTTGGGGAGCAGTGGATTGCCAGCTCCACATGTGGCCTCTGGTCATCCACTCCCCAACTCCCACAAAGCCAGGCATCTTGGCCAGTTCCCTAATCAAACAAGAAAGGTGCCATATCTTCGCCTGTCTGCAAATAGTCCTTGAGCTGCAGTGTCTAGACAGGATTAGGTTGAACAACTGTTTTGCCCCTTCTTGGGCATTTTCCAGAATTGTTGCTCTGGGGAAAATTGCCTCCACAGAGCCAACAGCATTTCACTGGGTTGCCCGTCAAGTGTCTCTTGAGCAACCCTAGCTGAAAGTAAATCAAACCACATTGGCTTGTGGGTCACCCACTGGGCCCCTTGTTATATCCTTGGATAGTTACCTGTGGACCTTCTTTACAGCATGGACTTTCCCTTCTTTATGGCATGGAGTCCCTGGTCCTGCCAATGGCCTTCTGCCTCCCCAAGGGCTGCCATAGCGGTAGTCACTTCATGTATACGGTGCCCCACATATAGGGTGAGAACAGAGGCCAGAGAGCCAAAAGAGTTTGGGGATGCTGAGCCCAGCACCAGATCCCTCATGTGGGAGGCAAAGCATTTATCATCTGGCCCCCAGGTATTCAGATCAAACACAGCCTGCTGCATACCCATCTCCTAGAGTATCTGCACCAAATCAGTATATGATTGCCATTTACTCACAGTTTCTGGTATTTCTCTGGCATCATTCCAAACAGTCCATGTGGCTCCCATTAGCCACTCAATTAAAGTGTGGTCATCTTGTCCCTGTGCTGACCATTGGCACAGCTGCAGCCACTAATGAAGGGAGGGGTGAGTTGTGATAGAAGCCAGCTTCTCTATCAGAGGTGGAGCAGGGAATGTTGTCAGTTCCTTTGTCCCAAAGATGGAGTAACCAGGCAGGGAGGGGCTGCCGGCGCGTTTACCTAACTCACACAACTCAGTGGGGTTATAAGCACTATAAGAGGTGTGTTCCACCACTGTGGGAGTCCCTGGGCTCTCCCCTGGGGCTCCATTGGCTGCTTGCGTTCTACTTCTGATGGATCATGGGGCAAGCCAGCAGCAGAAGAGCCTCCTCCTCCTCGGCATCAGACCCAATGAGAGTGTCCGGCTGGGAGGATGGGCTCAGGTCGCACTAACAGCTGTTGCTAACTCCTGTTCCAGGCTGTTTATCTGGGCCTCTAAGCACCCTGCTTGAGCCTGGAAGTCCTTCATCCCCAGGCTGTACTACAAGCTGTGCATTTTGGCCCCCAGGCACTTAGCTTGTGTCTGAAGATCCCTTACCTGCACTGTGTCCTGCAAGGACTGAGTATATACTTCACACAGTGCAGTCAGAAATGCCCATCGACTCTGCCGGCAAAAGTGCATTCCTTCTTGAAGCTGTGTGCTTCCAGCTGCTCCAGTGCCTTCTCCACACTCGTGGGAGACCAGTCCACTGCCTCCTATGTTTCCACTGGGGCCCATCCAAGCAGCACCTCTGCCACTGGGTACCACAGCCCGTGCTGTGGCCACAGAGCTGACCTGGAAGCCTCAAGGAATGAAGACCCACTCACCTCATCCTGCTGACTATGCCAATTGTCAGGTTCGAGCCCCAGCTGAGGTCTGAGGGGAGTGGGTGGATAGGGGGCAGGGAGCTAGAAGAACACTCGAGAGACAGCAGGTAGATGAGATATGGCTTTATTTAGCAGCTCTTTCTCAGTGTCAGTGTTACATTTATACACCTTACAAACAATAGTGGCTGAGAGCCAGGTCATGAGCTTCTCTATGTTATGTTTAGATAGCTGTGATTATATAAGGCATGAGAATGTGTGCCTGCACTCCAATCCTGCTGAGTCATGCAGGATGTTTACCTCAGCCTGTGCCTGCTTGGCTGCAGCACAGCCATGTTTCTTACAGCTTGCTAAAAATACACATTCCTGGGTCACATCTCTCTGAGACCTGCTGAATTAGACTCACTCGATGTGGGGCTTGGTAGTCTGTATTCTTAGCACCCTCTTCATGTAATTTAGATATATGTAACAGTTTTAAAAATCATTGCTCTTGGGTTGATACCAGTGTCTCTCAATCCCTATTAAACATCTCAATTACCTGCAGAGGATTTACTTAACAAAAACACATTCAAGCATGCCTGGGCCCCACTTCCCAGAATTCTGATACAGTAGGTTGAGAGTGAATCCCTGGCATCCTCAGTGATTCTGATTCCAGGCCAAAGTTGAAAGTTACTGATCTAAATCAGTGGTTTAAAACTTTGCTGAACATTAAAATGACCTGCACTGGCTGCACCATAAACCAATGAAATCAGAATCCCCGGGAACAGAACCCAGCCATCGGTATTTTTAAAATGTCTCCCAGGAATTCCTGAAGTGTAATCATGATTGAGAACAAGTGGTCTAGATCAGATGTCAGTAAACCTTTTCCTTAAAGGTCCAGAAAACAAATATTTTAGACTTTGTGGGCTATGTGGTCTCTGTCACAACTACTCAATGCTGCCATTATAGCATGGAAGCAATCATACACCATATGTAAATAAGTGGCTGTGACTGTGTTTTAATAACATTTTATTTGCAAAATTAAGTGGTGGGCCAGACTTGGCCTATATTTGCCATTTGTAGATCAGTGTTTCTCAAATTATTTGTGGTACAGGATTGTTTTTTAAAAGAATTTCCAATCTGTGGCAGACTGATTCTTTTGTAAAATACAATAAAAATAAATTACTAGAAAAATGAAAAAGACAAAATATGAGCCTGCTGATTATGCAGTTGGATATTATAGCAATATTAAATTGCTATGATAGTTTCTAAATACTTACACTCCATTTCTTTACTTATCTTGCATGAACTGACAACAACCATCTCAGACTAGACTCATTCAAAAACTACACTTTGAGTAGCATAGGTATAATCAAATCAATCATCTTCCTGTTTAAGGAATAAATGTGAACACAGTTGGGTAGAAAAAACTTCATAGAGAAAGGACCTTTGAATCCAACTTTGAAAAAGGAGATGGACCTCAACTAGTGAAGAAGCAATGACTAGCCATCGTAGCCTAATACTTATCACTTAAAAAGCACTCCATAAAGTGAGCTGAATTGAATCAGGCAGTGAAAAGCAAGGTTTGTTAAGAAGATAGAGAGAAATGTGTTTGCCACTGTAAATAGAGGAGTGCTGATGGACTCCCAAAAGAAAGCGTGTTGAAGGGCTTTGAAATCAGAAAGGATTTGAAATCAGCTACTGGCATTGCCACTTAGTAGCTGAGTTTGTGGCAATTATTGACAATTCCAAGCATTGGTAACCTCATTTATAAAGTCAAGAATATTGTTAACTTCCCAGGATTGCTGAGGGAATTTGAGTTTTATAGTCAAAGTGCTCAGTATCTGGTGCTCAATACAGACAGTGATTATTGTTGGGGAGCCACAAGGGGCAGTGGAGAGAATGCCAGCCAGCTTCAGAGCCAGGCAGAGTTGGGTGTGAATTCTGGCTCTACCATTTGTGTGACATTGGGTCATTTAACCTCAGTGAATCTCAGTTTCTTCATCTATAAAACAGAGACATTCATACCTACCTTTCAGTTAAACTAAGAATTTGAGATTATCAAAATGTGTAAAGTACCTGGCACAAAAGAAGCATCCAGAAATGGTAGCTATCATTTTCTCATACGATTTTTTATTCATATATAATCCACATACCATAAAATTCATCCTTTAAAATGTATAATTTAGTAGCTTTTAGTATATTCACAAAGGTGTTCAACCACCACCACTATCTAATTTTAAAATAGCTATTGATTTTAAACTATTTAAATTCAATAACCCTAGGTTGTCCTCTGTCCTTTCATACCCCAAAACCTTCACTGGAGCTTGACAGGGGAGAAATCATACCATACAACAGTTAGCAATAATTGTATGTAGTCTCTTTCTAAAGTCTCACATCTTATAGCAGCTGCTCCAACCTTTTCTCCTTCTTCCAGAGCTCCAACTTAGGTGGCTCTCCTCATCTTTGTTCCTTCTCTTGGAGCTTTTGTAACTCTAGCTTCCCTATAGTTCCATGTCTTTTCTCACACTCACACCCAGTAATGTATCCCATTTCCTCAGTTTCTTTGGTTTGCCACTGCCAGGCATCACTTCTCTGTGCTCTGAGGTCTGTGCTCCATTCTCATAATGAGGTCTTGCAGAGGGTGCTCTGGCCAGGAGCTACACTCTTTAACTCCCCTTGTGTCTGGGTAGAGCCACATGGACTAAGTAGACTAGTCCCCATCTCAGGGAGGTAAGCAGAAATGATGAGTGTCACCTCCAGACCAAACTGATTAAGAAGTGGGTATGTCTCCTCTACCTTCTCTCTTCTTGTCTTCCAGCTAAAGGCAAAGGACCCCAAGACTCAAGAAAATAGCTAGGCCTCCAACCAGGAGGAGTTTGGGCCCACGGTCCACAAATTATCACATGAGAGGCAACCCATTGAGTACCTGATTGGGATTAACATGAGCAAGAAACAAATCTACTGTGTTTATGCTACTGAGAGATGGAAGATTGTTATAGAAGCTAGTTTTGCCTTAACTGAGAGCAACAACTTGTGGTGATGTCAGTGTCAAAGTCAGTGATAGCATTCCTCTGGCATTGTCCCAGGGAAGCCAGGGATTTGGTGGGACCTCAGAGCCAGAGGTCCTTGGATGCTATGGGGACTGTGGTTAAGAAAGACAAAGTCTTTGGCAGTGGCTGCTCTGTCTCCCAGCAGGACTAGGGTGGAACCGATTGGCAAAGTATAAAAGCACAGTGAGAGCAAATACCAGAGTTCAGTTGGCTGCTCCAAGGCACTAGGGAGTGGGCTCTGGCTGACTCCAGATAGGGACAACACCTCTCTCCCTGAAGTTGGCTGAACAGTCCCAGTAGAATCCTTCCTTGGAGACAGGCACTCAGGCTAAATTTCGATAGTTAGATCTGGCTCTCTCCCCTTTCCACTTCTTTTTCCCTCAGTTCAGTGGCCTTGGTCCAGCAGGTCAGGTAAAACATTGGTCAGACTTTCCCAGAGCTCTGTCAGAGAAAACCCCATGGTATCACATGAGAGGAGGCCAGCACACCTTTCTCTAGTGTTACAGAATGAAACTGTTGTATGCGTGTTAGGTACATGGGGAATTCTCCTGCCACTAAGTGGGAACCTCTGGTAGAGATGCTAGGTATTCAGTCCGCTACTACTTCTCAGTTTTCTCCTCAGAAAGTAAATCAAGAGGGCCATGTTTCCCATAGCCCAGTGGGAAGACAAAAACAGTTTGAAATACACCTAAGATCTAATCCTGGGGCAGCTCTGGGGCCAGGTAGCTCAAGGGTTTGGGTCAAAGCTCACAACCACACAGGGAAGACCTAGTGTTTCTTCCCTACAAAATGATGAGAGATAGAATGGGAAGATGGGGTGCAGGAACAAAATCCCAACTCCATCCAGTCTCCCCAGATGGTCTTGCAACAGGCTTGAAATACCTGGCCTGTTGCCCTGGCCGGTTCCAAACCCCTGAGGCAGGCTCTGTGGGAAGCAGCCTTTGTCCCCTACAACCTTAGGAAAGCTACTTTTCCCATCTGAACTGACCCTCTGAGTATGCTTTCAGCGTTTCCCTTAGTCTGTCCCCAGGACCAGTGATTGCAGAGCATGCTACCTAAGTGTTGGTGCCACAGGGATTCAGCTATTCTCACAGGGAGCCAGCAAAAGCCTCACTGACCAGATGTCTGACTCCAAACTCCTTTTTATCCTGCTCAGATCTGGACAGATGAAGTTTTCAGGTACCCAGTGGCAAAACAGTGGTCTCCCCATGGCTAGTCCCTTCTGTGTGAGATGTTTCCTTTAGGGAAATCATTAAATGATGCTGCCGGGAAAGTAAATTGCCTAAGGTCACCATGAGCCAGGAGTTGGCCCTCAGGTTTGCTGGGTTGGGAACTTAATTCCTTAAGTTCCTCAGAGATAAGAAGGCTATGGGGAGCTGATTCTCTAAGTAAGAGCCTGATTGACAAATGAATACAGACTTATCAATGAGGGTATCAGGTAGGATCATAAGTGCCCAACCTTTTCTGAGAGTGCCCCTGAGGATAAATAATCTTACTTGGGATGCTGAAATATAAAGGAGATTTTCTTGATGTAGACAAAAGCAGAGCAAAGTTTCAAGAGTGTTCTTGTTTATAAGGCTATTTCATCATTCTAGAGTAGCTGGATTCACTGCCTTTCTGCGCTCTGGAGACGTTTCTGAATAAAAAGTACTGGTTCTCAGAATTTGAGGGCTCTCACCCTGGCACAGTGCTTGAGGTCACCCACCAGTTTAGAGAGTATTTATGCAGACCATCTGTGATGCCAGATATAATAGGGCACAATTGGGTAGATGACAACTTCTTTTATAAGCTAGGGCTTTCTAATTTTTTGTAAATAATGCACTCATGCAACAATATGTGTATGAATTGACAGAAGGATTCTAGCCATCCCAGGTCCTGTTCTGCCACCCTGAGATCTACAGGAAGTAAAAATCCCCACACATCTGTGACTCATTGTTGCTCATCAGTTGGCCCTGACAGATCTGTTGGAAAGCTCTGGCACATACCATCATCTTCTTTACTAGATTTTGGAGCATTTAGCAGAGATGATAAATATTTTAGTCTTATGAGCAACACATTTTCTCTTAGGATCAGATTCTTTTGATATCGTGTCTTGGGGTTTTCTGTCTCTACTTTCAGCAGGTGATTTTTTCTGACCCTGCCCCAACCATCCCAAATCTGGAATGCCTTCTGTGGACAATACTTTCATATTGTGTCCAGATCCCCACTTCAGGGCTGAGGCACAAGCCTCCAGCTGCTGATGGCTCACAGCTGTGTCCCTTCCTAGGCAATGACCTTGGCAGAGAACTATCTGGCTCCAGACTAAGGCCCCTCCCAGGCATGGCTCAATAGCCAATGACTGCCTGATGCAGAGATACAATGGTTGGGCCCTTGGCTTTAGTAGGAGACAATTCTGAAGGCTCATCTCAGCTCCAGCACTCCCTGTAGCATTGGTAAGGCCTCAGTTACAACATATGAAGGGTCAATTTCTCCCCCACCTATCCTTGTAAGTGCATCTCTGGAAACATACCCAATAAACCTTCTGCATGCTAGTCTCTGTCACCAAGTCTGCTTTCAGGGAACCCAACCTAAGCCACATTCTCTTTGAGATCTCTTGAGCATTTCAGTGTCATATACTTTCTACACTATAAAATGACCAGATTTATGTAAACACATGGAGTAAATTGTTAAAAGTTAATGGGAAAGTGAACAGCTAAAACTTCTGGGAAAAATATAATTCAAAAGAAAAATCTGAGTCTTCCTTTGGGAAGGGAGGGAGAACCCAGAGACCAAAAGGTGACCTGTCCTCTGTGTCTTCTAGGACAAGTCACCTTCTCTCTCTGTGGCCTTCCTTTCTCCATCCATCATGTGATCAGGTGCATACCTAATTCCTCTACTCAGACTTTCTGTGGCTCCACATTTCTCTGTTTCTCTAATGCAGTGGTTCTCAAACTTGAGTGTATATCAAAACCTCTTTAAAGGCATTTTAAAACACAGATTTCTGTGCCCCACCTTCAGAGTTTATCATTCAGTAGGTCAGGAATGCTGCCCTAGAATTTGTATCTCTAACAGGTGCTAGGAGACGCAGATGGCAGTGCTGTTAGTCTGGGGTCCACACTTTGAAAACCATCGTTCTGGTGGTGTCTAAGAGCTGTTTGTTCTCTCTGATGGAAGAAGGACCATTTCACAAGTTATAATAGCAGTGGTATTATTACTCAGGAACTTTAAACAGTTAATTCAGCTTCTTTATTTGCTTAGGGAGAAACTCTCTGTTAAGAAAAGTTTTCCCAGCCCAGTTGAAACCTAACTATCTAAAGCTAAATCTTATATGAAAAAGAGGTCAGTTTTTCCAGAGGAGGTTGTGAAGATTATAAACCACATAGATTTTGATTAACGGCACACTCTTCAAAGCAGAAGAAAGGAGGGAGGAAAAAAAGTGTCTTTTGGAGAGTGTCTTTCTTGAAGACCCTTGCCACCTGAACATGATCTGGATACTGACAGGGTCTGATATGAGCCTCACTTGTGTGAAAGATCTCAGCCTCCAGCCCCTGGGGACTCTGGGAGCTGTGCTATAGCCTTTAAGGCATGCTCACTGCCAGCAAAAGTCATCCACACAGGGCTGCACTGCTGGAAGCACTTTCCCTTCTCTGGCCCCAGGCCTCACCACCCAGTGTGTTTTTACTGGACATCGCTGAGGTCTGAGAGCCCAGGCGTCAGGGCACTTCCCTCTTAGGAGTGTAGTGTCTGGGATGCTGAGCCCAGGCCTGCCAGTTCCCATGCTCGCCTCCAGGCCATGACGTAGTCCTGCTGGCTGGAGGAAGGCAGGCTTTGCCTGTTCTCACTGAGTGTGTGGTTGGATGATGCCCTGGACTGTCCTCTGAAAGCACTTGGACACTGCATGGGATCAAGAAAATCTTTAAATAATTCTTCCCCTTTGTACCAAAGGCAGTTTACCCACCTTTAAAGCATCAGAGGATTTCAGGACTCAGAGGGATCTTGAGAGACCATCCAGTCAAGCTCTTTCTCTTTAATGATCATGAAGCCCTGTTCTTCATAATGATGTTAACATTTCAAGTGTATGAAGTTTACAGAGTACTTTCATATATATCATATTTTTCTTACATGGTCCATTGAATCTGTTAGAAAGCCCTGTTGACTTTTCCTAAAAAATATGCCCTATAGATCTGCCATTTCTCTTCATCCTTTCTGCTATACCCTAGCCACCATAATCTCTTGCCTGGACACAGCGCTGGCCTCCAGACATGTTTCTTCTCTTGTTCCCTGGCTCCCCCACTGTCTTAGTCCACTTAGGCTACTAAAACAAAACACCATATACTGGGTGGCTTATAAATAGCAGAAATTTGTTTCTTACAGTTCTGAAGGCTGGGAAGTCCAAGATTAAGATGCCAGCAGAAACAGTGCCCCATTTCCTGGTTCACAGAGAGCACCTTCTGTCTGTGTCCTTACATGGTGAAAGAACAAGGCAAGCTGGACATGGTGGCTCACACCTGCAATCCCAGCACTTTGGGATGCTGATGTGGGAGGATCACTTGAACCCAGAAGGTCCAGATCAGCCTGGGTAATATGATGACACCTCATCTTTATTAAAAAAGAAATAAAAAATGAGAGAGGAAGGCAGTCCTCTGGAGCCTCTTTTATAAGGGTACAAATTCCATTCATCAGGGTTCCTGACCTAATCACCTCCCAAAGGCTCTCCATCCTAACACCATCACATTGGACGTTAAGATTTTCATATGAACTTTGGGGGGACACAGACATTCAGACCATAGGACCACCCCACTATCCCTTTTCCACATAGCAACCAGAAGGATGTTTTCAAAATATAAATCAGTGGCAGTTGCACAACATTATGAATGCACTAAATGTCACTGAAAATGTTTACGTCAAAATGGTTAATTTTATGTTATGTAAATTTCACTTCAATTTAAGATATCTATGTCTGAAATGGTTTAGTTATTTGTCCTACCTATAGTCTAAATTACATGTTGAAATATAATCTCCAATGTTGGAAGGGGGGCCTAGTGGGAGGTAATTGGATCATGGGGGCAGATCCCTCATGCCTTGGTGCTGTCCTCACAATAGTGAGTACTTGTGAGATTTGATTTTTTAAAAGTGTGTGTCACCTCCTCCCTTCCCCTTGCTTCTGCTTTTGCCATGTAACGTGTGGGTTTCCACTTTGCCTTCTGCCATGAGTAAGAGCTCACTGAAGCCTCCCCAGAAGCTGAGCAGAAACCAGCACCATGCTTCCTATAAAGTGGAACTGTAAGCCAAATGAAACCTCTTTTCTTTATACATTACCCAGTCTCAGGGGTTGGTTGTTTTTCTCTTTTTACGTAGAGTTCATTTTGCCTTGTACCCGTCTCAGGTATTTCTTTTTGTTTGTTTGTTTTGAGATGGAGTCTCACTCTGTCACCCAGGCTGGAGTGCAGTGGCATGATCTCAACTCACTGCAACCTCCACCTTCTGGGTTCAAGTGATTCTCCTGCCTCAGCCTCCTGAATAGCTGGGATTATGGGCATGTGCCACCACACCCAGCTACTTTTTGTATTTTTAGTAGAGATGAGGTTTCACCACGTTGGCCAAACTGGTCTCGAACTCCTGACCTCAGGTGACCGCCTGCCTTGGCCTCCCAAAGTGCTGGGATTTCAGGTGTGAGCCACCATGCCCAGTCACAGGTATTTTTTATAGCAATGTAAGAACAGCCTAACATAGAAAATTTGTACCAGGAGTGGGGTCTTGCTATAAAGATAACTGATAATATGGAAGCACCTTTGGAACTGGGCAATGGGCAGAGGTTGGAAGAGTGTGGACGCTCAAAAGAAGACAGGAAGATGAGGGAAAGTTTGGAACATCTTTGAGACTGGTTAAATGGTTGTGACCAAATTGCTGATAGTGATATGGACAGTGAAGTCCAGGCTGACAAGGTCTCAGATGGAAATGAGGAACTTACTGAGAACTGGAGCAAAAGTCACCTTTGTTATGCCTTAGCAAAGAACTCAGCTGTACTTTGTTCATGCCCTGGGGATCTGTGGAAATGTGAACTTAAGAGTAATGATTTAGGGTATCTGGTGGAAGAAATCTCTAAGCAGCAAAGCATTCAAGATGTGGTGTGGCTGCTTTTAACAACCTAACTCAGATGCAGGAACAAAGAAATGATCTAAAGTTGGAATTGATACTTAAAAGAGAAGCAGAGCATAAAAATTTGGAAAATTTGCAGCCTAGCCCATAGCAAAGAAAGAAAAGGCTTTTATAGGGGAAAAATCCAAGCAGGTTATGGAGTGACTACTTGTTAGAAATATTTTCTTTTTTTTTTTTATTATACTTTAAGTTTTAGGGTACATGTGCACAACGTGCAGGTTAGTTACATATGTATACATGTGCCATGTTGGTGTGCTGTACCCAGTAACTTGTCATTTAACATTAGGTATATCTCCAAATCTCCAAATGCTATCCCTTCCCCCTCCCCCCACCCCACAACAGGCCCCGGTGTGTGATGTTCCCCTTCCTGTGTCCATATGTTCTCATTGTTCAATTCCCACCTATGAGTGAGAACATGCGGTATTTGGTTTTTTGTCCTTGTGATAGTTTGCTGAGAATGATGGTTTCCAGCTTCATCCATGTCCCTACAAAGGACATGAACTCTTCATTTTTTATGGCTGCATAGTATTCTATGGTGTACATGTGCCACATTTTCTTAATCCAGTCTATCATTGTTGGACATTTGGGTTGGTTCCAAGTCTTTGCTATTGTGAATAGTGCCACAATAAACATACGTGTGCATATGTCTTTATAGCAGCATGATTTATAATCCTTTGGGTATATACCCAGTAATGGGATGGCTGGGTCAAATGGTATTTCTAGTTCTAGATCCCTAAGGAATTGCCACACTGACTTCTGCGATGGTTGAACTAGTTTACAGTCCCACCAACAGTGTAAAAGTGTTCCTATTTCTCCACATCCTCTCCAGCACCTGTTGTTTCCTGACTTTTTAATGATTGCCATTCTAACTGGTGTGAGATGGTATCTCATTGTGGTTTTGATTTGCATTTCTCTGATGGCCAGTGATGATGAGCATTTTTTCATGTGTCTTTTGGCTGCATAAATGTCTTCTCTTGAGAAGTGTCTGTTCATATCCTTTGCCCACTTTTTGATGGGGTTGTTTTTTTCTTGTAAATTGATTTGAGTTCATTGTAGATTCTGGATATTAGCCCTTTGTCAGATGAGTAGATTGCAAAACTTTTCTCCCATTCTGTAGGTTGCCTGTTCACTCTGATGGTAGTTTCTTTTGCTGTGCAGAAGCTCTTTAGTTTAATTAGATCCCATTTGTCAATTTTGGCTTTTGTTGCCAATGCTTTTGGTGTTTTAGACATGAAGTCCTTGCCCATGCCTATGTCCTGAATGGTAATGCCTGGTGGGAGGTGACTGGATCATGGGGGCACATCCCTCATGGTTTGGTGCTGTCCTCACAATAGTGAGTACTCGCAAGATCTGGTTGTTTAAAAGTTTGTGGCACCTCCCCCTTCCTCTTATTTTCACCATGTGACATACAAGCTCCTGCTTTGCCTTCTGCCATGAGTAAAAGGTCCCTGAGGCCTCCCCACAAGCTGAGCAGATGCTGATCCTATGCTTGTTCAGCCTGTAGAACCATGAGCCAGCATGATTAAAAGAAGTTTAATTAAAAGAAAGTTAAATGAATTAAACTTTTCTTTACAAATTACCCAATCTCAGGTAGTTCTTTATAATAACGCAGGAACAACTTAACACAATATCTGTCTATCTATCTCAGAGAGAGAAAGAGAAGAGAGCATGACACCAAATCCTTCAGTGGTTTCAATTGCACTTAGAATACAAATGTAAATTCTTTAACACAAGAATACTAGGCCTATCTGATGTAGCCCTTGCAACATTACCTCCCTCATCTCCTATCACACTTTCTCTCACCTGTGCTGTTCCCAGGCACACTGTCTTCCTCTCTGTTCAAGCACCTTGTACCTGGAGAAGCTGCAGGTGCTCAAGCTGGAAGCTGTTGAGCTTGTTCCTAAAAACCATTACAATTCCCTGTCTTTAATATGCTTCATCCAAGCCCACCCAATCCAAAGAAGCTTCCCCACTCACTATTAGTACCTCATCTTATTTTATTCATATCACTACCTGATATTGCCTTATTTGCTTATTTATTGTTTGACTCCCTCTCCACAAAAATATCTGTTCCCTGAGAGACCTTGTCTGTCTCTTTCAGTGCATCTCCAGGGCCTAGAACAGTGCCTGACTCCTAGTAAGTGTATTAGTGAAGGTTCTCCAGAGAAACAGAACCAATAGGAGTATAGCCTCCACTGTGTATGTGTGTGTGTATACATATACATATATATACACACATATGTATATATACACATATATATACACACATATGTATATATACACATATACACATATATATATATATATACACACACACACACACACACACACACACACATATATATAGTCATCCCTCGGTATCCATGGGGGTTTGGTTCTAGAACCTCCCTCAGAAATGAAAATCTGCAGCTATTCAAGTCCCTGACATAAAATGGCATAGTATTTGCATATAACCTATACATATTCTCCCATATACTTTAAATCACCTCTAGATATGGCATTACTTGTAATACCTAATACAATGGAAATGCTATGCAAATAGTTGTTATACTGTATTGTTTAGAAAATAATGACCAAAAGTCTCCACATGTTCAGTATAGATGCACTTTTTTTCAAATATTTTTGATCCATGGTTGAATTCACAGATGTGAAACCCATGGATATGGAGGGCTGAGCATATGGAAAGAAATATATGATAGGAATTGGTTCATGCAGTTATGGAGGATGGCAAGTCAAAAATCTGCAGCATGCTGGAGTCCCAGGAGAGTGGACAGGAGGCAGAGACCCGATGGCAGTCTGCTGATTGGATGAGACTCACCTACATCTGGAGGGTCTGTTTCCTCAGAGTTCACTGATTTAAACGTTAATCTCATCCAAAAACACTCTCCAAGTTGACATAAAATTAACCATCACAGTGAGTATCCTATAAGTGTTTGTTCACTGAATTATCTAATTTGATCATTGGAAATCCCATGAGGTAGGAATTACTAGCCCACTTTGCAGGTGTCTCTGGAGCAAGGCCATGAGCTTATTTGTTTAAAAATACACAGCTGGAAAGTGGCAACAGCTATGTTGAGCCCACTCTCTCATCAAGTCCGGAACTTACCTTAACAATTGCAGTGCACTTTGTATGCACTTCATCTCATTTGCTATACTAAGTAGGACTGAATCCTGAGCAATCTGGCCTTTTGAGAGCAAGAGTTTCTCAACTCTTCTCTGGAAGTTCTTCCTTACACCTATAAAAACCTTCCTGCTAGGACAGTGGGGAAGAAGAGAAGTTAAGAGTTTGAGGAAATAATCATGGTGCTTTCCCCTAGTACTCTAAACCTTTTTGGGGTTTGTGTGACTTTTGTCCTTTACTCTCTTTGCAGCAACCAAGTCAATCAACAACATATGAAAGAAAAAAAAAACAATCTATTTCTCATTCTAGCCCAATATTTGCTAAGATAGCTGCCATTTATCAGACACCTACTATATGTCAGATAACTCTAAAGAGGAGTAGATACTATTAACTGTGTTTTGCATTTGAGAAAATTGAGATTCAGACGATAAGTAACCTGCCAGGGTCACAATTTATAAGTAGCAAGACATACTCAAATCTAGTCTGAATCCAAAATTATAGTCTTCTCACTTTACTACAGGGTTTCTTAACGGAGGTCAAATCTGACTCTCTACTAATTCATTCCACCCAAACCCCGGCCCCATTTCTGTCTATTTCTTTGCCAAACTGAAGCAGCATGCCATAGTGGATAGACCAGACGTCCTGGAGAGAGAAGCCCTGGGCCCTTTCCAGGCTGTCTGAACAAGTCATTTAGTCTATTATTCTACAGTTTATGCATGTGTAAAATGAGGAAAAGAAAAAAGTACCAACATTCAGATTAAAAGAGATGATGTCTGTGATGCTGAGGACTTGACAGTACCGAATGTGTTAGCTGATATTGTTATAATCCATATACATTGCTTCTTTCTAAATCTACAGTAAACACTTGCAGGGATCCTTTTTTGATTAATACAAATCCATTTAATCACCTGTTTGATTTGTTTGCCTTGAGCATTAGCAAGTAATTATGAGCTCATTTTCAAATAAATTTGGTGTTTGCTTTGTTTTCTCAAATGGACTGTTCGGTAAGGCAGGGAATGAATTTTCCATTTCTTTTGTATCTTCTTATCAAGCCCAATGCAGGAATCTTCATTTAACAGGAGCTCAGTAAGTCCAGGTTGAAGAACTGACTCAAGAATGAGAAATTGTAGGAAAAGTCAAGAAGTCGTTTTGTTCATGGGGTGGAAGACATTTGATGAAGACTGATGTCTGGTGAATCCAGAAAGTATACATTAAGTTGGGAGCTGTGTCCCTAAGTGGATTGGCAAGGATAAATGGGGACACTGAGGGGCAAAATCTTGAAATCTCAATGCTTACATGTTTTGAGAGGATGGGTATTGGTTCTTTCTTCTTTAGAGCTGGCATGGTACATTGCAAAAATTATTAAACTAAAAGTCAAAAATCCTGGGCTGTGTTCTAACATTTGTAAGTCATTTAACAGCCTTAAGTCAATTTTAAAGCTTGGAACATGATAGTGCTGAACTAGATTATTGTAGGGTTATTTCCAGCTAAAAAATGTTATAATACATCAGACAAGAGGCTAACTTTAATATATAAAGGCCTCCTACAAATCATCTATAAAAAAGCCAGTAGAGCTTGCAGTGAGCAGAGATCGTGCCACTGCACTCCAACCTGGGCAACAGAGTGAGACTCCATCAAAAAAAAAAAAAAAAGTGCCAGTAGTGCAACAGAGAAGGTGAAGAATATAAGCAGGTAGTTCACAGAAAAGATGACAACTCTTAAACAAAAGAGCAATGTAAAAAATTACAACTACAAAGAAATTTGATGTTTTCAACTATCAGATTGGAAATGACCAAAGAGTTCTAAAATTCACTGTGTAGCTCAGAGTTTGAGGAAGCCAGCACTTTAAAAAATTATCCTCCAAGGCCGGGCGTGGTGTCTCAAGCCTGTAATCCCAGCACTTTGGGAGGCCAAGGTGGGTGGATCATTTGAGGCCAGCAGTTTGAGACCAGCCTGGCTAACATGGTGAAACCCTATCTTTGCTAAAAATACAAAAATTGGCCTTGCTTGGTGGCAGGCACCTGTAATCCCCACTAATTGGGAGACTGAGGCAGGAGAATTGCTTGAACCCAGGAAGCAGAGGCTGCAGTGAGCTGAAATCGCACCACTGCACTCCAGCCTGGGCGACAGAGCAAGACACTGTCTTAAAAAAAAAAAAAATCTTCCAGAGGCTGGCCCTTGCAAGGTGTGCTTCCTGGGCTCCTGAGTCAGCTGGCTTAGAATATTCCCTAGAGAGGTTAATTTGGTGATTACTATTAAACTTAAAAGTTCACATACCCTTTCTTTGATGTGGCAGTTGAGCTTCTAGGTATTGATTCTACAGACACACTCCCACACATGAGAAATGACTGTGTATGCAGGCATTCACTGCAGCACTGTTTGTAGTAGCCACAGATTTAAAACAACTTAAATGTCTGTTTTTAAAATAAATTATATCATATCCCCATACATGCAATGATAGCAATCTTTAAAAAGAATGAGGCCATCTCTATATGTTCTAATGGACAGATCTTCAAGATAATATGGTTTAATGAGAAAAGCAAGGGGCAGGACGGCGTGTACAGTTAGTATCATTTGAGTTACTAAACAAAAAGTATATATATAATATATATTATTTAATGTGCATATTACTGTTTACTTAGAAATACTTTAAAACTTACAAAAGTTGTACAAATAAAACAATATAAAGAACACTTATACACCTGTTACCCAGATTCACTCATTATTGTCATTTTAACCCATTTGCTTTATCATTTGAATATATAGTTTTGATATCTCTGGAAACTACCATAAGAAATTTGTAACAGTGGTTGCCTCCAAAGAGAGAACTGAGTGGCTGGAGGTAGGGGGAAAATGATTACTTTTTATGCTATGCCCTTTTAAACCTTTTGAATTTTGTATTGTTTACCAAAAAAATTAAATTAAAAATTACATAAGCATCTCTGCAAAAATTCTGGGGTCTGTACCTTTAGAGAAAAGATTATTATTTTGGTAAAGGAAGTCAGGTATAAAGGAAAAGTAAAAATAAAAGGGTAAAAATGCAAGTCAACAGACAGTTAAGAGTGATCAAATAGTGATGAGGGATAGCTTCTCTTTAAAGAATTGTTCCAGTTGATAAACAAATAAAGAATGATAAAATTAGTTTTTCAGCATTTGCAACTCCTAATGTATCTAGGCAATAGTCAACAATAGCTATTAACATCAAAAAGGACATTTATGTTTACATGGCCCCTGATGGAAGTACATACTGCCTGTGAAGGACTTATGCCAAAATAACTGATCCTGAATTGGATCAGCTTCTAGACCTATTTATTAATCAAAGAATGGACAAGGGTCAGAGGAACATGTTAAATAAAATTGCCTGTCCCTAGGCAATTGTCACAAATGCAGAAAAATATTTAAGCTTATGCATACACAAAATTAGAATAAGAAGAAGAAATTAACTATAAACACGGAGATTTTACATGATAAAATATAATTTTACACTAATTTAAAAACCTCAGTAAAATAGATGATTTTCTTGGAAAATAGAGATAACCAAAACTGACTCAAGAATTAGAAGAAAAACCAATTACTAACTCCAGAGAAAGGGTCTGGGTCAGATAGGGTACTAGTCCTGGGCCTTCTGCCCCTAGATCACTCTGTAACCTTCCCCTTCTAGGCATTATCCTCCTGAGGCTGGCCCTTGCAGGGCATGCTTCCGAGGCTCCAATGTCAGCTGGCTTCTGGTAGATTCAGGAATCGGGAGGTAACAGCAAGAGGCTGGAGACTAGGGGAGGGGATAAGCCAGGTTTTTAAGTTTTTGTTTGATTGTTTTTGTCCCATTCTACTCTGCCTCTGGTGGAGTCTCCCACACTGGTTACCTCTTTTCTTAGTTTCAGCTTCTTCTAGTCACATCAACATGGTTCCAGCTTCCACTTGATGACTTCAACCTTTCAACTGCAGTGATATCACCTCCTCCTTTTGTTCCCCGCTGGTTAGAAGTGGGAGGGCATCTGCTATTGCAAATTCCATTTGGTTGGCTTTTCAGCTCCTTCCATCATGTGTATAATTAATTCCCTGCATTAAATTCCTTCTGTATTCGTCCATTTTCATACTGCTATAAAAAACTGTTCAAGACTGGGTAGTTTATAAAAGAAAGAGGTTTAATTGACTCACAGTTCTGCATGGCTGGGAAGACCTCAGGAAACTTACAAACATGGCAGAAGATGAAGGGGAAGCAAGGCACCTTCTTCACAAGGCAGCAACAAGGAGAAGTATCAAGCGAAGGGGGAAGAGCCCCTTATTAAACCATCAGATCTCATGA
The DNA here is from genome assembly GCF_000001405.40 of Homo sapiens. Taxonomy (NCBI): domain Eukaryota; kingdom Metazoa; phylum Chordata; class Mammalia; order Primates; family Hominidae; genus Homo; species Homo sapiens. Next base: position 117,838,263 of record NC_000001.11, read on the forward strand.
GAACTCACTCACTGTCATGAGAACAGCATGGGGGAACCGTCCCCATGATTCAATTACCTCCACCTGGTCTCTCCCTTGACACATGGGGATTATGGGGATTACAATTCAAGATGAGATTTGGGTGGGGACACAAAGCCTAACCATATCACCTTCTTATTTAAATACTCGAGTGGTTTCTGTTTCCTTGATTGGACGCTGACTGGATAAAAATAGCTTTAAGGTTAAGTATTTCATTTGTTTTTTACCTTATCCCCCATGTAGAACTACGGGTTAAGTATTTCAAAATTGTCAAGAATATATAATTTCTAAAGTACAGATGTTTCAGAGCATATAAAGGAGACCCTCTGGTCTCTACGTATTTTACGAGATCAGCACATTCTTGATATAAAACCTATAAACATGGCAAAGAAAAATTACAAATGAAGCATAAGAAATGGTTTTCATTTGGTCACTTGATTTGTGACAAGGGTGCCATTGCAATTGAGTGCAAGAGGAGCCAGTCTTCTCATTGAACAGTATTGTGTCAATTGGAATCCATTAAAATAAAAAGAAGCATTAATCCTCTACTTCACATCACACCAAAATAAAAATTGTGATAGCTTACATATGAAAACTAAAACAATGAAACTTCTAGAAAAAAAAAATCTTCATTATTTTAGATAGGTTAAAACATTTTAAACAAGATATATAAAGTGCTAAAGAGAAAAGCGTAATAAATTGGATTTCATTAAGAACTATTCAACAAAGACAATAGAGTGAAACGGCAAGCCACAGACTGTGAGAAGATTTTTGGAAGATAGGTAATACATATGACAAGGGACTTAGTCAGAACTACAAATTTAAGGAATTCAATAAAAAGGGAGAAATACTGGAAATAGACACACAACAAAAGAGTGTTTTCAAATGACTCATAAGCATATGAAAAAGGAAGTTTATATCATTAGACATCAGAAAAATACAAATGAAAACCACAATGCGACACCACTACACTACAACCAAATGGTTAAATTAAAGGCACTAATTAAGATCAATTTTTGGTAAAGATGTGGTAGACAACTAGAATTCTCACACATTGCTGACAGGAATTTAAAATAGTTCAACCACTGTGGAAAACCTCAGTCATTTTTTAAAAATTTTTCACAGCTTTCAGTATAATTCATATACAATCAATTGCATATTCTTTTTTTTTTTTTCTTTTTTTGGGACAGAGTCTCACTCTGTTACCCAGGCTGGAGTGCAGTGGCACAATCTCAGCTCACTGCAAGCTCCATCACCCAGGTTCACGCCATTCTCCTGCCTCAGCCTCCTGAGTAGCTGGGACTACAGGTGCCCACGACCATGCCTGGCTAATTTTTTTTTTTTTTGTATTTTTCGTAGAGATGGGGTTTCACCGTGTTAGCCAGGATGGTCTTGATCTCCTGACCTTGTGATCCACCCGTCTCGGCCTCCCAAAGTGCTGGGATTACAGGCGTGAGCCACCATGCCCAGCCCAATTGCACATTCTTAATGTGTACAATTTGATATTTTTATTTTAACATATGTATATACCCATGAATCCATTACCATGCCAAAAAAAATGAACATGTCCACATTCCCAGAAGTTTCCTCATGCCTTTTGCAATTCTTCCCTTTCTCTCTAATCAATCCTCACTACACGCAGCCAACAACTGATCTGCTTTCTAGCACTATGAATTAGCTTGTATTGTCTAGAATTTTATATACATGAAATCACATAGTATGTATTCTTTGTGTCTAGCTTCTTTACCCAAAACAATTATTTTGAGATTCACCCATGTTGTGTGTATCAGAAGTCATTTTGTTTGCTTTGTTTTTTATTGAATGTTATTCTGTCGTATGGCTACACATCAATTTGTTTATCCATTTACCTGCTGGTGAACATTTGGGTTGTTTCTGGTTCTTTGCTGTTACAAATAAAGCTGCTATGAATATTAATTTGCAAGTCTTTGTGTGTGCAGACATACACTTTATTTTCTCTTGGGTAAATACCAGAAATGGAATGGCTAAGTCATAGTATGTGTATGTGTAATTTTTAAGGAAATATACAGCAATTTTAAATAAAGCTAAAGATACGTATTCCCTTTGATCAAGCAAGTCCCAAGAGAACTCTATTTCTCTGTGTATATTACTAACAGAAATAAATGCATATGTCGACCCAAAGATATGTGTAAAATATTCATATAAGCTTTATTAATAATAGCCCAAAATTGGACACATGTCCAAATGTTCATCAATGGTAGCCAGGAATTCCCTTCCCACTGTGGTGTCCTGAGTTGCCTCAGGCCAGCAGAGGTATTTTGTTGTTCATAAAATCTGTTATAATTACTGCATTACATACACTTTCAATTCCTTTGACTCTGTCTATTTTCACTGTCCTTTTCTGTCTAACCCTAACACTCATAAACCCAGATTTTGCATAGTCCCTGCCAACATCTGAATGTGACTGAAGAAAACTATGCAACTTTGTGATTGGTCTCTCTGTGGTCCTCAACCAGGAAAGGTTCAGTTCCCTGGGCAGTGTTTGGAAGTGGGGCAGAGAACATTTTGATCAGCACAATGATTGAGGGGTACTACCAAGGGCCAGGGATGCTAAATGCCAAGGAAGATGCCTGCCTGAAACACTGACAGCATCTCCACTGAAAAACATTGTTTGACCACAAACCTTAATGGTCACAGCTGCCTGAAATCATACTATGATTCCCTCATCAATTCCCTTTCCCACTCTCCTAGAAAAACTTTTATCTCTTCTCTCTTCAAACCTACAATGTCTTCTGCCTCCTCCTCATTTTTACCCATAAACCATTTTTATCTGTAAACCATACTTCTTATTCAATAGAAAAATAGAAAAGTTCAGAAGGAAACCTCCACATGCTCTTGATATCTACCAGTGTACCTACATCTATGCCCACACACTCAGTATCCCATCCTGTCACTATAGGTAAATTGTCCAGGCTAGTTTCTAAGTCCTCTATTTGTGTACTGGATTTTTCCCCCTTTTACCTACTTGATAACTTCCCTCTTACAATCATTGCATCATCGATTTTCCCCTCTGCTGTATTATTTCCATCAGGATATAGGCAATCCATACTATTTCATGACCACAAAATACTCTCCCATGACATCATATTTCCCTCTACATTTTAGAAGGTGGTAATTTACAGGGAGTCACGTGACCTAGCTCTGCCACCATCTCACCAATGACCTTGAGTTTGCACCTTTGAGTGCCTTTGTACATCTCAGTTTTCTCATGTTAAAATGAAGAGATGATACTAGTTATCTTGGAGGTCTATGACATATTGCTTCACAATGTGCATATGCGGCAACAGACACAGCCCATCTAGCCTGTGTTAGGAAGATGCCAAGCTAAGCACCATAGGGAGTGGAGGAATGGATAAGGCATGCAGTTTTCTGCCTGTGGAAACATAGGGGGACCCAAGACAGGAACACAAGCGACTCTTCTGCAAGGTTAAGGATAAGGGCCTAAAAATAGGGATTAAGTTCAGAGCAGAGCAGCAGAGGCAGATCAATGAGGTTAGAAGAACTGGGCAAAGCTTTATGGAAGGTAGTGCTTATAATGGGACTTTAAGGATACTCAAAGGAACAGTATAAATTCAAAGAGATGAAGCAGCTTTGGGTTAAATTCAGTTTTCTTTTGAGGTAAAATAAAGGAAAGTAGAGGGGGAGGGCAAGATGGCCAACTAGACACAGACAGGTGGAATCATTTCCACCAAGGGACTGAGACGACTAGCATGCTCCTAACAGATCTTCAAAGGGAAGACACTATGAATGAAGGGAAGACACAGAAGCTGGGCTGAAAGGGGAGAAAGCTGGAAACCCTACATGGGGATACAGCACACTTGGACTTGTTCCTGATTCCCAATGGCTTTAGGGGAACGAATGAGTTGAACTGACAAGGAGCAACCCACTCTCACCATGGGCCTCTGGAACCTTGGCAGGAAGAGACCTCTCAACCACCATGGACACTTGAATTGGCAGAGAGCTGCTTAGAGAAGTGGTAGGGACAGCCAGCTGAAGTGGAGCCTGGAGGGTTTGGTGTGGGCGTGTCTGTAGCAGAGCACAGTCAGGAACAGCTATCCCACTAGGCTTGACTTGTTCCTATAGGAGACTTTAGCCCTAGGGGAACTGTCGGTCCTGAATTCTGCAGGGCAATCTTGCCCATCAGATGGGGCCAGTGTGACCTGAGCAACCCTTGGTATGGTGGCCTCTCCTGGGGCCTCAGCCTGGCCACACCTGCTTACAGAATAGTCTCAGGTGCCCTGGGGGCCCACACCATGGTTTTTATGGTGGCAGACCATGCCTGACTGGCAGAGAGCTCCAACAGGGTGGCTCCTACTGCCACATACCAGCCCACATACTCCCTCCCCATACTGCGGCTTCCCCCCTAGGGCCCATGGCAATTCCCCAAATGTTTTGCTGGTGTGTGTTTGCATGAGTGGGTTTTGCTTTTATTGCCCTGCTAGCACATGAGAGTGCAGTCTGCCTCACCTCATTCTACTGACCACCATTGCAGATGGAGCCTTGGTGGGCACAGAGCCAGCCAGCCCCACCCCTTCCAGTGCCCCACCCTTGTGCTAATACTGTGCAGAGAACAGCAGATCCTCCCCCACCCTGAGCAACCACTCCTGCTTGCAGAGCACAAAGAAGGCACCTAGACCTGTGCCCACTAGTGTCCTGCTCCTGAGTCAACACCACCTCCAACATGACCATGCACACAGTCACCAGCAGGGGCCCCTCTGGCCGTCTTCCCCAACAGCTGCATTACCTCTATCACTGTGGTGAATGACCACAGGGAGGCAGGCACCCTGCTGCTGCTACCATTACTGCTGACATGTGTGAATGAGGATGGAGCCTGCTGTCACTGCACTATAAAATGCTTTGGATGACACCACCCATTGAAGTGTAGTGACCAGCAGTCTGGGAGCAACTTGGCCACCTCCAGCACAGTGGATTTTTAACCTTAAGGAGCCAGAGAACAAAGTCAAGGCCCCAATACAAGTTCCCCAGAGTTAGAGCACACAGGCCAGGAGGTGGGAGCTGAGCACTGACTCCCTAAAATCTTCCAGAAATGAAGCCAGTCAGCTGAATCCACCTTATATCACAATCACAATTTGATAACAATCAAGGTCATCAAATAGGATACCCGTTCAAATAAAATCAACCCATCCAAAGGTCAGCAACCTCAAAGACCGAAGTAAGATAAGCCCATAAAAATAAGAAAGAATTAGTGCAAGAACCCTGACAACTCAAAAAACCAGAGTGCCTTCTTTCTTTCAAATGATGATATCACCTCTCCAGCAAGGGTGCTGAACCAGGCTGAGATGGCTGAAATAACAGAAATAAAATTCAGAATATGGATAGGAACAAAGATCACTGAGCTACAGGAGTACATTAAAATCCAATCTAAGGAAGCTAAAAATCATAATAAAACAATGCAGGAACTAACAGACAAAATAGCCAGTATAGAAAATAATGTAACCAACCTGATAGAGCTTAAAAACACTCTACAAGAATTTCATAATGGAATCATAAGTATTAATAGCAGAATAGACCAAGCAAGGAAAGAATCTGCAGAGCTTGAAGACTGGCTTTCTGAAATAAGAGAGTCAGAGAAGAATGGAGAAAAAGTAATGAAAATCAATGAACAAAACCTCTTGAGAAATATGAGACTATATAAAGAGACCAAATCTATGACTCACTGGTGTTCCTGAAAGAGACGGGGAGAATTGAACTGACTTGGAAAACATTTTTCATGATATCAACCATGAGAACTTCCCTAACCTAGCTAGAGAGGCCAACATTCAAATTCAGGAAATTCAGAGAACCCCAGAAGTTACTTTGCAAGAAGATCATCCCCAAGACACATAATTGTCAGATTCTCCAAGGTCAAAATGAGAGAAAAAATATTAAAGGCAGGTAAAGAGAAAGGTCAGGTCACCTACAAAGGGATGCTCATCAGACTAACAGCAGACCTGTCAGCAGAAACCCTACAAGCCAGAACAGATTGGGAGCCAATATTCAACATACTTATAGAAAAGAAATTCCAACCCAGAATTTCATAACCAGCCAAACTAAGCTTCATAAGTGAAGGAGAAATAAGATACTTTTCAGACAAGCAAATACTTAGGAAATTTGTTACCACCTGACCTGTCTTACAAAAGCTTCTGAAAGAAGCACTAAATATGGAAAGGAAAGACCATTACCAGGCACTACAAAAACACACTGAAGTACACAGACCAGTGACACTACAAAGCAACCATATAAACAAGTCTGCAAAATAACCAGCTAACAGCATGATGACAGGATCAAATCCATACATATTAATACTAACCTTGAATGTAAATGATTTAAATGCCTCAATTAAGAGACACAGAGTAGCAAACTGGATAAAGAACCAAGACCCATTGGTATGCTGTCTTCAAGAGTCCCACCTCACATGCAATGACATATATAGGCTCAAAATAAAGGGATGAAGAAAAATCTACCAAGCAAATGGAAAACAGAAAAAAGCAGGTGTTGCAATTCTAGTTTCAGACACAGTCTTTAAACCAGCAAAGATTAAAAAAAGACAAGGAAGCACATTAGATAATGGTGGGGGTTCAATTCAACAAGAAGATCTAACTATCCTAAATATAAATGCACGTGACACAAGAGCATCCAGATTTATAAAGCAAGTTCTTAGAGACCTTCAAAGAGACATAAAGTCTCCGACTATTATTGTGTGGGAGTCTAACACCCACTGACAATATTAGACAGATAATCAAGACAGAAAATTAACACAGATATTCAGGACCCAAACTCAGCACTGGATCAAATGGACCTGATAGACATCTACCAAACTCTCCATCCCCAAGAAACAGAATGTACATTCTTCTTATTGCCGCATGGCATATATTTGAAAACTGATCACATAATCAGCAGTAAAACACTCCTCAGCAAAGGCAAAAGAAATGAAATCATTACAAACAATCTCTTGGAAGACAGCACAATCACATTAGAAATCAAGACAATGCAATTTCACTCAAAACCATACAAGTACATGGATACTGAATAACCTGCTTCTGAATGACTTTTGGGTAAATAATGAAATTAAGGCAGAAATCAAGAAGTCCTGGCTGGGTGTGGTGGCTCACGCCTGTAATCCCCACACTTTGGGAGGCCAAGGTGGGTGGATCACCTCAGCTCAGGAGTTTGAGACCAGCCTGGCCAACATGGTGAAACCCTGTCTACTACAAATACAAAAATTAGCTGGGTGTGGTGGTGGGTGCCTGTAATCCCAGCTACTCAGGAGGCTGAGGTAAAAGAATCACTTGAACCCTGGAGATGGAGGTTGCAGTGAGCTCAGATTGCACCACTGCACTCCAGCCTGGGCCACAAGGGCGAAACTCCATACAAAAAGAAAGAAACCAAGAAGTCCTATGAAACTAAGGAGAACAAAGAAATAACATGCCAGAATCTCTGGAACACAACTAAGGCAGTATTAAGAGGGAAATTTATGGCACTAAATGCCCACATCAAAAAAGTTAGAAAGATCTCAATTTAATAATCTAACATCACAACTAAAAGAACTAGAGAACCAAGAGTAAACCAATCCCAAAGCTAGCAAAAGACAATAAATAAGCAAAATCAGAGCTGAACTGAAGGAGACTGAGGCATGAAAAAGCATTCAAAAGATCAACAAATCCAGGAGCTAGTTTTCTGAAAAAAATTAATAAAACAGACCACTAGCTAGATTAATAAAGAAGAAAAGAGAGAAGATTCAAATAAACACAATCAGAAACAAGGGGGATATTAACACTGACCCCACAGAAATACAAATAGCCATCAGAGTATATTATGAACACCTTTATGCACATAAACTAGAAAATCTAGAAGAAATGGATAAATTCCTGGACACATACACCCTCCCAAGACTGAACCAGGGAGAAATTAAATCTTGAACAGACCAATAATGAGCTCTGAAACTGAGTCAGTAATAAATAGCTTACTAAACATAAAAAACCCAGAACCAGATAGATACACAGCTGAATTCTACCAGATGTACAAAGAAGAGCTGGTACCATTCCTGCTGAAACTATTCCAAAAAATTGAGGAAGAGGGACTCCTCCCTAACTCATTCTATGAGGCCAGCATCATCCTGATATTAAAACCTGGCAGAGACACAATAAAAGAAGAAAACTTCAGGCCAATATCCTTTATGAACATCGATACAAAAATCCTCAACAAAATACTGGCAAACTGAATCCAACAGTACATCAAAACAGTTTTTATCATAAGAGGTTGAGAAAGAGTCAGAGCCTATTGGTTTACTCAGGAGAAAGTGCTTCGGGGACCATGTAGTGAGATGGCCTGAAGAAATTTTTATTAACAAAATTTTCTGTTTAAAAGATGGAGAACAGTCATTTTCTATTATTATATACTTTCTTCGCATCTGGAGCTAACATAGTTAAAAATCCAATTCAGGAGTGACCACAGGAATACTGTTAGACATGTTAACAATTCACTCAAGTTCGGCATCCTCCAGAAATACTCTGGAAAAATCTTTGCAAGGTCACACCTCACTAGAATTTTGACCAAATAAAGCCATCCTATGTAGAGTGACTACCACGTAATCTCCCTGGAATAGCCTCCAATGCAATAAAGTTCTAGTTTCCTCAAATGCTCACTTGCAACTGTCATATCACACGTGCAAAATTTTTATTTGAAAACTTTTCTAACTATAAGACAAGAAAGTACAGTACAATATTTCTGTTCATAGTTCACCCAGAATATTATGTACTCAGCAAAGGTCAGGACTAACAGCTCTCTGCAGGAATGTTTGTTTTCAACCCTTCATAGCAAAATAAGATTCTTCAAATAAGACAGCAATAATCTGGTATGGAGATAGTCAAATCTCCTGGCTTTTATTCTGAACACAACATCTGAGTCTACTCCAACTCATTTCAGGACGTATCTACTTGAGGAATCTTGATGCTTTTGTCACTTCTTTTCTCGCTCTCCCACCTCCGGGTCAGTTGCCAAAGCATGTTAACTCTGCAACAGGAGATAATCATTGACCAAGACTCACAGGACTTTCTGAACTGTTTCTGTGGCACTGTGTTCTTTTCAGGAATTTGCCTGGGCAAAGTGCTTGCATTTATTATATTAGATTTGGGCTGACAGAGACCATTTCCCAAAGATATAATTCTGGTAATTTCTTTAAATATCTAGGGTTATGCGGTTGGTCTTGATTTACAAAGGATGTGATAGTGATGATGACAATGATACTTTGCTAGTTGGATATAGTGCTTCATAGTTTACAATTTACCTGCAGCTATATTTTGAGGGGATAAGAAGAGAACAAAGAACAGAGATAAAGGCCACATAAAAAAAAAAAAAAAAAACCCCGAGAAGCTAGGGTCTTCTGATTTTAGAGCATGTATTCTTTTTGAAAGACTCAATCAAGGTAAGTGCTATAAACAAGCAAACCAAGAAGTGGTAGTAGTAGAAGAAAAAATCTTCAAGCCCTAAAACACAGCACAATATTAAGGCATTCTTTCTAAAATGGGACAGACACTCTTTCATTCACCAAATAATGAATTCTTAGTGAAAATATATCCACCCTTTCAATCTTTACAAATAACTCACTCAATACGAGAAGTCATATTAACTCCTCCCCTTATATTTAAATATTTAGACAAGGGCAAGACATTGATTTTCTTGCTTTCTGTTCTTCCTACCTTCACCACATAATTGTAAGAGATGGCTTTATAATGCGTGGCTTTTCATTAAGAAAATTGATAACTTTCAATATTATATACTGTATAAAGTCAAACAAAACATAAAAATGGGTGTGAAACAGTTAAATACCACTCGCATATATAGTGGCAATGAATAAGCCATTAAAAAAGTAATGTAATAAAGGATTACATATTTATATATCATACAAGAAGTAAGCAGGGCTTTCAATAAATGTGAGAATCCAAGGTGGCACTTAGCCCCATCAGCTAGTGAAAAAAAAAAAAAAAAACACATATTAAATGCCAGTATTCTGCTCAGCACCAGATAGTATTGGAGACAGACAATGCATACTTTGCCCTACTGAAGTTCACCATCTAGGTGGGAAGTTGCTGTCTTTCACCAAAACCCATCTAGAGGATTAATAAAACTCCTCTTATTACTCTAGCAATTTAAAGAAAATATTTTGTAGCAGAACTCAAGAACCTATTTGCAGATTTGGAGAAGACTGGCAAATCTAATGACTGCAAGGATTGCCCAAGTAGTAAATAGGTACAGAAATGGTTGCAGTAATAGAAATACAGCTGCTAAGATTCTGTACTGTGAAGCCTGAAGCTACAGCAATTGTCAGAGTGACAACTGAAATTAGTTGCCATGTTCACAAGAAGGTCACTGGTCTCCAGTGACCCAGAGGGGTCCCACACCAACTTGGATCACACAAGCAGCTGGGTGATACAAACCAGCATGATGAAAGGGAGAGGATCTAAAAGAAAACAAGGCTTTCATACATTAGCTTCTTGAGTGATGGAAGGGGGAGGGGTGAGCAGAGAATGAATAATCATAAATACAAGTAGGAAGTTGGTGGCTCCCCTTCTGAGGATAAGAATGTGGTCCCAAAAACAAATTCAAAGATCAGATGTTCATACAGGATTACAGAGTACAATATGGGAAGTTCTGGACAAGGATGATTTTCAGAATCATAGGAAAGGCAGTTAAATGCACAGCAAGAGAGTCTAGAATCATGGTGGAGACTTGATTAAGCAGAAAGTCTATCTCACCATGCTGTATGTGGACCAATGACACCATCTGCTTCCAAACATTGAAATATCAAACATAGGGAAGCCATACAGAATTAGACAAATACAAGGCATATAAGCGGTTACTACAAGATTTCAGTAACTTTTTTCTTCTCAATACAGGATGTCATGATAGTCGTTTTCAGCAGAGTGATGCAAACAGCTGTGATCGGTTAGCATTCAAAATAACCTTTCTGCAATACCTGGAGTAGGCTTTTTCTAGACCTCTTTTATGAGTGGGGAAAGATATATTAATATGTTGCCTATCAAGATTCTCATTGGATGGAGGACCAAGTGAAGAGGAGCTTTCAGGTGGCTGATTACATTTTAGTGCAGATATTTGTAAGGTATTTTAAAAATTTAACATCACCATCAGGCTATAAGATACATAAAGCTAAGGACTATGACCATCTTGTGCAAGACCTGTATCCCTAGAGTGTAGTGCATAGTAGCTGCTTAATAAGTATTTTTTAGCAAACCTGCTCTTTAGTTGGACACAGTAGTGTGGGTTCAGTTACTGACAGCTATAATCAATTCTCATTATTTGCAGTAATGTTTTATAAAGTCATCATAAACACTGAATTAGTGAATACTGAAACACTGCTCCTAGGGGAAATACAGAGTGAGGTTCCTGTGAGCCTCTGGTCACAACATTTTCATCAACTAGTTAATATATAATATTGTTTTATGTGTGTTTCTGTTTAAAGACATCTTATTTAACAAATATTGTTGATTCATTAAAATTGAACTCAACAGCACTAAACTCATGCCTAAACAAAGCTTATCTAACACATGTATTTTCTCTGTAAAAGCAGAAAGGAAGACCAGACAGAAAGGAAGACCAGATAGCGCTTCAGCACTACACTTGGGACCATTTTAAACAGCAAAATTACCAAAAAAGGAGCAAAAAAGAACCAAAAACAACAACCAAAAATCATGGCACTAAATAGACCATTCCAAGGAAAATTGTTGATGAGAGTCAGAACAAGAGGGCAGAGCATCACCTTGTTCTACCTGAGATATTTTGCTGTCCTGAGAAAGACAAAACAGAAACTCTTTGGTGCAATTAAGAGTAGAAACATATCCAAAAAATAGTTTGTGGTGACCATCCACATGCTCAGCAGTTCCCCAAGAAAATGGGGCCTGATTAAGAGCTATTTTTATCTTTGGATGGTTACATAAAGAAGGAGACATTAGGAAGATGATCATGGAACTAAATGATCACCAAAATGTAAAATGCCATGTTTAGCAGGTACTACTAGAACATTTAAAAAGGCATATTTAGAACAAATAGGTTATACATCAACGAGTAAAATAAAGAAGGGGTAGAACGGGCTAGAAATATGTTCAGAAGAAGTTCAGGGACAGTCACAGGCAGCTATTAAGAAAAGGCAGGAAATATCAGAGAACTTTTTAATAACATGCCACACTAAATTCTTTGGATTCTTGCTAAGGTGGGGTGAAATGCATGTGTTTCTTCTTTGTTTCCTAGCCTAGGAAAGGAGACATGCTGATGATGGTGCCCAGGTTTGTGTAGGTGAGCTTTACCTGTGGGTAGCTCTACAAGTAGATATTAAGCACCCATTGGTGCTCATTCTTTCTCCTGTGTGTGTGCAGAGGCCCAGCTGTCAGGAAGTACAGGAACAGCTCTGGCCAGTTAGGCTTAATGGTTCATTTTAGTTATTCTGGGTGATTGAATCTCCACAATTACAGAAGGCTGCACAAACTCCTTGGCAAGATTGCCTCATCATCACCTCACAGCCTTACCATAGGCCTCCATGCCTTGTAGGCTTAAAGTGTAAGCCAACTATCTCCTGGCCTAGTATCTGGTCATTAGTGAGGCAATTTGGGACTTGAAACCCAATACTCACTTATATTTCCCTTGCCTGGAAAAAAGGAAAGTATTAAGGGTTAACACTGTGAATCAAGTCTCCAAACTGAAGGAAAGACTTTCCATTTGGCTGTCCCCAAAAAGGCATTCTAACTTAACTCATATGGCCTCCTTGCTCTTATGACTCATCCAGTGGTTTCCAAATCCTGATTGATCAAGTGGTTCTCTTGTCTTAGATCTTTTTTGGTACCATATGCAAAAGCACATTTCATTTATTCTTTCAATAATTATTTGAGAGCCCACTATATGTCAGAAACTGTTCAAGGAGACATTGGGGATAATGCAATGAACAAAACAGAGAAGTCTATGCCTCTAGTCATTCATATATATATATGGTGATAAATAGGCATGATATCTAAACTGGCATGGCACTGGCACTGACCAATCAGAAGAGATGTTGGCCATAGTTTTGGAGTAGGGTCCTGGAAGGACATGAGGTATTAACTCTTTGCTTGTTCGATTGTGGGGAGATCCATGGAATCTGGAGGAAGGGGGACAGGTAGCAAAGGGTACTTGGCTCAGGACAGCAGCTATTTATCAGCTTATATGGAAGGAAGTATTTCAGTATTTTTCACAATTGATGTGGCTGAATAGTGTGGCCTGGTAATAAGTGTCTTGGAGAAAATAATGGCATGGCATGACCAAAATGTGAATAGAATTACTTATCCCAGGGACAGTGAAAGAAAATACTTAGGTTTGACAATGGAACTTTTTAGGGGAATGCAGTAAAATAAAGTTGGAAAGGGGAAGTAGGTGAGAGCAGTACTTTAATTTTTTCTAAGCAATAGATTTTGCTTTTGTACCATTCTGTGAAAACAAAACACCCTTAATCTTATTTACCTGGACTGCGTCATGATCTCAAGGTCCTGATGTAAATGATAAGGGTATGAAAACAACAGATGCTTTATAGGAGAACGAATATAAACCAGTAACACCTGAACTTAGTAACATCTGAATACTGATAACTTCCTCTCACTGAGTAGAAAATAAAGCTATAAGTCATGACAAGAAGCAGAAATGGCAGGTCTGTTCTGAGCAATGTACTAGCTTCAGACTTGGTTGGCCTTTGGGCAATGAAGGGTGGGTATTTCCCTAACAGCTCTATTTCTGAAGACAAAAAATTGCATATTAGGCTTAATAGCCTTCTCACTTTTCATTTTGAAGTAGTCTGGATCCAACAAAAGTCATTTTTAAGTATTAGTTTTTGAGAAGGTGCCATTTAAGAGACTCAAGAGATTTAAAAAGTATGCCCAAGAGCTATGAGCAGACTGTAGAGACAGAAAAAAAAAAAACATTTTAGGCCTATGTAATGCCCTCAACATGAACACAGGAAAAAGAAAGAAACAAGACATCTAAAAATCCTGTTTCCATGCCTATGAAAAGAATTCTAATCAATGTTATTCAGAGTGTGGGGAATAGCATCTTCTTTCAATAGTCTGCCAAATCCTAAATGCAAGGTTTCTCAGTTTGAGATATGATTTATCTGGAAGGATGATCCATAACTTTAAGATTTTTTCAAAGCCATCCCTAACCTAAGATTAAGAACCACTGGCATAAATTCATTCATTTATTCAACAAGTATTTATTCAGTGCCTGCTATATGCCAGGTACTAGTCTGAGCACTGGGGTAGTGCAGAGCAAGTCCAGTGTGGTCTCCACTCTCATGGAATTTCCATTCTACTAAGGAGGTTGGAAGAGTTTATGAGAGTTTGAGTCAAACGCACTTGGGCTTAGACACTGGTGTGACAACCTGGAACAGGTTTTTTTTTTTTTTTTTTGGCTCCCTGAACTTCCATTTCTTCCTCTATAAAGTGGGAATAAAAAGATTAGAACTTAAATGACTCAAATATCTAGCACAGGGATAAAAATTCAGTAATTTAATTATTATTTAATTATTACTAAACTCCCTTCACCAGGATAAAGTAGGTATGGGTTGGAGATCTATCATTACTCCATTTTTATAGATGAAAAGGTTAAGCTCAAAGGAGTTGCATGAATTGTGTTAGGCAAGGGAGTAATTAATATAGCTGTGCTCGGGGCTAACTAGCTGACAGATTGGCTGGCTCTTGATTTCTCTCTTCCACAATGCTTTTCCATAATTAGGGCTCTGCTGGATTCATCAGCTTTAAAGAACCATTGAATTATTTAAAACAGGGATTGGCAAACTATGACACACTGCTTGTTTTTATATGGCCCTCAAGTGTGGTTTCTAAATTTTTAAGTGGTTGAACACAAAGAAAAATAGTATTTTGTTTAAACTTGAAAATTATTAGAAATGTAAGTTCCAGTCTCCATAAATAAAGTCTTACTGGAACACTGCACACCCATTTGTTAATGTACTGTTCTGTAATGGTTTTCATGCTCCAACAGCATATTTGAGTAGTTGTGACAAGAGACCATATGGCCTGCAAAGCCTAAAATATTTACTATCTGGCCCTTTACTAAAAAAGTATGCCAACCCTGATTTAAAATGTAATTTTCTCTTGTAGGATAGACATACCAAATATACATCTTCTAAATGAGTAATGAATATACCTTAAAATTAAAAAATCAAGTGTATCTGATAAGTGTGCAGAGTGAAACATTTTGATCACAGCAATTGGAATATTTAAATGAGACAATAAATATTTATGAGCATTTTAGAAGTATTAAGTCATTTGAGCTTCACAACAACTCTAAGAAGCAAGTACTTTTTACATCTGAGAGAAGTGAAATTCAACAAGGTTGGGAAATATATCAGAGGCCACAAAGCTAGTAAATAGCTGGGCTACAATTTTAATTGAAGCCTATACTTCTACCTACCAGACCAATATCACATAATGGATAGCCCAACAGTAAGAAGCTTTGTATAGGTAGGCTTACCTAATCTCTGCCTTTCCAAAATCTATTCCCTGATGTTACCTTATAGCTAGTTTCATTACTTCTCTAAGATACTTTTTTCCTTCTGTAAAATGAGAAAAATACCTAACTTGAGAGGTTTTTTTTTCATTGACAATATTCAATATAATTGCCAGGTTATTGTAAAGACAATATATTTATAATGCCCTACCTGTATCAATATATCACATGTACCCCCAAAATATGTGCAACTATTATGTATCAGTCAAAAATGGCCATATATTAGGTCACACAGAAGCCTCAATAAACTAGTATGTGTGTGTATATATATATATATATATATATATATATACACACACATACATATATATGTATATTACAATGCCTGGATACTATATTATATATGTATCACAATGCAAAAAAATATATATTTTACAATGCCTGGCATACTATAAATGATAGCTACCACTACTTCATTACTATTGCATAGGAGATATTTTCTTAAGATGCACATGCATAGCAAATCTGCTAAGCCAACTCTGGGGGCAGAGGGAGGTGGCAGCTATAAGAATTGCAAAGACAATTAAATATGTTCCTTAGACCCTGAAAGAAAGCCTAGCAATCATTCCCAGGCTGTCAGTGTTTGTTAGACAGCTTCTCCTCCTGGAGATGGTTTCTGCACCCACAGTAAAGGAAAGGAGTGACAAATACTGCTGAGGTTGGGATGAGGAGCTGGTAATCCATCCTAGGTCAGTTCTTCATAGTTGATGAATGGTGTTTGCCTATAAGAAAGTGTGTGCTCTACGGGAAGAATCAACATTAGCATGTGGAGAAGAAACAGCTATTATGTAGAAATAGTAGAGGCAGCAGTTGTGAGGAAAGGTAGGCACAGTAGTTGTAATTTTTACTCTAGAATTCTCTTCTTTGAAAAAGTAAACTAGAGAGACTGAGGCACTGAAACGTGCTATGACATTACTTTGAACCCCTACCAGGGAAAATACCTGCTACAAGATTTCCTTAATCTCTAATCTGGTAGCAGATATTTCCCCTGGTCACGAACCTAGGAGTTTATCTTCCATTGCTGAACAAACAATAATTACCTTCCTAGTGTGGGCCAAGCACTGTTGCCAAGTACTGTGATCAGATCTTCTCAACTGATTCTCACAACTACCCTGTGAAGCAGATGTTGATATCTCCATTTTATAGATGTGAAAACAGACTTGGAAGGGGCAAGTGATGCTGAACCTGGCCCAACACTGCTGGTAAGAATCAGAGGTAGGATTGAATCAAGTCTTTTGACACCTATTCCACTGCCCTTTCAACTAACCTTAGCTACCACTCATAGCTAGTGTTCTGTGTGGATACAATGCCCTACATGTATCAAAATATCACATGTACCCCCATGTGTTAATTTGTTAATTCATTCAACAAATACTTATGAGTATGAAGAAGTGTCTAAGAGGGAGCACACACTGCAGTAAAACCCAGACACGGGAGGAAGCATGGAGGACAGGGGGAATAAGGAATGACTGCAAATGGGTATGGAGTTTTTTAGGATGTTGAAACTGTTCTAAAAGTAGATTGTGGTGATGGTTATACAACTCTTGGAGTGTACTACAAATGACTGGACTGTACACTTTAAATGGATGATATTTATAATATGTAAATTATATCTCAATAAAGCTGCTAAAAAAGAAGAAAGAAAATAAAAATAAATATACCAAAAAAGGATATACTCTATAAGATTAGAATAGAAATAGGCATATGTCATGAGTCTTTACATCAAAAGAGAATATTGTACAGGATTATGATATTATAGTTTGATTTTGGTACATGTCATAATAAAATAAATGATTATAAACATAAGAACAAAACAAATAAACAAAAAAGCCCAGGTACAGCCAGATGCAATGGCTCATGCCTAGAATCCCAACACTTGGGGAGGTAGGTGGAGGCAGGAGGATCACTTGAGCCCAGGAGTTTGAGGCCAGCCTGGGCAACATAGCAAGACGCTGTCTCTACAAAATAAAAAAGTCAGCCAGGTGTGGTGATGCATGCCTGTAGTCCCAGCTACTCAGGAGGCTGGGTTGGGAGGATCGCTTCAGCCAAGGAAGTCGAAGCTGCAGTGAGCCACGATCACACCACTGCACTCCGGCCTGGGTAACAAAGTGAGACCCTGCCTCAAAAAAAAAAAAAAAAAAAAAAAGGGTGGGGGGATTCTTAATTCTTTCCTGCTTAACTCCCACAGGTGTTATGTTAGGCTCAAAATTAGGTTTGCTGCCCAGGTGTGGTGGCTTATGCTGTAATCCCAGCATTTTGGGAACCTTAGGCAGAAGGATCGCTTGAGGCCAGGAGTTCAAGACTAGCCCTGGCAACATAGCGAGACCCAGACTCTACAAAATAAATAAATAAATAAATAGGTTTTTTTTTTTTAAATAGGTTTGCTAGGACACCTTTTTCCATACCAATAAGATACATTTAATAAGAAAGCATTGAGCACCCCTTAGTTCTGGTCTTGTACTAAGTGCTTTACAAAGAAAACAACTGTGAAGCATGCTCATGCTTCCTTTCCAAACTTTAAGTTCATTTCTCTGTGAATTGAGAAGCAGGGTCTGAATGCATAGAAATATATACAAGTTTTGACATAGATGGGAACAGAAAAGAATTCCCTCTTAATTTGAAAAGTTCCCACTGATCCATGATTCCAACAAATCAATGGTATAATTCAACAATTGAGGTTAAAGTTAGTACCTTATTCCTATTTGAACTCAAATGTAAATGGTGCTAGATTTGCTCATTTCCTTGAGTAAAAGCTGTAAGAATTAAGGCCTTTCAATTTCTTTTCCAGTTTTACAGAATTTGATGAGTCTAAAGTAAGCCATCCCATAACATCAGTAAACATACCTTAATTAAACTGGAATTTTAACATTATAATTTACTTTTAGAAAAAGAGGCAAAAGCCAAATAAACTGATAATAGGAACTTACTTTAAAGATGCTCTGGAAGTCCCAGACTTGTTCTTAGGGCAGTACAGATTCTGCTCTGATAACCTTCTACACTGACCACACAGGATGAAGTGAAACAGTATGAGAAGGATGAGCCCGAGACACTGAAAGACCTGGATGTGCTTTCCAAATCATTACATAAGACAAACATGAAACTTAATAGAATATATTATACTTACTAAACGATGCACAAAGATTATACTAAAACATGTTTTCAAAGAAGTTGAAAACCAGGTTATCTTCTCTTTGCACAAACTTATTCTATATATACATATCCATTTCACCCATTTCAGTTAATCTAGGGTTACAACATATTATGACTAAAGTCCATTAAGCAGTCAGTGTCCTTCAAGGTTCGACAAATTACTAGATTGTTTCTGTGTATATTTTTAAGTTTATAACTTGATAATTCATTGATTGAAGTTATGGCCATTTGTCTATATTAGGGCTTATTAGGACAAACACTATTTGCTGACTTTGGAAATGCTTATTTTTCCTGTGCTTACTCATCTCTAAGGAAGAAAGACTAAACCAGATGAATAAAAACCCTCCCCAACATTTCAATAGGCTAAAAACCCTTAATATGACATAAATAAGGGTAAGGGTTTAAAGACGATGAGTTCAAATACTTAAGAGAATTTGAAAGCTGTATCCCCTTACAGTTGTTTTTGAAAGTACTTAGCACGTGAAAATAACCAATGCTTACTAAGCAAGAGGTGTTATTTAACATTTGTGTACCTTATCTCTAGAGATATCCCAATATCCAATTACATGCACCCTGTCTTCCTGTACTCCACCCTCTATTTTACAGTTGACAAAGTGGACACAGAGATTATGCAATCTAACATCACACTGCTAGTAAATGCCAGAGCCAGGATTACAAGGACTCTTAAACCTTGATGTAGATGTAAATTGCCTGGGGCATCTTGATAAAATGAAATCGGATTCTGTAGTGCTGGGGTGGGGGCTGAGAGTCTATATTCCTAACATGTCAATGTTCCTGATCCACAGACCTTCCTTTGAGTAGTAAGATTATTACAAGATTCAGTAAAGAATGTCTAGATGCTCCTCCATCCTGTTTGTTTTAGAATATTGGCATACATAATCTTATTGTGCTTTGCTTTATCGTGCTTGGAAAAAATAGGTTTTTTTTAATTGAAGGTTTGTGGCAACCCTGCACCAAGCATGTCTATCAGTGCCATTTTTCCAACAGCACATGCTCAATTCATGTCTGTGTGTCACATTTTGCAAGACATTGCAATACTGATGTGTCAATATTGCAAGACTTTCAATTTTTTTCATTATTATACTAATATGATCTTTGATGTTGCTATTGCAATCATTTTGGGGCCACAAACTGCACCCATATAAGATGGAAAACCTAATCAATGAATGTTGTGTGCTCTGACTGCTCCACTGACCGGCTGTTCCACTGTGTCTCGCCCTCTTTGGGCTTCCCTATTCCCTGAGACACAGCAATACTGAAATTAGGCCAATTAATAACCTTACAATGCCCTCTAAGTATTCATCTGAAAGGAAGAGTCACATATTTTTCACTTTAAATCAAAAGCTAGAAATGATTAAGCTTAGGGAGAAAGGTACGTCAAAAGCCTAGACAGGCTGAAAGCTAGATTTCTTGCTCCAAACAGCTAAGTTGTGAATGCAAAAAAAAAGTTATTGAAGGAAATTAAAAGTGCACTCCAGTGAGCACAAAATGTGATGAAATGTGTCCCTATCAGTAAACAGGGACAAAGTTTTAGTGGTCTGAATATAAGATTAAACCAGCTATAACATTCCCTTAAGCCAAAGCTTAATCTACAGCAAGACCCTAACTCTCTTCAATTCTATGAAGGCTGAGAGAAGTGAGAAAGCTGCAGAAGAAAAGTCTGAAACTTGCAGAGGTTGGTTCATGAGGTTTAAGGAAAGAAGCCACCTCCACAACATAAAAGTGCAAGGTGAAGCAGCAAGTATTGATGTAGAAGCTGCAGCAAGTTATCCAGAAGATCTAGCTAGCTGATGAAGGTAGCTACACTAAACAACAGACTTTCAAAGTAGAGAATATAGACTTCTATTGGAAGAAGATGCCTCTAGGACTTTCATAGCTAGAGAAAAGTTAATACCTGGCTTCAAAGCTTCAAAGGAAAGTCTGACTCTCTTATTAGGGGCTAATGCAGTTGGTGACTAAGTTGAAGCCAATGCTCATTTGCCATTCCAGAAATTCTATGGCCCTTAAGAATTAGGCTAAATCTACTCTACCTGTGCTCTATAAATGGAACAACAAATCCCAGATGACAGCCTGTTTACAGCATGGTTTACTGAATATTATTATTATTTTTTGAGACAAAGTCTCACTTTGTTGCCCAGGCTGAAGTACAGTGGTGCAATCTCGGCTCACTGCAACCTCTGCCTCCCAGGTTCAAGCAATTCTCCTGTCTCAGCCTCCAGAGTAGCTGGGACTACAGGCGTGTGACACCATGCCTGGATAATTTTTGTATTTTTAGTAGAGACAGGGTTTCACCATGTTGGCTAGGCTGGTCTTGAACTCCAGATCTCATGATCCACCTGCCCCAGCCTCCAAAAGTGCTGAGATTACAGGTGTGAGCCACCGCGACTGGCTGGTTTACTGAATATTTTAAGCCATTGTTGAGATCTACCTCTTAGAAAAGAAGAGTTCTTTAAAAATATTACTGCTCATTGGTAACGCACCTGGTCACCCAAAGTCTCTAATGGAGATTTACAAGATGAAATTTTCATGCCTGTTACACACCATCCATTCTGCAGCCCATGAATCAAGGAGTGAATTCAACTTTCAAGTCTTATTACTTACCAAATACATTTTTTGTAAGGCAATAGCTGCAACAGATAGTAATTCCTCTGATGGATCTGGACAAAGTCAATTGAAAGCCTTCTGTGAAAGACTCACCATTCTACATGCCATTGAGAACATTTGTGATTCATGGGAGGAGGTCAACATATCAATATTAATAGGAGTTTGGGAGTAGATTCCAACCCTTATGGATGACTTTGAGGAGTTCAAGACTTCCATGGAAAAAGTAACTGCAGATGTAGTTGAAATAGCAAGAGAACTTGAATTAGAAGTGAAGCCTGAAGATGTGACTGAATTGCTGCAATCTCGAGAGAAAACTTTAATGCATAAGGAGCTGCTTTTTACGGATGAGCAAACAAAGTAGTTTCTTGAGATGGAATATATTGAAGATGCTGTGAACATTGCTGGAATGACAATAAGGACTTAGAAGATTTCACAACCTTAGTTGGTAAAGCACTGGCAGGGTTTGAGGGGACTGATTCCAATTTTGAAAGAAGTTCTACTCTGAGTAAAATGCTAAAGGACAGCATTGCATGCTAGAGATAAATCGTTTGTGAAAGGAACAGTCAACGGATGTGGAAAATTGCATTGCTGTTTTATTTTAAGAAATTGCCACAGTCACTCCAACCTTTAGTAGCCACCACCTTGAGCAGTCAGCAGCCATCAACATCAAGGCAGGACCCTCTACCAGCAAAAAGATTACGACTCGCTGAAGGCTCAGATGATCGTTAGCATCTTTTCACAATAAAGAATTTTTAAATTAAGGTATGTACATTGGCTTTTAAAAAACATAATACTATTGCACACTTAATAAGCTACAGTATAGTGTAAACATAACTTTTATATGCACTGGGAAATTAAAAAATTCTGGTGACTTGCTTTATTGCAGTATTCACTTTACTGTGGTTATCTGAAATGGAACACAGAATATTTATAACCTATTAGCCTGTATGTGCACATATGGTGATAGGGATTCAAGAAACTAAGAGCTTCAGTTCAGTGTCCCAAGTTATACCATGGGATTTTGTTTGAGGCAAAACTGTGATCATGTGTCATTTGACTTACTCTGTGAAATGACATTTGCTATATCTGTAGTGAGGCATTTTTTTCACTATGTTGCAATTTATTTGCACTTAGCTGGAATATCTCTTTTATAATTTTGTTTCCAGCACCTAGCAGACAGCCCAAAAGTTTATTGCAGAAAGCTAGCACCAAACTCTTATTCTCTTCATCCTGGGCCCACAGACTACATTTCCTAGCCTCCTAAACTTACACTTAAGTGTAGCCAAGTGACTGAGTTCTACATAATGGCATTTGAACAGAAGTGGTATGTGCCACCTCCAGTTCTGACATATAAAAACTTTGTGGGCAGGTCCTCCATGCTGTTTTCCCATCTGCCAGCTTGAAGCAGAAAAGCACGAATCCTTTGGGAGCCACATGTTGAAGCTGGCAGGCCCCCAATATTGAAGATACTTAGGTCTCTGAATCAGGACTTGGAGAAGAGCTGCTTGCTCATCAGGAACATCTGTTTAGGCTTTATGTGAAAAATACATTTCTACTGTGGTTAAACCATTATGCATTTTCAGATTGTTTGTTATGGCAGCTAGCATTACTTCGACATATAGATCCTTAGTAATGATTTGCTGAATGAGTAGAAGAAGTATAGATTTTCTCTGTATTGTGATCTTGCCCATTTCAGGCAAGAACAAGCTAGAATTTCCATGCTATCAAATTAATGTCAGAAAAAATGAGCTCATAGGTAAGAATTCAGTTTCTCTTGTGAGAGCCTCCATAATTTTATTATGAAGCTTATCTTGGCATACTTTTGGCACTTGATAGGGTATCACTGCCCAAGTCTGTGCAGTTTTCTAGGTGGTGTAAGTTCATCATATTCAGATAAACATTTTCTTAGTGTTACTTGGTTGCCCAAGAGGTGATTCTAAATGCTGCTTTCCTGTTTAACTTTGCTGAAAGGAGGAATTTCTATTTAAGGGATGAGACAGTAAATGAGCATTTGTGTAAAAAAAAAAAAATCCCAAATGTTTAAATTTAACATTAAACCCACCTCAAAATATTTTCACAATCCCACAATGATGATTGCTAACCTCTGCTGCTAGTTCCTGAACTCTGGTCCTCCCCTGGAACTTGGCTAAGCAAATGTCATGTAAACAAAAAATAAATAATGAATTTTTTAAAATCCCCCTTCTTTAGAGGACATAAGTGGGAATGTTAAAGTCTGACAGCTGTGCAAATGTAGTTATCAACCAAACAGCTCAAGCTATCAGTGGCAATGTCACCGACAGTACCTAGAATCTACATGATTTGGCGTTAGTCCAATCTGCTTTAACCTGCCTGAGCCTCCATTTCTTCATTTGTAAAATAAGGGGTTTCAGTGATTCTGAACTGTCTGAGAACCAGTATCCCCTTTCATAATAAATTTTAACACCTAATTTACTTTTAGAAATAAAATTGATAACATAACCCCCATTTCAAAAAACATATTTTATAATTTATATTATTTCAAAATGTAAATACCAGACACATCTAAACTAGAAAACATAAATAGTCAAATGCTTTATAAACCTACTAATAAACAGTAAGTTTGGATTTTAAAGAAGCAAAAGACTAGAGGCCATCCCATTCAAGTAGTAAAGGAAAAGTTATATAAAAATGTCTTATTTGTATTCAATAAGAGAAAGAGGACCATAACTTTAACTGAACTAGGCTTATAACTCAAGTCAAATAACATTGTTGAAATGAAGAAAATTAGGAAGACTGGGCTGTATCTATAAATGTTATGCCAGAGCACTTTTCTTTTTCTTTTTATGTTTGGAGACAGAGTCTCGCTCTGTCACCCAGGCTGGAGTGCAGTGGCACGATCTTGGCTACTGCAACCTCCGCCTCCCAGGTTCAAGCGATTTTTCTGCCTCAGCCTCCTGAGTAGCTGGGACCACAGGCGTGCACCACCATGCCCGACTAATTTTTGTAGAGATGGGGTTTCACCATGTTGGCCAGGCTGGTCTCAAACTCCTGACCTCAGGTGATCCACCCACCTCAGCCTCCCAAAATGCTGAGATTACAGGCATGAGTCACTGTGCCCAGCCAAGCAATTTTCTTATGGTATGATATGTTGAGGCAGTGATGAAGTATTACAGAAAACATATGTTCTATCTTGATAACCTGCACATATGGAGAGAAATTCATTCACTAAACTTGAAGACTCTAGAAATGTAGAAAAGAAGCTGCAATGGAAAAGAATCAATAATTTCCACAACATAGATTATTATTATTGTGTTGTTATCTAGGATGGGATAAAGGGACATATTTTAAAAATAATCTTAATTAACAAAATTCAATAACAGCCTCATATTTCATGTCTCTACTACTTTAATAATTTGTGCAAATTTATGTTTTAGTAAGTAGAGAAAATTTTTAAATTTGATAACTACCATCTTCATTAATAAATAATTACTGGAGTAGTTTCTTTTGCAACTCTCTACTAGTATTTCCTCCCATTACCCAAACAGAGACGAAGCAAAACAAACAAAAATCCAGCCTACAGTATGTTTCTTCATTTTTACAGAATTGCAGAGTTTACCTTAGAAAACTAAGAAAAGATAGAAGACTGACTAAAAACTAAAGTTTTGAAAGATGTTTTACATATGAACATTAGGATGTTTGCACACTATTTCACAAAACTGACATGGAATAATACTGATGGGGGGAATGCTTTTTCTGCAAAAAAAGCTATATTGCAATTCAGGGAGAATCTCATGTTATTAGTTACTGATCACAAATATGCAAGAGAATAATAATGCTAAGTTGAGCCCAATGGTCTGAATATTCCTTTACTGTAGCACAATCTGGCATGACTGCCTTTAAATGAAATCTGTATTTCACATCAATTTGAAATCAGCACATCATACAATTTTTAAAAGGAAATTTAGCTATTTACCCCTCTACAGAATCACTGATTTGACAATAAATATTTTTGAGAAAATATAAGAAAATAAACTTTCTAAATAAGCAATTTACATTGATATTCTATATTTAAATTATGTTTTATAAAAGCATGCGCTTTGGAGTCAGATCTGGATTTGAATCCTGATTCTACCACTCAATATGTAATATATATAAAGAGCTTAGCAGCGTTCAAGGCACACAGTAAATCCTCAAATGTTAGCTGTTATTATTTCTAATCAAAGCAGTGGTGGCTGCTATTTATAAACACTACTATGCATGCTTTATGTACATTATTGCATTTGTTCCTCCTAATTATTCAATTAATATTATCCCTGTTGAATACACAAAAACACTGAGGTTCAGAAAAAGTTGAGAAACAGGCCCAAGGTCTGAGTGTGTCAGAAGCCAAAGCGCCAATGCTACTGACCACTAAATTGTTGCTTCTTAAACTGGGGTCCATGCAAAATCCTTGTGGAGTATATATGTGTTGGGTGTAGGAAAGTGCCCATGAACTTACTATGAGAATTATGCATTATTCATGTTGATGAAACATTTTAAAATAATATTCATGCTCTGAATTATTTGGATAATTGTATTAAAACCAAATATTGGCAGAACCATCTCAGTGCTTAGGTTTGTATTTGTATTGACTTCCCTGTTAAGGCCCAGTTCTACATTAGTGGTGGAAGGCTTATGGAGAACAGAGGCTGTTTTAATAGGGGAATGATGGATTCAGGCTAGATGAGGACCAAATAACATCACTATGTGCTGAACAAATTAAAGTAATAGTCTGAATAGGAGAAAACAGGGTGAATTGGGTCATCACATAGTACATGGCAGTACATGCCTGTTGAACTGAAAAGAGCCTGTACTGTAGCACTCAGTACCATAATCACATTACAAGTGACAATTTCATTTTGTCAAAACATCACTATTTAATACTATTTTAAATTTTATTAGTTTTATAGTTTTGCTTGTGTTAACCCATAAACTTGTTTTGGTTTTATACTTGTGCAAGACATATAAACATAAAGCATTTATACCTAGTTTTATGTTTATATATATTTAGATAACATTATAATAAATATAAATTAAGCAAAAACTGAGGAGCTAAGAGATTTTTTTCCTTATTAAAAAGTGAAGTACATTATTCAGTTTGAGAAAACTGGTCTACACGGTCGGTCCTGCTTGTGAATGTCGTCTTCAGGAGGTAACTTCTATTATCACCAACCTCACAGGATTTGTAAGAGCATTAGAAGAGACGATGAACGTTAGAGTGCCTGGACCACAGGAAGAATTACAATGACAGTTCTGTCTCCTTTCCTTGAAAGAGAAAATCTGGAAGCTAAATGCAGTCTATACTCTTTTACTCTAACTATGGTCTGGGGACCAGGAGAATTGATAACACCTAAGAGCTTGTTAGAAACTGATAATCCCAGAGGCCACCCCAGAACTATTGAATCTGAATCTCCATTTAATAATATCCTCAGCTGATTTGATACATGCACATGAAAGTTTGGGAAACACTAGTCCAGGTCTCCACAGAGAATGTTGACTAAAATTCACTGAGTTTTTAACTACTCTTAAGGTTAACTTTGGTAATTAGAGAAAGACCTCATGTAAATGGTCAAAAAATAATGTCCCATCCTGGGGTTCAATATAAACACTATTATTTCACTATTGATTCTTCATAGGCTATATTTGTATAGAGTGAGACCCTCTTTAAAAGGGATCTAACTTCTAATTCAGAATGAGCAAAAAATATTTTAAAATACAAAGTTTTCATAAAAGCTTTCTGAATTTTCAGTAAGCAAATTGTAAGATCTGTCAATTTAAGCATTTTTAGGTTTCCTTCGCCCAATACCAATTAAAATCATTTATATATGTTAAGCTCTTAAATATTTAGCTCACAAGATCTGGTCTAACAAAGTCCTGTCTCAGTCTGTGATGACTGTGTGCTTACGTTAACGAAACACATTACAAAAAAAAAAGGTATGACTGTGTATATAAAATGTATTAGCTTTACTGTCCAACAAAAGTATCAGATCACATTCTGCAGTTGTGATTTTGTTAGTGTAATTCACCTACAGAATACCTATGCTTTTCTTCCTGAACTCAGTGGTCCTATACATTTAAGGCATACTGTACTTGAAAAGATTCAAAGATGCTGTTCTTAAAAGTGTAAAAAATAACTAATATACAAGAGAGTCACTAATATCTAAAATGATCTTGATACCATCTGTTTAAGGACTAGTTCAGTAAGACTCAAAGATTGAACTAGGTTATTTATTGCTCTATGTTCTCTACATATGGACCACAGAAGTCCGACTCAAAGAATGTAAAACAAGGCAGATTATGCATATATGTGTGTGTGCATGCATGTATATGTATATATGGTTAGGCCTACCAGGCAATCCTTATCATCTCTGGGTTTATGATATGACCTAGATTATAGGTATGTTATGAACTGAATGCTTATGTTCTCCTCCTCGTCTGCAAATTCATATGTTGAAGCCCTAACATACAAAGTGATGGCATTTGGAGGTGGGGCCTCTGGGTGGTAATCATGTCATGAGGGTGGAGCCCTCATGAATGAGATTAGTGCCCTTATAAGAAGAGACAGGAAAGTAACGATGTCTCTCTCTCTCTGCCAAGTGAGAATACAGCAAGAAGCCAGAAGAGGGCCCTCATCAGGAATTGCGCTGGATGGCACTTTGATCTTGGGGTTTCTCAGCCTCCAACTGTGAGAAATAAATGTGTTTTGTTACGCCACCCAGTTTACGGTATTCACCCAAAATGACTAAGGTAAGGTAAAGCCCTCCTTTCATTCTTCATGGTCTTTTTGCAAAACAAGAGTTAATTATATGCCAAGAAGCATTAGTGCCAGCACAGTTAAAACACTCTAGCGCACGTTAATTATGATGATTACAACTTAAGAAAACTATAATCAGAAACCTGGCCAGGCACAGTGGCTTATGCCTGTAATCTGGCACTTTGAGAAGCCAAGGTGGGCAGATCACCTGAGGTCAGGAATTCGAGAGCAGCCTGGCCAACATGGTGAAACCCCGTCTCTACTAAAAATACAAAAATTAGCCGGGCATGGTGGTGCATGTCTATAATCTCACTTACTGGGGAGGCTGAGACAGGAGAATCTCTTGAACCCAGGAGACAGAGATTACAGTGAGCCGAGATCGTGCCATTGCACTCCAGCCTGGGTGACCAAAAAAAAAAAAAAAGTACAGTAAGGCCCTTTAAAAAAAAAAAAGAAAAAGAAAAAGAAACCTAACTAACTCCAGTTTTCAAGGTGTTTTTATATTATCCTGCAGTTCTTTTGGTCCTTAATACAATCAATCCACTGCCACTAGAACCATGTAACTCTCCTCTATATAGTACTTCAAATTCTAATCATTTCTGTGCATATATTAAGCAATTTAAACTCTATATACATACATACTGTCAATGTATCGGGGAAATACAAAGAGTGATCTTTAGTTTATGCTGAATACTTAATTTTATCACTTCTCCATTAACTGTTATAAAGACAAGACTAAACCTACAGTTTGAATTCATTAAACAATATCCAAGCAAACAGAAAAGAAGAGGAAATAGGCAAGCCATGTTTTTCTACTAGAGTGACTATACTTATCCCTCTTTAAAAAGAAGTGATATTTTCAATTTCAGAAATTTGATTAAAAAACTACATCTATTTTTCCTACCAAAAATACTCAAAAAACCCTCTGCTAATTACTCTCAAAATACTGCAGATGTATTCCTTTGAAAAAGGAAATACAGGATGGGCACGGTGGCTCATACTGGTAAGCCCAACACTTTGGGAGGCCGAGGCAGGAAGATCACTTGAGGTCAGGAGTTTGAGACCAGTCTGGCCAACATGGTGAAACCCTGTCTCTACTGAAAAAAAAAAAAAAAAAAAAAAAAATTAGCCAGGCATGGTGGCAGGCACCTGTAGTCCCAGCTACTAGGGAGGCTGAGGCAGGAGAACCACTTAAACCTGGGAGGCCGAGGCTGCAGTGAGCCGAGATCACACCATTGCACTCCAGCTTGGGTGACAGAGTAAGACTGTCTCCAAAAAAAAAAGAAAAAGAAAAAGGAAATATAAAGCATCCGCCAATGAAACATAATATACATTAAAGGAGAAAACGTCTTTAAAATATGTACCATTTGCCCTCACGAGTCTAATAAAGGCTGAACCTTTTTTAAGAGGTAATTTTCACTATCAAGAAACTTGGATATAGATGAATTAAGAACCCAAATACACGTGGAAGCAAGAAGTGTACTTGTTTTAAAAATCATATTATGCCTTGCATGATTAATAAATTAATATTTTATAACTTGTGTCTTCAACAATTCAATTAGCATTTGGCATGACCAAAGTTTAATTAAATTAAAGACTTGGTGGTGCTTTGAATTAACATCAGATGCTGGTGGTCATCTCCATCCAGTATCCCCTTTATCCTCTAATATGTCCTTGAAAATGGCATGTATTATTCAGGCTAAACCTTTTCACAAAGGCAGATTGGTATACCAAATGTTGCTTAATCATTTCAATATCAAGGTCATTATATTTCTCCTCTAGGATTTGGTACTTTGAAGCAACTTCATTCTATAACACTTTAGACATCTATAAAAGCATGAACTTGGTCCCACATCAAATTTAGTTTCAGTGAGAAGAGTGGTCCTTATCTTTCTTTAGTCATCATTGAATTATAAAACACAGTTGATATGTATATAGTTCTGTATCACCTTTATACCCTAGGACATCAATTGTACTAAAATCTCAGCATATGTAGAATCCTGCTTGTGTTACTAAACATTAATATACTGGTATGAATATAGCAAAGGAACATCCTTTCAAAATCATTGCCTGTAAGAAATTGTATATATAAATTTGCTTCCTTTCAAATTGGCAAAGTAGCTTACGGCCTCTATTATCTCTACAGAAAATGGTTTGGGCCAGGTTCTTGAGGTAGCCAAGTTCCCCTTTAACAAAGAAAAGTTGGCAGACTTTCATAGCTGCTCCTTGTGAAGAAGATACCTCAAATATGATCTCACGATTGACTGTAGAAGATGAAGTTAAAGTTGCAGACTTTTAAGGTACAGTGCCCAAGGGGTTAAAAAAAAAGTACTGTTTGAGAGAAAGCTTAACATCCGACATCTGACTGGCTGCCTGGATGTGATGACCTAGGGGACATAAGAGAAAATCTTAACATAGATGTATATATAAGGATCAAGTAATTTTGAGGTCTGACACAAAGAAAATGTGTTCAATACATGCAAAAGATAAGAACCTTTATCTAAAAAATGTAAAGTCTCTTCTTGTTTATATGGGAAAATACAGGATGAATTTAATGCACTATAGGGGCATTTCCCTATCATAAATGAAGAGAATATGTTTCTTTGATCTCCAATGAAGAATTAGTTTGGGCAGAAAAGAATGGGACCCTTGGAAGCACTGATCTGGAGCACATGATAGAACAGAAAGGTTCTGCTTTTTTTTTTCTCTGAACTGCCAATGTACGTGATGGGGTGAGGAAGATGGGGCTGTGGGGAGGTGGCTGTAGGAATCAAAAAAAGTACAAAGCTACCCAGATGGGAATAATAATGGTTTGACCTTAATTCAAGAAGAAATGTTTAAAATGGCCAACAGATGCCTCTTATTGAAGTATAGCATCAGGGGATGAGCAGGCCAGAAGAGATTCTGGACAAAAGAGGAAGGAGGTCATCAGGGTTGGAATTTTACACTAACAGGTATTGCCACACAAAAAGAAAAATCACTCAAATGGTATCAAGGACAAGAGGAGTGCTGTGTAGCATTCCCTCATATATATTTATTCCCATTTAAAAACTAACTGAAGATACCCCACCACAACAAAGCCCTTTCTAAATGCTATCTTCATGATACCTCTGTGAGGTAGGCAGCATAATTCTAATTTTTACTCATAACCAAGCTAAGGCACAAATAGAGCCTGAGTGGTAAAAGTGGTCTTTTGCCAATTATCAGCTCCCTGGATTTGTTCACTGTGACACACTTCCTCCACACTGATGCAGGCAACTCAAGAGATGCTGCTATGAAATGTCCTTAGAGGTAGTAGACCTGATAGCTAAACAAAATCATTCATGACTCTGGAAGACAACACACTCTCTAAATGCTCACTGCTGGAGTCTTGGAAGATGCTCTTAAGAGTACTAATATGTGCGGTCCTTTTGAATAAGACCAAATCATCCATGATTATAGGAAAAAGGCTGAAGATACAGTCTTCTTGTTTCACCCCACACTGTTGAGATCGGAACTGTGGCAATCTTAACAAGTCATATAATCCAAGGAACCTTAGTCCTTAAACTTTAGTCTTAACTTGTACATTAACATTCTAAGTCCTATGTTTTGCTAATGATTTTGATGTTTTTTGTCAGATACATTTCCACATTCTTGGACTCAGGTAATTCTCTTTTAACACAGCCAAATTATCTTTATAAAATATACATGGTATTAACACCATGGATCTGAAGCAAACAATGCATCTGGTTAGCATACATTGGTTCTGTATATTTCGAGAATCACTTAAGTACACAAAGGAAGCGTGCAATGTTAGAGAGATGATGTGAACAGTCTTGGTGGTTTATCTAATGGAGAATTCGGTGTCCTTCAGGAAACTAAAGATACTCAAAAGTTGCTCCCCAATTTCTATTAACAATCTAAAAATGAACATTTCCATTTCATATAAATATACAAATTTAAAATGTGTGCAGTTCAGAATGGCCTACCATTTTTAGATTGCTTATGTGCCAGAAAATATACAGTCAATAAAAAAATACCAGAGAGGTGGGGACAAAAGGCTCTCTGGATCTGTACAGCAACAATGAATATCACTTCAACAGGTAGCTATTCGTGGAGGAAGTGGCATCCTGGGAACCAAGAAGCACTGAAAGATGGCAGGTCACAAATCTGGTGATGGGGGATATGATGTATAGTAAGGCCCGTTTTCCTGTGGAAAGAAAAAAGGAGAAGAACATTTAAGTAACAGAACCAATTTAACTGGAAATGTGAAAAAAAGGGATTTACAGTCATTGAGGTAGTGATATAAAATGTCTAGCACATGTCTGGCACTAAGCAGGCCCTCAGCCATTAGGTAGTTCAACTAGTATCACTCAGAGTATAAGACAGACAAAGGCAATAGGATCATAATATTTTTTAAGAATAATACCACTTATTGAATATTTTATGTGCCAGACAATTTATAGGCGCTTTTAAAGTCATCCCTTTAAATCTTCACATAATGCCATGAAGTAGGTAACATCCTCACTTTACAGAAGAGGAAACTGAGGATCACACAGATTGCATAATTTGCCTAAAGTTACCTAGTTGGTAACCAGCACAGCCTGAATTTAAATTCAAATCTATTTAAATCTAACATCCAGATTCTTTTTTGTTAGATTGTGTTGTCTTACTGTGTGCCAAATCTTAATTTAGAGTTAGGAAAACAAAAAAGTTATCACAGAGGAATTTAATAGCTATAACTATTTTGGCAGAAGTGAGTCTTCATGACATGCCTGAGTGGCAAGGCTTGTAACAATTACAGTTCTCAGGAAATTTAGTTCAAGATCAAGATGGAGAATTAAATGCCAAACCTTTAATGTCAATGTAAGGGTAACAAATTAGTGCAAGGGGGAATTTTTTGGCTCTGATTTTGGCTAATCTCAGTAAAAATCAAGACAGTTAAGTTTATGATAGAAGGATCCTGGATTAGATTTATGAGACTTAAGATTGCTTTCTCATTTTTAAGGAAAGTATTTCTTTGACAAAGAATTTGTTTTTCAGCAAATCACAAACAGATAATGCTTAGCACTAGTATAAGACAATAGTTTGAAATGAAGAATAAGTAGAAGAAAATAGCATTTCTTCATGGTACATTTACATTATAGCTACTACAGAGCATTAAACCTACCGGGTCTTGAACATAGCAGGCAGTGAAATTGTTTGAGACTAAATAAATCAGGTACTCTGCCATTCTTCAGCACAAATGCTTTGGAGCAAGAATTGATCTTGGGCCATAACCAGGAAAACAAGACATCTAGGAAAACTTACATTCCAATTATAAACCTAACCATGTATCAAACAAAATAAAAAAAATAGGTAGAAACAAATCCTAGGATAGGCTACATTTCTAAAAACTTGAAAAACCTTAATAAAACCTTTTTTTAAAATTGAAAAATTGGATCTAACTAAAGAGCTTCTGCACAGCAAACGAAATTATCATCAGAGTTGAACAGACAACCTACAGAATGGGAGAAAATTTTTGCAATCTATCTATCTCACAAAGGACTAATATCCAGAATCCACAAGGAACTTAAGCAAATTTACAAGAAAAAAACAATCCCATTAAAAAGCAGGCAAAGGATATGAACAGACACTTCTCAAAAAAAGACATATATATGGCCAACAAACATATTAAAAAAACAGCTCAACATCACTGATCATTAGAGAAATGCAAATCAAAACCACAATGAGATACCATCGTATGCCAGTCAGAATGGCGATTACTAAAAAGTCAAGAAACAACAAATGCTGGTGACGGTACGGAGAAATAGGAACACTTTCACACTGTTGGTGGGAATGTAAATTAGTTCAACCACTGTGGAAGACAGTGTGGTGATTCCTCAAAGATTTAGAACCACAAATACCATTTGACCCAGCAATCCCATTACTGGGTATATACTCAAAGGAATATAAACCATTCTATTATAAAGATACATGCACATGTATGTTTACTGCAGCACTATTCCCAATAGCAAAGACATGGAATCAACCCAAATGCCCATCAATGATAGACTAGATAAAGAAAATATGGTACATATATG
The DNA here is from genome assembly GCF_000001405.40 of Homo sapiens. NCBI lineage: Eukaryota > Metazoa > Chordata > Mammalia > Primates > Hominidae > Homo > Homo sapiens. The sequence continues at coordinate 117,872,490 of NC_000001.11, forward strand.
CCATGGAATACTATGTAGCCATAAAAAGGAATGAGATCATGTCCTTTGCAGAGACACGGATGAAGCTGGAAGCCATTATTCTCAGCAAACTAATGCAGGAACAGAAACCCAAACACCGCATGTTCTCACTTACAAGTAGGAGCTGAACAATGAGAACACATGGACACAGGGAGGGGAACACTTACTGGGGCCTGTTGGGGGAGGGTGGGGGGAGAGCATTAGGGGAATAAGCTAATGCATGCTGGGCTTAATACCTAGGTGATGGGTCGATAGGTACAGCAAACCACCATGGCACATGTTTACCTGTGTAACAAACCTGCACATCCTACACATGTACCTCAGAACTTAAAAAACTAAATAAAATAATTTTATATAAAAAAGAAATACCTATAAAAATGTTTCACTGACCAAATCCTTTATCTTCAATATGCATGGAAGCTATACTTACAGAAACATGCCCTGAAGAGATGAATCTATTCTGAGTTTCATCTGAAAAGTTCACTATCTGTCTTTAGGAGTTCTCTATTCTATTACCAATTTTTTCTAAGTTTTTCACACCTACATTAAATTATGACAAACTAAGAAGAGCAAGTTCAATACTTAATGCCATGAAATAGAATTTCCATTATTAATTTCACACTGGGCAAGAGACTGCTGAGCAATCAAATATTTTTTCTATTTCTGGAAACAATCATAGAAATTTTAAGAATTGTTGCCAGGAAAAACTGTATATTCTCTGCTCTGTGTTTTTAAGAATGCCAATAACTCTCTTTCTGAAATGGTCTCAGTATCATTGTTACCTAGATAGGTTAAAAAATAGCTTCTGATTACCTTCAAAGGTCCCTTTTAATCCTATAAAATTGATGTTGCTATTCCAAGTCACATAAATCCCAGAAAAATAGAAGCCCACTGAAACTTGGGTTTCTTTTTTTTTTTAAACAGATACTAACCACTTCACTCCTTAACCAAATAAAGAACCTTCTATATGCAAGGCACAATTTGAACATGATAATGAAATTAACCAACTCTATACTCATTTCTTTTCTCTGATCATAGTTTTAATTCTTCCTAACAAAGGAAAATGTTTCCTTACAAGGTAACATGCAGCTACCTACTGGTATCTCCATTTCAATGACTGATGGGGCATCTCAAACCTACTGTGTCACAAACTGAACACAGTACCTGTCCTTTCCCCCTAATCTGTCAATCCTTTTCCTCCAAATTGCTTCTCTGTGGTGGTAGCAACATATCCACCAAGTCTCCCAAAGCAGAAACTTATTTTCTGCTTCATCCTTAGTGGCTACTCAGTCACCAAATGCTGTGAATTTTATTTCCTAAAATGTCTATTTCTAAATATCTCTAAAATCTTCAAATCCCTGCCATTATCACTACCACTGCCCTAACAATATAGTCTCGTTTCTCTGCCAGCCTTTACTAATAGACCTCATCTTTTCCCCCATGGACTTACCCTTCCCTCTCTAGTCATTCTCTGTGCTGTTTCTACAGTCATTGTCTAAACAGCAATGTAATGGCAATTCTCCCTTGCAGAACACTCTTCACTGACTACAAAGCCAAAGACCTGCAGCACTAATATGTAAAGTTACTGTATCCAGCGATGTGCTCTCTGCCTGACCCTTCCACATCATCTCCTGATATCTTCTGCTATAGTTTGAATATCTGACCTTCCAAACTTCATGTTGAAATTTGATCCCCATGCTGGAAGTAGGGCCTAGTCGGAGGTGTTTGGGTCATGGGGCAGATCCCTCATAAATGTCTTGGTGCTGTCCTTGTGGTAATAAGTTCTCACTCTATTTGTTCCTATGAAAGCTTGTTGTTAAAAAGGGCCTGGCATGCCCCTTCCTTCTCTCTCTTGCTTTCTCTTTTGCCATGTGATCTCTACACCCACCAGCTCCCCTTACCCTTCGACCATGAGTAGAAGCAGCCTGAGTCCCTCACCTGAAGTAGATGCTGGTGTGATGCTTCTTGTACAGCCTGCAGAAATGTGAGCCAAATAAACCTCTTTTCTTCATAAATTACCCAGCCTCAGGTATTCCTTTATGGCCACATAAAAATGGATGAAGGCAGAAAATTGGTACTGAGGGGTGGGGTGTTGCTATAAAGAGACCTGAAAATGTGGAAGCAGCTTTGGAACTGGGTAATGGGCAGAGGCTAGAAGAGTCTGCAAGGATCAGAAGACAACAGAAAGACTTAGGGAAAGTTTGAAACTTCTTAGAGATTGGTTAAGTGGTTGTGACCAAAATGCTGATAGAAATACAGACAGTAAAGGCCATGCTGATAAGGTCTCAGATGGAAGTGGGGAACTTAGGAATTAGAGCAAAGGTCATCCTTGTTACACCCTAGCAAAGAACTTAGCTGCACTGTGTCCATCCCCTAGGGTTTTATGGAAGGCCAAACAATACTGGTACCCTACGGTATCTGCTGGAGGAAATTTCTAAGCAGTAAAGCATTCAAGAAGTGGTGTGGCTGCTTTTAACAGCTTATAACCAGATATGAGAGCAAAGAAATGACAAAAAGTTGGAATTTATAATTAAAAAGGACACAGAACATAAAATTTTAGAAACTCAGCCTAGGCATGTGGTAGAGAAGGAAAGAACATTTTCAAGAGAGGAATCTAGGGGTGCTGTGGAGCAACCACTTGCTAGAGAGATTAGCAAGGATAAATCTTTGAGGTAGCTCCTCGCATCACAGACCCAGAGGACTAGGAAGACAGAATGGTTTGGGAGCGACAAGGCTTTAACACTTCAGGATGCTGCTCTCTGCATCCCAGCCCCTCTGGTTCCAGCGATGGCTCAAAGGGTCCCAGGTACTGCTCAGGCAACAGCTCTGGAGGGTGCAAGCTATAAGCTTTGGTGGCTTCCATGTGGTGTTAAGTCTGCAGGCATGCAGCATGCAAGAGTGGTGGAGGCTTGGCAGCTTGGAACTAGATTTCAGAGGATACATCAGAAAGCCTGGGTTCCCAGATAGAAGTCTGCTCCAGTGGTGGAGCACCTCCAGGCAGTCCTCACTGGGGCACTGCCTAGTGGAGCTGTGGGGTTGGGTTGCTCCCGTCCAGACCCAGAATTTCAGCCTGGAAAAACCTCTAGCATTCAGCTTCAACCTGTGAGAGCAAGCCATGTGGGTGGCAACCAGCAAAGCCATGGGGGTGGGGGTGCCCAAGGCCTTGGGAGCCCACCCCTTGTACCAGTGTGCCCAGTATGCAGAACATAAAGCCAAAGGAGATTATTTTGGAGATTTAAGATTTAGTGTCTGCCCTGATAGGTTTTGGACTTATAAGGGGCCAGTTACCCCTTTCTTTTGGCCTGTTCCTCTTATTCCTCCCTTTTGGAATGGGAATGTTTACCCAGTGCCTGTACAACCATTATATCTTGGAAGCAAATAATTTGATTTTGAGTTTACAGATTTACAGCTGTGAGGAACTTGCCTTGAGTCTCCAGATGAGACTTTGGATTTCTGAGTTGGTGCTGGAACAAGGTAAAACTTTTGGGGACTGCTGGGATGGAATGATTGTATTTTGCATGAGGGAAGAACATGAGGTTTGGGTGGCTAGGGGCAAAATGCTACATTTTGGATATTTGACCCTCTAAACCTCATGTTAAAACCTGATCCCCAGTGTTGGAGGTGGGGTCTAATGTGAGGTGTTTGAGTCATGGGGTGGGGCAGATCTCTCATAAATGGCTTGGTGCTGTCCTTGTGGTAATAAGTAAGTCCTTGCTCTATTAGTTCCTGTGAAAGCTGGTTGTTAAAAAGAGCCTGGCACCTCCCTTCCCTCTCTCTTGCTTCCCTTCCCACCATGAGATCCCTGCACATACTGGTTTCCCTTCCCCTTCTGCCGTGAGTGGAAGCAGCCTGAGTCCCTCACCAGAAGCAGATGCTGGTGCCCTGCTTCTCATACAGCCTGCAGAACCATGAACCAAATAAATCTATTCTTTATACTTAGCCTCAGGTATTCCCTTACAGCAACAAAGAAATGGACTAAGAAACCCTCTTTTGTTTCTTCCCCATTTTTATGCCTCTCTTTGATCTAACATCTCAATTTTAGAAAGCTCTAGCATAGGTACAAAGAGATGATCCAATGAGCCAAGTGTTAGATTATAAGTTAGTCTACTTAATTTTGATTAATTACATTATGCTTGTATTTATACAAAAATAAAACAGCCAAAATACACAACCAAACAAAACAAAAAACAAAACCAAGCTTGAGTGTGGTGGAGCTATACTTAATATTTAATGAAAGCCTGCTTTATAGGCCCTTAAGTATATAGAAAATGCTTTGGCTTAAAATACAGTCCTTTAGGTTTCCTAATCAAACACCCAACTTATATATTTCTATCCCAGAAAATAAATGATAAATCCAGATACTAGCTATGAATTGTCTTCAAAATTTTGAGTGTAAAAATGTTGCTTAGTGCCTTTCACATTTTCTGCTATCCATTTTTTTAAGCATTAAGATGAGTGATGTAGAGTTCAAAGGAAAAACACTAAGATCATTTTCTACTCCAGCAATCTGCAGTAAATACAAACTAATGTACTCTTTTCTCTTTCCTATATTCAACAATTTTTGTATCTATGATCCAGCTGCTCCAGTTACAAATCCTCTCTGTATAACAGCCAAATATGAAATTTTATTAGCCATTAGATCACATTATACACTTTACTCTGCACATAAGGGGAAAAAAATTATAGCTAAAGTTAGAGAAATGTTAGAGAGAAATTGTGTTGCAGAATTTTTATTTTGCTGTATAAACACTGCACAATAATTAGGGAAGAATAATTCATTTCAAACTTAATATAACTTTCAAATCTATCCCCTGGTTCATACAATATAAAGATAAGCAATCAGCAACAGTTAAACAATCAGCTTGATGAGCTTTTGGCCAAGTGTGTTACTTTTTTTTTTTCAAAAATTACTAAGGTGATATCATGAATAAACACAATAGAATAAATTGATGAAATTCACGAGTAGTCCTGTGACTAGTGCTTATGTAACAGATCCATAAACGCATCTATAAATAACAACAATAATATTATCAGATGATGCTCTTAAAAACATTATACAACCTTTTAGATAAATGAAACTTTTAGCAGGGTAAAGACTACTGAGATAGGCCACATGATTTGCAATTAATTCTAAAAGTGATCACCAATAAATTCTTCTGGCTCTGTGTAGATGGAAAGCCATTCAATCTTAAGAAAATTAGGCAGAGGTATCTGTTTTAAATATGGTAGAAAACTTACAATACAAACGAAAATTGGTTCTGAACTCACAGCAGAGAGATCTCCCACTGAAACGTTTATCTGGAGAAAATGCCTCTCTTGGGACAAATCCTTTTCCTAAAGTTATCATAGGGAAAGTATGTTAAATGATATTACCAAGTTTATTAAGACTCACTAATTTACATTAATATCTGGTAATGACAGGATGTTGTGCTCGTAAGTGCTGCTCTATAGAACAGTTAATATACCATACCAGGTGAGGGAGAACTTCTGGTACTTCTTACCCTGGCATCATATTCAAGGACAAAAGGAGGAAAGTCAATCTGTTCTGGTGATATGGCAGAAAACAGCTGGTGGAGGCTGTCCACATGGTGGATTTTGTCCTTCAGTCCTGAGACAGAAAAGGTGGTAAAAAACCATGTTGACACCTGATTAATAGAAGAGAAAAAATAATTTAAGCTAGTTGCCATAGTTAGAAACATAAACACAATTTGGAAAATTTATAGTAGATAAAAACTATATTTCAAAGTCTTAAAATAACTAGTGTTTTCAAAGCGCAATCTGAATTTTGCAATCATCAGTTTAGTTGATTATTAATAACATTAAAAAGAAGAAACGAGGATAACACTGACTAGAGACTATAAGAAGAATGAGTTTTGTTTCATGAAGCTTTTGTTTCCATTACATGTATATAAGTTCCCATGCGTGTAGTGTGTTAGTGCTGTACTACATGCTTCTTACTGTGGGTTGTAGTCAAAACCGCTGCATTATTTGGTAGAATAATTGGTGTTCCAGTCTTCTGAAAATGGTTAATATCTCCAAATCTCACACTGTGAATTTTTCAAATGAGACTGAAAAGAAAATTTGTGCCAATATTTGGGACTCATATATTTTCAGTTGATGCTTGGCATGAATTTCTTTCTCGAAGTCCATCAAAGTGAATCACTTGTAGATGTGGTGCCATCTTTGCTCATTTCACTTGACAACATGCAATCCCTCTCTAAAAGCTAGTCTGCAAAATTTGTTGGTTCCCAAAAAAAGGATAAAAAATTCTTGATACCAAACAATACTGACATAAACTAGGTAATGGCTTGAATTTAAAAATTACTGTTTATCTATCTAAATTGGCAATCACAAATTAGTCCATGTTTATCAACATACTATACAATAGTCCTATGAGGCAGGTATGATATTGTTGCTATCCCCATTTTACTTACAGAAGAAGGTAACGTATGCAGGAAATAGCAAACTTTTTTGAAAAGGACCATTATAGTAAATATTGCAGGCTTCTTATAATAACATTATCAGAAAATCGTTCACAAGGCATGCCTGAAGGTTCTTGGAGCAGTGCAATATTGGAGGCAGGACAACATGAAAATTAATTAGGAGGCTGCTGTGTCATTTCAAGTAAAAGCTGATAGTGGGATGAACTAATGTAGAGGCAGTGGGAATAAAGACACAGACATAAATTTGAGCAATTGTAAACACACAGAACTGATGCAATGTGCTAGGAGATGAGGTACAGAAAGTGCTCCAGAATGCCTCTCTGGTTTCTGGCTTAGGCACTTGGGTAGGCAGAAGTCCCATTTGCTAACACAGAAAACACAAATAGCAGTTCAGGAATAGGTGGAAGAGGAGTACATGAGGAGTTCTGTTTAAAAATGTTGAACTTCAGGGTCCTATAAGATGCCTAAGTAGAGATATCTAACCAGTAGTTCAATACCAAGGTCTAAAGCCTAAGAATGATAATGATGATGATGATGATGATGATAATGACAATGATGATGATAGTGTACATTTACTGAGCACTTATTATACGTCAGGTAATGTTTTAAGTATTTTACATGTATTAACTCATTTCATCTTTCAATAACCCTAAAAGATAGGTACTATTATTTCCATTTTATAGGGGATAAAATAAAAGCAAACAAATTATACTACTTGCCTGAGATGATAAATTGATAACTGGTAGAGCTGGGATTAGAACCCAGGTAATCTGAATCTTGAAACCATGGTTCTAAACATTAGGCTTTATTGCCTCCCCAGATATATGTTTGAAGATTGCATATATTTTGGAGGGTCACTGAAGAAATGGGAATAAAAAAGGTATAGAATTAAAGATGAGGGTGGAGAAACACGGGAACACTAACACTCAAAGGATGCAAGCAGGAAGCCAGGTGCAGTGGCTCATGCCAGTAATCCCAGCACTTTGGGAGGCCAAAATGGGAGGATTACTTGAGGCCAAAAGTTTGAGACCAGCCTTGGCAACAGGGCAAGACCCCATCTCTATAAAAATACAAAATAAAAAAAATTAGCCAGACATGATGGTGCACGTCTGCAGTCCTAGCTATTCTGGAGGCCAAGGTGGGAGGACCCCTTGAGGCCAGGAGTTCTAGGTCACAGAGAGCTATAATCACACCACTGCACTCCAGTGTGGGTGACAGACTGAGACCCTGTCTCTAAAAAGAGATGAGAAGAGAGAGAGAGAGGCTGACAAATGAGACTGAGAAGCAGCAGCTAGAAGTAGGAGAGAAACCAGGCAAGGTAAGTTTCAAAGAAGCCAAGACAAACTGTGTCAAGGAGAAGTGATCAACTGTGTTTAAGGCTGCAGGGAATGCAGGTAACAGAGAGAGAGAAAAGTGTCTATTAGATTTAGTGACCCAGAAATTATGGATGATTTTGGTGTGAAAAGCTTCAGCTGGCAAAGCAGGATAACCACACTGGAGTAATTTAAAAGGTACATGAGAAATGGAGATGGTGAGCATAGAACAAAGATTATACTAAACAATTTTGGTCGTAAAGTGGAGGAGAGAAAAATAGATCTTAGCATTTTTAAAAGTTGGTAGATAATTTGGATCCAGCAAAGCGGGAGAGGAGAAAGACACTAACTGTTGAAGAGAGCTTCTTTAAGGAAATGGAAATACACTCTGTAGTTTACAGTCTGGGATTAAAATGCCTAGATTCAAATCCAGCCTTTGCTACTAACTGTTGGTTATCTTGGTTCCTTAATCTCTCTAAGCATCAATTCCCTTACCTGTATGGTGGGACAACTACTGCCACCTATTTCACAGGTATACTGCAAAGCTTAAGCAAGATAATTCATGGGAGGAACTGGCAGATAGCAAGTGCTCAGAAAACTTAAGCTAATGTCATTACTATGGGATTCACAGCACAGGGAAAGGGACTGTCCTTCATTAAGAAGGACATTAATGAAATGTGTTCATTAAGATGGAACACATTTTTGTGACAGAGAAAAAGGAGGCAATGATAAGAACAGCTAGCAAGTAGGTTTGGAGTGGGAAGGTAAAGATAAAGAGCTCCTTACTGACGGTTTCTTTGAGTGAAGAAAGCAGTACAATGGATTATTTCAAGTTTAGGTTTTGATGGGCAGGTGTGATGAAAGGGTAACAGGTCATAGGTTAATTTAGGCATTGACAAGAGTGGATGAAGTGATGAAATGTCAGTTTTTAGCTTGATAGAGAAGAAAATAAGGGCAAGATGATATTTTCAGAAAGTAAAAAGACCAAGAGACTAGATATCTTGATGAAGTCAAGATGTAGGCTTAGGTAGTGGGAATATAATTGTGAGCAAGACTGCTATATTCTAGCCCTCATGGATCTTGCTGGCTCATGTATAAGGAAGAAAATTAAACATGCAATTAAAATAAAAACATAACAATGATATAAGACTACAGAATCTTAAGGGGTTACAATGCTAGAACAGCTACTAGCTGCAGGATTGGTCAGGGAAGGATTTCTACAGAAAGTACAGCTGAGACCTGAAGGTCAAACAGGAGGTAGCCATGGGCAGAGGAGGGAAGTGTATTCTGTAACAACAGCATAAATGAGGCCCAGATGAACAAAGAGCACAAAAACAGGCAGGGACTGATGGGCTAACGGCTTATAAGGGTTGCCCACAAAGGCGCTGGAGTCACATACAACCAAAACATCAGGACCACAACTCAAGATCACTTAGAAACCAGGAAATTAGCAGTCACAATGGTGACAGCAACAATTAAGTTGCTGAGCTATTATCTTAATACTCTGGGCATGCAGTGCACATAAATTCTAGATTTAACCAAAGAGAAAAATACTGTACCTTTGAACGAAATGTGGGATGTACAAAATAAACAGCCTTCAAATTCCTCTTGTACCTGATCCAAAAATAAAATGACAAAAAAAATCAGTATAAGTTCATGCCTAAAACCAATTACTATTATAGACTATTAACTATTTGCCTGAGTATATAAATATATTCAGAGAAAAATAAAGACAGCTATAATTTACAGATTGAATTTTAGGTGAATGCCAAAAACAATTCAGAGAACATTCCATTTTTTAAAGTATCTCTTTTATAGGAGATATTAAGTGCTTCTGTCAGCTGCTATAGGTAGGACAAAGTTAAGTAAATTTGTATTTAAGAAACAAATTTATGGTGTGTCATTTTTTAATATGATGCTAGAATCTCTGGGATCAGAGTTAAACAGCAGCTAAACCACTTAAAATTATAGCAAAATTTTAAACTAAAAGTTTCAATGGTCATATTACAACAACAGATTGTTGTAACAATCTGTTATAATAACAATATTATAACAGAATTTGCTGTGCCCCAGAAATTGTAGAGGCCTTCTACTTAAATTCTCAAAACAATTCTATGAGCTCAGTACTATTATTGCAGCTATTTTTGCCCTCCCAAAGTCACCCAGTCATCAAGTGGCAGAGCCAGGAACTGAACCCAGGCAATACCACTCCAGATTCATTCTCCTATCCACTATTCCATCTGGCCTCTCTACGTGTGCCTGAGATTTTTTCAACAGTTCAGTAATCAACATTGGGTCACGTGAAGTTAATTGGAAAGGACGTCAGAGAAATAGTACAAACTATTTCACAGTTGAGGCCTGTTCCACGTTTAAGAACTGGTTAGTGGTAGAAGCAGAACTACATATATACAACCCACATTCAGAGTAAGCTAAAAAGGTGTCTATTGGCTAATGAAAGCTTTAATATTCCTAAATAAGATGAGATTTAATGGGAGAAGTAGGATAGCTGGAAATTTATGGTAACTTGCCTTCTTTGTACCCTAACTGTAAAATGGGCTTTTCAATGCAATCCACACAGACATTGTGATGCTACAAATAACAGAACAGCTAACAGGAGGGTTGAGTGCCACTTTTTATTCAGAAAAAAAAATAAGAAAAAATGTAAAACACTACATTTCATCTTTGCTATAGTGGGGTATCATGTATTTTCTGGTTAAAATTTCCATTATCATTTCAAGGGAAATATGCTTTAATGAAAATAATTTTCTAGCTCCAAGTCAGTAACCTGGGTTCAAGTCCAAATTCTGCATTTACTGTTGTGAGACTTTGGGCACATACTTCACCTTGCAGAATGTCAATATCTTCCATCTTTCAAACACAGATAATATCTCTCCTAACCAACTCCTGGGTTAAAGGATCAAAGTAAATAATGTTTATAAATGTATTTTGATAAGTATAATACATCATATAAATAGAAGGTAGTATTTTTGTTATTTTATCCACAAAGATTGGTAATGTAAAAAGTTTACATATGAATTTACTTTAATGCAAAATAAGTTTCAGTTACGGAGGGTCTCCTATGATTGAAGTATCTAATCTAGGTATGATAAAAGTCTTTGTTACATGAAATATCCTTTCACAGAATACAAAGCAATGTTTGCCACTGCTTAATATTAGAAAAGAAAGAAACTATTTCCCCTTCATAATTTGCAAAAATAACTAACTTGACATCAACAACATCGTAGAGTTTCTTCAGGAAGTCGGAGTCCAGGTGATTGTATTCGCTGGTCAGGGTGTGAAAATACACTAATACATACTCCTTCACAGCAATGTGATCCATTACATGAATGAAATATAAGAGAGCCTAAAAGATAAAAGGGGAATAAAGGTGAAGATCATTTTGAACAGTAGTCTATTTCACAGAGACCAAGAAAAAACAAAACAAAACAAAATAGAAAATTAACCTACTCTATGCCCTAGTCATCATAAATGGATAACTCAGAGTGATGAATATCCATTCTCTTTAAAAAGAGCTCCAGGAAAGTGAATCATCCCAGTGTTTAATAATTCTCATAAGTGCTACAGTACAATTCCTTTCTGTCTTATTCTAAGTGATAGAGGAGAACAATCAGTCTCTATCCTCTAAAACAATTCTTCATATACTGGAAAAAGTTCTTGGATCAACTACCAGGTTTTCTCTCTCCAGGACAATGATATCGAAATCATTAGAAGTAGAATTTCTATACTTTTAATCATTTTTGAAGTTTCCGCTTGAATTCAATCAAAGTCTTTGCAGTCTCTACTCAGAAATAGACTCATGGCCTGCACATAACCAAGAATTACTATAAAAAGATGTAATGAGTGGTGCCTCACATGATTCACGTTGAGAGCTAATTTTTTTAGATCTTTAGTGCTGATCTGAAGGAGGACATTGACAGCAGGTTTAATCAGTAGATGGCAATAGGTTGGGAAGCATTTCTAGAGCTCTGAAAGATTCAAATTTAATGTGACCCAGATTGGTTATAGAAATATTCCATTACAAAAATGATGAATTTAAGAGAAACACTAAAAACAAAACAGAGATACAATATAGGCAGGGCCAGTATGACCCAGTGGTTTAGCTGTAAACAATCACATAGAAAAAGCTAAGAGGTAACAACTGAAGGATTACTGTAAAACAAACTGTTTTCCAATTCCTCTTCAGATGAGTCCTTGACATTAACATGGTTGGATTAACATGGACTAGGATCCAACTGCTACTAGAGCAGATAGAGAAGGGCATTAAGAAAACACAGTATCTTTCCATTCATTACCTGCTTTGGTAACAATTATTATTATCACCATCTATCTCAATATTTTACAGGAAATGATACATCATGAATATCCAGAACCCCATGCAAGTACACACCAAAATCAAATGCAAAGATTTATGGTTTTATTTGTATTAATCACATTATTATGAAAATGAGGGTCACACTGATTATTAAGAACATAAATGATTACAAACAGAAACTTACTAACGGTATAATTTTCATCAGTTTATTCCCTCCGTGTGTGTGTGTGTGTGTGTGTGTGTGTGTGTTCTGTTTGTTCGAGACAGGGTCGCTCTCTGTCACTCAGGCTGGAGTGCAATGGCATGACCTTGGTTTGGGAGATCTTGCAACCTCTGCATCCTGGGCTCAAATGATCCTTCTGCCTCAGCTTCCCAAGTAGCTGGGACTACAGGCATGTGCCACCATGCCTGGCTAATTTTTGTATTTTTCGGACAAAATAGATAGGAGATAGGATTTCGCCATGTTGCCCAGGCTAGTCTCGAACTCCTGGGCTCAAGCGATCTGCCTGCCTCAGCCTCCCAAAGTGCTGGGATTATAGGCATGAACTACCACACCTGGCTGTGTGCATATTTTTATTATTCTTTATTATTCTTTTTTATCCTCTTACCAGATTGCTGCTTCATCTTCTTTCTGTCCATTCTCCACCCCCCACCCCAGGGCAATTAGGATACTCCTTTTTGGCTTCAAATTCAACTTCTTAAGTTTTTATCACTATATAACTATATCACTATATATGACGAAAAAATGTGAAAGACAAATTCTCCCCCAAACCATGAAATCCCTTTCCTTGAGATATTTTCCTTGTTTTTGTGCTTAAAAACAAAAAACCCAATGAAGGTCAATGTAGATACAAATTAATGTATCACTGTTCTCCTATTATATTCTAAACACTTCTCTACAGTACTTGCCTCTGTAACCATAATTTATAAGGGTCACAGAATATCCTATTTGAATGTACCATAATTATCTGTGAGGAATTTAAGTTTTAACTTTTTGCTACAAATGACCCTGTGAATAATATGCCTGGTTCAGTGCTTTCACAGTTTTTTTTACCCAACAACAGTGCCTAAGAGTTTGAGGACTTAGCCAGAAGTAATTATCAGCTTTTGTCCAACTGGTTTATCTTAAATTCTGTGTAATTTTGCATTTTTAAGTATACAATTTTTTTTTTACTATGGTTAATAATTACTGATCAGTTAAAGTTATCATCCTTTGAAGTCAGTTCCTAACAAAACTGATGTGCTAGGATTCTCTACATAATTATCTTGTGGGTTCAATTGTCCCTTGTATGAGTATTCTGATTTGAATAGTGTCAGGGCCTATAGCTACTTCCACACTTTGGGTTATTTCCTTAGTGTAAGTTTTCAGAAATGAAATTAATAGATTAATGGGTGTGATCACTTTTATAGTTTCATCTTTGATGACAATAATTATTTAAGAGTTAAGGCATCTCATTTTAATTCACCTTTTTTGGACTACTAATCACATTGAATATTTTCTTATTTTTATCTACCAGTTATAACCATTTTTCTTTTATGAATCATCTATTTCTGTTCTTTGCCTCCAAATGAAGGGATTATAGAATTATGCTATCTTGGGTAAACTACATTTCTGTTTTTTTCTCTTCTAATAGATACTCAAACATTAATTTTTCTTTTTTCAAAAAAGAATTTGATTACACAATTATAATACAGAATGATTCCAACCACTTACTAGTTACATCATATCCAAAACAAAGCAGTTGTGGTTTTGGAGATCACATTACTGTATTCCAGTATTTTTTATTTCTTGGACAGAGAAAAATCAAACCCCTAATCGAACTGAAATGATACAGGTCCACTCATAGAACCAGGTCTGCTCCTCTGTCAGTGATACACAATTCAGCCTTGATTCATATTGTAGGCCTTGATTCCAAATTCATATACTACTTATTTTTTCAATCAACATTGTTTGTAAAACAGAGCCTTTTTATGGCTTACCTTGTCCATATCTATTAATGTTACAGGAATGTTTCTTCCAACTACCACCATCACTGTTCGACCACAGTTATCAACACCTATAAACAGGAAATGTCATCAGCACCCAGAAACTTCATTCCAAGAATACTATTTGTCTTGGGCTCTGACTTTATAAAATATTCTATGTGAATTTAAAAGATTGAAAACAAGGAAGTATAAGTTGCTCAAATTTCATCTTCCAATTTTTTTTCTACTCTGCAGACAACACCTATTTTTTAAAGCTTCATGAGGGTTTTGATCACTGCCCTTTTAAGAGAAGACCTCTTAAAGATTTTAAATCAAGAACAAACAGCCAAAGATCTTTTAAAATATTTTATTATTTTCTAGAGACAGGATCTTGCTCTGTCCCCAGGCTGGAGTACAGTGGTGTGATCATAGCTTACTGCAGCCTCCGTCTCCAACTCCTGGGCTCAAGCAATCCTCCCATCTCAGCCTCCAAAGCAGCTGGGACTACAGGCATGCACCACCACACCTGGCTAATTTTTTCATTATTTTGTAGAGATGGGGTCTCACCATGGTGCCCAGTCTAGTATTGAACTCCTGGTCTCAAATGATCCTCCTGTCTCCACCTCCCAAAGTGCTGCAATTACAGATATGAGCCACGATGCCCAGCCCCCAAAAACTTTTTATAAACAGCTTTTTGCTTAAGCTCACTACAACTTTGATCCAGGCAAAACTAAATAGCACTCAAATCTGAAAATTACTAAAAAGTACCGTCTGTAAAAGAAATACAATGCAGAAAGAGTGGGAATCTGGGAACTTTCACTCTCTCCATCATATATTTACGTAAGGTTTGAATTTTGTAGTAGCAAGCATATGGTACTTTTAAAAGCAGAAACATTTTTTAAAAGGGACACTAGCATGAAATAAAGTTGGCCAATGCAGAACTGTAAGTTGAAAATGTTATAGATTGGGATGTTATTTTTAAGATCTTGATGACAGGCAAAACTATCTTTATTAGTACAAAACCATTTTGTTCATAGATACAATAAATGAAATCAGAGAAAAATGAATTCTCAAATAGCATGCTTGGTAGGGCTCTTAATTAGTGAAAGAATAAGTTACCATATATTTAAGCTCACCTGTTTGGTATAAGGCTTTTAGAGAAGCAATATCAGACAGATCCTCAGATCTTGCTTGACATAACCAGCGATTATAACTAGGGAAATAAATGATATAATCATTATAATAAACCCTTGGAAATTAAATTTACAAATGGGACCAATTTTTAATACCCTTCCCTGACCCTAAAAATTTTCAAGTATATATTTCATTATAATAGGGAAGGAGTTAAAGAAGCATTAAGCCATGTAGAATCTCTACTACATGTTATTGATAAAATAAACACAAATGAATTATTGAGAAAGGAAGGTGTTCATTATTTTAAAAATCCTTATAATCAAATGAAGGTTGTACAGGTAAATGGCTAAGATACCAAGTATTCAAACTAACCTTGTTTTAAAATACTATTGTTTTCCTTTACTAAAAACATGCATAGAGAAAGTCTAAAGCAATGGCAGAGTTTCAAAACAGATGCTCACTCACTCAACAAGGATTTGAGTGCTTACTCTATGATAGTTACTGAGAATACTATCATGAAAGGACATGGTTGCCTCCCTCAAGAAGTTCACTTTTCAGGGGAAAAACAGGCAAGTGCTGTACATGTTATGTGGGATCACAAAGGAGTTGGGTAAATTTATCTGGGAAGTCCTGGAATATTTAATCATCAGTTAGTCAAACTAGTTGTAGTGATATCCCACAGACCAGATCATATGGACTGCAGTTTGGCTTTGGCTAAGAGGATGTTAAAGCTGGAAGAGACATTAAAGATCTTGCAGATGGAAATGACATGCAAAAGATTAATGGTCAAGTTCATCTCAGACTTCCCAGCCTATTAAATAGTAGAGTTGAATTTGAAGTTGCACTCAGGTCTCTAGATTTCCGGAAAGGTCAGTGCTTTTTCTACTATATCATACTAATTTCTTGAAATTAAAAGTGCCAATTACTTGATTGTGAAAACGCTTTCAAGACACCTAAATGTAGGAAAAGCAACTCTGAAGTGTCTAAATCATATATGGCAATATCCAGTAACAACAACAACAAAAAGCACAACTAGGAGAGGGGAGATTTGGCTTCTAATCCTACTGCTTTCGGTGCAAACTTACTAAAGTCATTTACCTTTATGGAATTCAGTTTCCTCACCTGCAAAATGGTGTTCATATGGGAGGGACACCTTTCAGCTATAAAGTACAATTGCACAACTGAAAATATTTAATGGGAAGTCTGTCACATACAGACTGAAATCAACAAGTGACATGCCTGTTAGTTTCACAGATATTGTTACTGCTTGTAAAAAACACAGTGTTACTGCATTAGTTCTATAGACTGCCTTCTCAAATTTGTGATTTACCAATCTATGCAAATTGAAAAGTCAAAGACAGTAGCTTTTAATTTTGTTTCAAAATATAATTTCAAAGTCAAGAAAATGCCTATGTTTATTGTAGTTCTCCCTAAATCATATGCACTATTCCATATTTTCATACAGTCATTTCCTATTTACACTAAATCAAAATTCTATTTCTTTACTTAAAAAATTATTTTCTTTGACAAATAATGTATGTAATGTATTGATATACGGATACATTGTAAAATGGCTGAATCAAGCTAATGAACATATCCATTATCTCACATATTTATCATTTTTTTTTGGTGAGAACAGTTAAAATGTATTCTTTTATCAATTTTCGGGTATACAACACATTCTTATTAACTACAGTCACCGTATTATATAATAAATCTCTTATTCCTCTCGTCTAACTGAAATTTTGTATTCTTTGACCAACATCTCCCCAATCCCACCCCAATACCACCAGCATTTGATAACCACTTTATTCTCTGTTTTTCTGAGTTCAGTTTTTTTAGGTTCTACATATAAGTGAGATCATGCTATATTTGTTTTTCTGTGCTTGACTTATTTCACTTAACATACTGTCTTATATCTTTAGTATGAAGGTTAAAAGACAAAACTATTAATAATAGCAACAATAATTTGTTAAGAGACAAAAATAATATAAAAACGTAAATTATGACATCAAAAATGTGGCAGTGAAGAATAAAAGTATAGAGTTTATTATGTTTTTTAAATCATTCTATTATATACTAATTGTTTATAATGAGACTAAACAGCAAAATGTATATTACATCATATGGGCACCACAGTATCTAGCACAAAGCATATAACAGGATTCAATTAATACCTATTAACTTCTATACTCTGTTCATGTATCCATTGGCTCATTTTTCAAAGATTTATTGAATAAATGCAGTGTTTGCATCATAGTAGGTACTAAATTCTTTGCTAAATGAAATAATAAACATGAGTATTATGTAAGGTATTTTGGGGCCTGAGATGAATTAAAAAAGGCTCTTGAGTTTAAGGTTGCATATGTGAGACAGACATATTACAGTACGAAGAAAATTAACTTTGTAATAAGAACAAGACAGGTAACCAGAAGTCTAAATACTCTATCAATCAAATATGTATGCTGAGAAGGGGACTGGTGGTGGGGAAGGAGGTGGGGTGAGAAGGAGCAGAGTGGAGGCAAATTCTAGACATGTCGTAGAAACAAATGCTCCCTTCTTTGTATCCCCAAAGACTTCTACCATGTTCAGTGCAAGATTTTACACACTTATTGAAAAGGCTATTTCTATTACATTAGACCACCAGATAGACAATATGTCATATTTGTCTCTCATTTCTAGCCAATTCCTAGGGTAGTTCCTGACACTCAATCTCTATATCTATATCTATATCTATCTATATTCAATGAACTCTGAAAAAAATTTTTTTTAACTGGAACTCAGGTGTACAAAATGGAATACATCATCTTTAATTGAAAACACTCGCATAACTGGTATATGCATGGTCCACTTAGAAGACTAGTTATATAATTATTTATCTTTAATGAAGTAATAAGCACCCTAAAATCTACCACTATAACAAAAATTAGCACTTTCACAATAACCTTCATCTAACCATGTGCTACTTCCCACCGTTATCTGGAATTCCAGGTTAATCATTTATTGCTTTCCTTTTTATATTGTTTTAAATTCATCTACATGTAGTCAATGTAAGACATTATTTTTTGTTTGTTTCTAACTATTTAAAAAAGCTTATCATGCTGTATGTAATCTCTTGGGTCTTACATTTTTGACTTATCATATTGCTAACATTCATCCGTATCACTGGATTTCAATGTCGTTGATTGATTTGGACAATCACAGGTTGAGCATCCCAAATCCAAAAATACAAAATCTGAAATGCTCCAAAATCCAAAACTTTCTGAGTGCCAACATAACAATTAAAACAAAAATGCTCACTGGAACATTTCGGATTTTTGGGATTTGGGATGTTCAACTGGTAAGTACGATACAAATATTTCAAAATCCAAACAAATCAGAAATCTGAAACACTTCTGGTCCCAAGAATTTTGGATATGGCATACTTAATCTGTATATATCATGTATTCATACTAGATAAAAACTATAGATTTTTTTCATTCACTCTCTCACTGATGGGCACTTGGGCTGTTTCCAGGGTTTTGCTATTGTGAAGAGGGCTACAATCAACTTGTTTTGCGTGTCTCCTGGTATACATGTGCATGATTGCTCTTGAGTAGGTACCAATGAGTGAAAGTGCTAGGTTACAGGGAATGTTTAATTTTAGGAGATAAGGACAAACCTCTTTTCCAAAGCATTGCACCAAATTATACTTCTATAAGAAGCATATGAGACTGTGAATCCCTGTCCTCACCAACACTTGCTACTATTAGATGTTTTAGTGTTTGCCAGTTGGATAGGTTAGAAATGGTAAAGCATTTCTCTGGTCAGTAATGAGGTTGAGATTCTGCTCATGTTGACTTGATTCTATGAGATGCCTGTTCCTATCATTTTTCCATTTTTTATTGGGTTATTTGATTGTTTCTCACCAAGTTGTAGTTCTTTACACATTCTTGATGCTGATCATTTGTTGTGTGTTTTGTGAATATCTGCCCCCATTCCGTAACTTGCTTTTTACTTTGTTTAAGCTTGGCTCTACTTTCAAAAGTTCTTAATTTTAATATAGTCAAAACTATTTTTTCTTTGGTGGTAAATGCTTTTCATGTCTTTAAAAAAATCTTCCCTTTCTCTAAGGTTTGAAGGATACTAGCTTAACTTCTTCCACAGGTTTCAGAATTTTTAAAAATTTAAGTCCTTAATCTATCTAAAGTTGATTTGTCCATAGTGTGAACACAGAATTAGTATAAACTCTAAAATGTTTAAACCTTGATTGATGATTAACAACTTGAGATCTAAAGATAGACTTTGGTTGACAAAATCTCTATGAACATATTTGTGGGGAGAAGTTTATAGTTTACATCAGATTCTTAAAGGGTTCATGATTTTTAAAAGGTTAGAATCACTGCTGAGACACTGGTCCTGTTCTGGTTTCTAAGGACCATGCAACAACTCATGATTGCAATCTTCATCAGGTTTCTTCTTTATTCTAATTAAGTCTCTGCCATTACCACTATAGATTGTGTAAGTCTGATTATTTAGTCATTATTTTAAAAAAATCACCAGTTGGGAAGAAAGAGTAAAAGCAAAAAGACTGTTACTCTTCTCACTCAATAGACAATACCCTCCTTTTTTTCTAAACTTCATTATTCAAAGAATATTTCATGTTTTCTATTACATTTCTTATAAACAGCACCTCACTTTTTGCTATAGTGTTTTGTTTTGTTTAAAGGAAGACATGCAATCTTTTGTTCCAATCCAAAAATCAAAACAAAGCTAAAAGGAAAATATGAACTCAAAATAGTTTCTGGGTTTCCTACAGGATATTTCCTAAATATCCTATATAGAGTACTTTCTTATTCCAAATAAACAAACTTCTATTATTTTATGAGTAAATATAATAATCATGGATAAATAATCGTACAAAATATGTCAAAATGGCAGAAAAAAATAGCCACTACAGTGCTCTAAATGCAGAAACACTAATTAGTTTCTCAATGGGTTGCAACCAACTGAGGTTGGACACTGTTCTCACAAAGCTAATATAAGCCAGTTTCTTCCAGTTAATAAATTACCATCCACCTGTACAGCCAGCAGCTGAATGACAAAAAAAATTTAAACTGTATCACTCTTAAAAGACTAATAACTAACCCATCTGTGTATAATCATCGCCCAGGGAAAATTCTGTCTTTGGAATTAGCAGATGCTTTCCCAGACCTTATACAATTGACCCATCCTAGATTTAGTTAAGATCTTTGTTGTATCCTCTTATTGACCCTGTACAGTAATTTAAACAATTATTCATATACTAATTAGTTTAACATTTTTCTCCTCTGCAAGACCCTAAGCTCCATGCAGGCGGGTGCTGTATCTGTCTTGCTTGTCACTTTATTACCAGTAGTATCCAGCACAACATTTGGCACATTAGTAAAAGCTTAATAAGTATTTAATAATGAAAAAGATAATGATTTTGTTGAGAAAAATGACATAAGAGTCACAGGCAATTGAATCTTAAGCCAGTCAAGTAATACTAATAAAAAAGGAAAGGAAATCTTCCTGTAAAATAACTTGAAGAGTTTCAAAAGCAGTATTTTTGAAAAAGAGTATCTAGGTTGCTTCCTAATTTTGGTAAGTAAACCAATGTCTACCTTATGATACACCCAAATCAGAATCACAACTGGATGACAGACCTGGATTAGAAAGCACGTCTAATTTTTCATGTTAAAAACAATTATTTTGAAGAGATACTGAGGTGACAAGGCAGTGCTACGAAAGGAGTGACATAAAACTATTGCCAATCCATGTGACCTTTAGTTTCGCTACTGATGGAAGAATTGAAGGCTTTTGAAAAGATATTTACTAACTAAAAACCTACTTACTTTTACATTTGTTCAACCTAATTAATTAACATAATCAACAGAAGCCAGACTCAATATGTGAAAATAAAAGCCCGATTTAGAAATATCAAGAGAAAGAAATTTTAAAAACTACAACCTACAATCTCAAATACGGCTGAGCATGCAAACAGTTGACATAGCTTAGTTATATCATAAACTCCTCAATAAACAGCCATCAATTCTAAAACTTTTTGGTCTCAGGACCAAAATATATCTATATAAAACACAGACATTTTTATGTTTTTATAAATTATTGAGGACCTTAAACATCTTTTGTTTGTGTCATTTATATCTACCAGTTCTCATTAGAAATAAAAACAGAGAAATTTAAAAAATATTCATTAATTTAAAAACAATGAAAAACCTATTTTGTGAACATAACTTTTTTTAAAAAAGCTGTATTTAGAGAAGAGTTGTATTTTTTAACTTGCAAATCTCTTTAATTTCTGCTAGATTCTCATATGTGCGTCTGCATTTAAATTACTGTAATATCACATAGTGAGTGGCCTCCAGAAAACTCCATTGAACACTGTGAGAGAATGTGAATGAAAAAGAAAAATAAGTCTCAATAACATTTTTTTTTTTTTTTGAGACAGGGTCTCTCTCTTTCGCCCAGGCAGGAGTGCAGTGGTGTGATCACAGCTCACTGCAATCTCCACCACCTCCTGGGCTCCTCAGCCTCCTGTGTAGTTGGGAACAGAGGCATGAGCCACCATGTCTGGCCAATTTTTTTCTTAAAGAGATCCTGAAATGCCTTTAGGAGGCTGTAAGTTTAAAACTATTTTTGTAATAACATTATTTGCATTTTTCACTGCATAGACATTTACATTGATAGTGCAAAAGCAACTAATGGGTAAAAACAGCTGGTAATAGCCTTACCACAAATCAAGGCAGTGGCACCAATAAACAAAAAAGGCCAGCTGCATTTAAGAATGTCTTCGATGTAGAAGTAAAGATTATTAATTTTATTAAATCAGTTCTTGAGAACCCATCTTTTTAAATTAATGGAAGACAAAATGGAAGAACACATAAAGTACTTCTGCATATTGAAGTGTGAAGTTGCCTTGAAGAAAAGCACTATTTGATTGAGTTGTGAGCTGGACTAGTTGCTTTTTTTCATGCAACACCATTTTTACTTCAAAGAATGACTGGCAAACTGTAGTTATTCAACATGAATATGTGGCAGGTGTTTTCCCAAAAATGAATAAAGTGACCCTGACATTTCAAGAAAAATAATCAACAGTATTTGTTGCCAATGATAAAACTTGAGCTTTAAATATATACATATTTGAAACATTTTTATTGTCATCAGAAGCTTGACAGTTCCTAATATTAAATACTTTTCTGATGAGATTGGTGATACTATACAATCGATACTAACAAATATAATTTTTTGATACTGTGTAATGAAATGTGTCAATACTTGGAGCTCTGAATAATTCAATGAATCAATACTTTCCAAAAAGCTAACGTATCATGTTATAAAGTCATGCTATACATTCCTATTATAAAATCTGTCCAAAGTACAGAACACCACATTTTAATATAATAGAATTAAAAAAATTCATGGATACAGTTTGAGATTCTGCATTACAACTATGTTTTAAAACACTACTATTTATCAAATTCTGGTATAGTATCAAAGAAGAATATCCCAATTATTTTAAAAGGCTGTTAAAATACTCCTCCATTTTCCAATTAAAATCTCAGTGAGGTCAGGTTTTCTTCATATACATTAGTCAAAACAACTTACTGCAGCAGTTTGAATGCTGATAGGACAATCTGGCTGTCTTCCATTAAATCAAACATTAAACAATTTGCAAGATTAAAAAAAAACACTGCTATCTTTCTCAATAAAAAAGTTATTTTAAAATAAATAAATAATTTCTCATGTGATAAATATTGATAGATACAACCCATAAAAACAAAAGCTCTCTGGGGTCCTCAACAATTTTTAAGAGTGCAAAGGAGACTCGATACTAAAGAAGTCCCAGATCCCAGTAATGTGAGGAGCCCAGGCACCGTATTTAATGAAAAATGTCCATCAGATGAGTCTTACACATATGGCCAAGTTTAGAAACCACTGAAAGTATCATTTGACTGTGACTGCCTCACTTGGAAAAGCTGTTCCTTGGTGCCCCCTAGTGGCTCATACGCTTTTGTTTTTCAAATTAAAATCAGAATAAAGGAAGACCTGGGATTGAGGAGACACAAAATACTAGTTCTGAAAGTGACTGGAGAGTTCATGTAGTCCAACTCCCACTTTATCAGTGGAGACAGATAGCATGCAGACATCATTACAATACAGCGTGAAAAATGCTATGCTATGCTTTGGGTGAGTACAGGGTATGAAAAAAGCATACAGGAGGTGGCATCTGTTCCAGACTTGGGAGGTAGGTCTCCAGAGGCAACTGCTTTTGAAATCTGGACAGAAATTGAAGGATGAGAGTAGCCCATTCAAAAGGAATGGCAAGTACCAAAGCTCAAAGATAAAACAAGCCATGATTTGCTCAGTACAGCAGTGAACAATTTTAAGAGCTTGACAAGTACCAGGTTCTGTGCTAAAGCTCATTACATTACCTCATTTAATGCTCACAAAAACCCTATGAGGTGCTAACCCTCCATCAACCCTATAAGGTAATGGATAGTAGACATTTATAGTTTGTTTACTTTAATTTTCTTTAGACTTTTTTGAAAAGCAGCCAGCTTTACAAAGACTTGATCTTTGGGAAAGCTTACCCAAAAGTACAAAGCTGCTTCTATGTTTTTAAAAGGATTCCTTCAAAATTGCTTTAGAAGACATATGGAAGAAATGGAATGGTTTGGATGTCTTGTAAGGTCCTTCGGATAAGTCAGGGAGAAATAAGGCTCTTTTAAATTTAATTCAACTGTAGATTATGCTTTAATTATAAACATAGTAGAGCTAAGTAAAAGCTTTATAACTGCCTTTCCCTTTTCTAATTTCTCCTTTTAGAATATAAACCTCGCATGGAGGCATTACTATTGTAGTAGACAGGGTAGGAGCTCTGAAATCAGACATGTATCTGACCACTGGTTTCACCACATATTAACTGTGGCCACTGATAACTTTCTTAACTTTGAGTTTTTGCACCTCCAAAATGAGGACGATATCTTCCTCACTGATTGTCATGAAAAATAAATTGGAATGCATTATATATACACGTAGCTCATGCATCAGATGCAAGGTTCCTTTCTTGCTTCTGATGTCCTTATGTATCTAACAGTCCTGAAGGGTTGTCTTACTTTCTTTGATGCTGCTTCTGCAGAGCTGCCTCTGATAATTGTCCCTGAAGGATCAGTTTTCTTTGCTTGTCAATATCTCCTTCCATTCGAGCAAAAGCATGAGAGCCAATGAAAGAGAGATCAACTCCCAAGCCTTCATCCTCCTCTTCTTGGTTATCTGTAACAAAAATGCAACTATCAATAGAGAGCTTATGCTAAAACTAGATAGTAAACATTGTGAATGCTGCAGTAAGGATGACAGTGAGGTAACTCAAAAAACTGGGGTCAAGGTTATTTTTGAGAATGAAACTGTAATCAGATTTAGGCATTTGTAAAGCTGAAATAATGAAAGAAACTGCCTGTCCATGTGTGACAAAGGTTTTAGCAATATGTGAAATCCAATCAGGGTGACCTGGGTGTAACCCTAGGAAGAAAAGAGTAGAATGTAGTCACACACAAAAAGACAGAAGTAAATAGATTGTATCTGGCTTTAAAGATGGCTCATTGCACAGCATCTGACAAAAAAGAAGTATAAAAAACAAGCATTTGGGAAGGTTTATATAGCACTGTTGAAGGAGGAAGCATTTGATTGCATAAATGCTCTTCTGTAAGGTGACATCCCAACATGGATGTACCAGGATCACAGAGTATGATCCACATTCCTTAAGAAATATTTCAGTTATAATTTAGCATCCTGGTTTTCTACACTGTCATACCAACCTAGTTATTTTGGTCCATAAGAGTTATAGTTTTCACTACAAATTAATAAATTAACTTTCTAATCTGTCCATACAAACACTGTGAGTTGGATTAGTAGAAATCAGTCTCTTGGGAACAGATTATCTCTTAGTGTGGTATTCACTGTCTTGGTAGATCTGTTAAGCAAAAACAAAACAAAACAAACGTCGTACCATGGGGAAATTCCCAAGGCAATGCCAGCACTTGAATTCCAACCTGGTGGACAATCAGCTGGAGTTTCCCCACGTCTACTTCACTGCTCCTCAAACTGACAGGCCAATAGATTGGAAGGGCCTGCTTTCATTAAAAACACCCCTCAAGTAAAGCTTGGTTATATATATTTTAACAGATTTAACATTCTGCTTGAAAATATTTAAGAACACTACGGCCTATATCTATAACATAAAAGTATTTTCTGAGATACGATTTAACATTCTACTTGAAAATATTTAAGAATGCTAAGGCCTACATCTATCACAAAAAGTATTTTCTGAGATATGAATGCAAATAAAACACTCTGGGAATGGTGGACAGAAGAGAATCTTCTTGCAAATTAATTAGTCTTATCTACTGTCCAGCACTCAAAGTGGTTTTGCTGTTCACCACTCATTATCACACTAAATGCATTTTATGAAAGAAAAATTCTATGGTAGTCACAGGCATGAGGATTTCAAAACAACTCTTTGCATTATTTCAAGGATATACTATACTGGAGGCTCACCCAAAGTGCATGACTACCCCTTCAGCAAAGTTTGGTTTCCAGATATTTCACATTTCCTGATGTTAGACCACTTATAATTCCCTCCAGTTGATTAAAGTTTATGTACTTGTGATAAAATCTTGAGTTGCTTCCTAAGATTTTGGCTTGGTGCTCATTTTTAAAAGAAATGTTCACTCTAGGAATTTCACAGTAATTCCCTAAACTGCTGGATTTCAAGACTCAGTCCCAGCACTGAAGCTTGTGAGGCATATCTCCACAGAAGGGACTTAAGACCTTAAACATGTACACATGAACATCACTACAAGATGTCACACAGAGCAGATTCAGAAGGCCCCCATCCTAACACGTTCTACCTACTGCTCCAACCTACAACAGTATATAACCCAAAGAAACAAAATGAATGGTTATAATATTCTTGTCTTAGTATTTAATGTTAAGTATGATTTTTAGAGGATACTGAAAGCTGTTTAAAATGTTAGACAATAACGTACTTTACTATCTCAACAGTGTTCTGCATGAAACTATAACCTCCATTAGGGTGAGAATGTTGTTATAGCCACCTCTTAATCCCCACTGTCTAACACAGACTTGACGTATATCTATCTAGCTATACTTTTATTTTTAATTTCAAGAATAGAACTTGAAAACTTCTAAACTGGTCTTGATAGTAGTCATGGTAATAGAGAGCTTTCCAAAGGTCAAGCTGAATTTCTTACTTCTTTGGTGATTGGTGCCTATTTTTGGCCCTAAGAGGGAGATTTAAAAAGTTAGAGCTCTAGAACTCACCTTCTGGAGCACCAGGTTTCTCACTTATTCTAATCTGTCGTTCAGGTACCACAGGCTCCCCTTCTGCATTTCCAATATCTGCAGGTAGGTAGGGCAATGATCGATTCTCCTCTTTTAATGACCTTGGGAAGTAGAGAGGTAGCAGCTTTTGGTAAGTACCCTGTGTCAGAAAAGCAAGACATTCTGTGAAAAATAGAACAAAACAAAGAAGACCTCAGCAGTACTTAGTGCTGTTCATACACTGTGAAGACAACCTCCATCAAGAATAAAGACTTTACCACTTCTGAGCTCAGACTCGATACTGTCTGAAACCCTCAATCAGCTTTTGTGTTAAAGATAAGGATATTGTTATCTAGCCAAGTTAAATGTGATGCCCATCCTAACAATTCCAGGTCACTGAACCTGGAATGCATAAGTCCTGCCACTCCTGTCCCCATCCGTACCTTCACTTCCTAATGATACCAGTCTCTCAAGACTTGGCTCAGATGCTAGCTACTTCCTTAACCCTCAGTGTGCCATCAGGGTCCGTTCAACCATGTTTAGCTTCTGAGTTGTTTGTGAAGGATTTCTCTTTCATGATGTTTATTCTTTCTTAAAAGTTTTTTTCAAAGAAAAAAGATGAATTTTACTTAAAAAAAACCAAACAGAATAAAACTCATCTTATCTTGTAATTCCCATATCGATTGGTCCACTGGACTAATAAATCTGCAATACATTAAAGGCATGTAGTGCTCTTATTTGTCCTATATCTTGAAGCATTTTGCATTTTCATCTTCCTAGGAATTGTTTTCTCATTACCTAGAATTACTCATCAATTATTACAAACTATACTAAAAAAGACTGAAATAAAATAGTAACAAAAAAATTATGGAATCACCTAGGACAATGAAATCATTCAAGAAATCATTTTCTTTCATTTTCATATTGTGTTGCCCATAGTATTGCATCATCTTTTAAATACATATATAAGATTGCAGACATCATCTTTATAGCCTTTATAAAAAAACTGAGATACAATCTTTAAAAAAAAACTGAGACAGAATTCACATACCATAAAATTCACCCTTTTAAAGTACAAAATTCAGTGTTTGTTTTCGTTTTCTTTTTTGAGATGAGGTGTTGCTATGCTGCCCAGGCTGTTCTCAAACTCCTGGACTCAAGCATTTTTCCCATCTCAACTTCCCAAGTAGCTGGGATTACAGGTGTACACCACCATACCCAGTTTCAGTGGTTTTTCACAGACAGTATTCACAAAGGGGGTACAAGGGGGTACAATCACCACCACTATTTAATTCCAGAACATTTTCATCACTCTAAAACCCATCAGAAATCATTCACCATTCCTCCCTCTCCCACACCTGGCAATTACTAATCTTTCTGTCACTATGAATTTGCCTATTTTTGGACATTTCATAAAAATGGAATACAGGGCCAGGCACAGTGGCTCATGCCTGTAATCACAGCATTCTAGGAGGCTGAGGTGGAGGTATCACGAGGTCAGGAGATTGATATCAACCTGACCAACATGGTGAAACCCCGTCTCTACTAAAATATAAAAAATTACCCAGGCGTGGTGGCGCGTGCCTATAGTCCCAGCTACTCGGGAGGCTGAGGCAGGGGAATCACTTGAACCCGGGAGGTGGAGGTTGCAGTGAGCGAGATTGCGCCACTGCACTCCAGCCTGGTGACAGAGTGAGACTCCATCTCAAAAAAAAAAAAAAAGGCCGGGCACGGTGGCTCACGCCTATAATCCCAGCACTTAGGGAGGCCGAGGCGGACAGATCACGAAGTCAGGAGATCAAGACCATCCTGGCTAACACAGTGAAACCCCGTCTCTACTAAAAATACAAAAAATTAGCAGGGGGTGGTAGCGGGTGCCTGTAGTCCCAGCTACTTGGGAGGCTGAGGCAAGAGAACGGCTTGAACCTGGGATTTGGAGGTTGTAGTGAGCCGAGATCGTGCCACTCTACTCCAGCCTGGGTAACAGGGTGAGACTCCGTCTCAAAAAATAAATAATAAATAAAAATAAAAATGGAATACAGTATGTGGCATTTTGTGTCTGGTTTCTTTCATTTAGCATGATGTTTTCAAGGTTCACCCATGTTGTAGCATGTATCAGTACTTCATTCCTTTTTTACGGCTGAATAATATTCTAACACACATGCACGCACACATACACACACCACATTTTTTTTTAATCAATTTATCTGCTGATGACATTTCAGTTGTTTCTACTTTTTGGCAATTATAAATAATGCTACTACAGATATTTGTGTACAAGTTTTTGTGTGGACTTATGTTTTCAATTCTCTTCTGTATACACCTAACAGTCAAACTGCTGCATTATAGGGTAACTCTATGTTTAACTTTTTCATGAACTGCCAGACTGTTTTCCAAAGTAGTTGTGCCATTTTTACATTCCAATTAACTATCTACGAGGGTTCCAATTTCTCCACATCCTCACCAACACTTGTTATTGTCTCCCTTCGTAATTATAGCCATGTTAGTGGGTGTGAAGTGGTATCCATAGTGGTTTTGACTTGTATTTCTCTAATGGTTAATGGTGTGGAGCACCTTTTCAGTGTTTACTGGCTGTGTATCTTCTTCAAATAAATGTATGTTAATTATGTTTAATTTTTTTTTTCTATTTTATCATGTTTTCACATCTTAAAGCTTTCTGGCCTGGGAAGACTGTCCCTGTAAGGGATAACTAATTCCTAAAGATAGTAAACAGCACATCTTGCATATGCCAACCAACCAATCCCAAATCTACAGTCCTAATCATTTCCGTATCTAACTCTTACACACCATGCAAATATTTCTCCTGGTCTAAATCATCCAGGGCCAGGTATCAGGAATCTAGAGATTACTCCTATAGCCCAGAGTCTGCTGGAATTATTCAAACTAGCCAGTCCTAAACTGTAAGTCCTGCCCTGCCTTGCCTTTCCCAAGGAAAACTCAATAAAGGCTCTGGCTCAGGATTTCCTCACACTCCTGCTTCTGCCTCCTGACTGAAACCTACTGTTCCTCCCGTGGCCCTGCATAGCACCCATGCCTCTCTTTTCTAGCAGAACTATGCAAAATATTAAACTTTTCTTTCTTTCTTTCTTTTAAACAATGTTTCTTGCCATAGACCTCTTTGTCTCATCACTCAGTCACCTTTGTAAATTAAAACCTAGGCATGAAACATGTCTGTTCAAAACTTTTGTTCACTTTTTAGTTTGCTTATTTGTCTTTTGTTGAATTGTAAGAGTGCCTAATTTATCCACTTTCATTTTGGCTTTTTGTGCTTTTGGTGCCATATCTAATAAACCACTGCCTAATCCACAATCAAGAGGATTTATACCCACACTTTCTTCTAAGAGTTTTATAACTTTAGCTCTTACATTGAGGTCCTAGATTCCTTTTGAGCTAATTTTTGTATCTGCTATAAGGTAGGAATACAACTTTGTTCTTTGGCATGTGGATATCCAGTAGTCCCAATACTATTCGTTGAAAAGGCTATTCTTTCCCTCATTAAATTGTCTTGAAACCACTGTCAGAAATTCCATTCCACTGACCTATACGTTTATCCTTATGCCAGTACCACAGTCTTGATTACTACAGCTTTGTAGTAAGTTTTGAAATTGGTAAGTGTGAATCTTCCAATGTTGTTCTTTTTTTCCAAAATGGTTTTGATTATTCTGGGTCTCTTGCATATCCATGTGAAATTTAGGATCAACTTGATAATTTCTGCAAAAAATGAGTTGGGATTTTGATAGGAATTAAGTCTGTAATATAATGTAGGGAGTATGGTCAGTACTGTTATCTTAACAACATTAAGTCTTTTAATCTGTGAACATAGATGTCTTTCCATTTATTTGTGTTTTTAACATTTTCTTTCAAAGAGGTCTTATAGTTTTAAATGTACAAATCTTACTGTTCTTTTGTTAAGTATAGTTCAAATATTTGATTCTTTTTTTGATGCTACTCTAAGTAGAACTGTTTTCTTAATTTTTGTTTCCGGATTGGTCATTGTTAGTGTGTAGAAATACAATTTATTTTTGCATATTGATCTTATGTCCTGTAACCCCACTGGAACTCTATTAGTTCTAACAGTGTTTGTTTGGTTTTTTTTTGGCATGGACTCTTTAGGATTTTTGATAAGATCATGCCGTCTGCAAATAAAGATACTTTTACTTCGTTCTTTTCAATTCGGGTGCTTTTTATCTCTTTTTCTTAGCCAAATGTCTTGACTAGAAACTCTAGTAAAATGTTGAATAGAACTGGCAAGAGCAAAAATCTTTGTCTTCTTTCTGATCTTAGGCAGAAAGCTTTCAGTATTTTACCATTAAGTATGTTAGCTATGGGTTTCCCATAGATGCCCTTTTTCAGGCTGAAGCAGTTCTCTCTTATTCCTAGTTTGTTGACTGTTTTTATCAAGAAAGAGTGTTACATTTTTTCAATGTTCTTTTCTACATCTATTCAGATGGTCCTGTGGTTTTTATCCTTTATTCTATTAGTATGATATATTACATTGATTCAGATTCTTGTATGTTGAATTAACCTTGCATTCCTGACATAAGTCCTACTTTGGGGTAGTATACAATTCTTTTGTATGTTGCTGGATTTGGTTTGATAATTTTTGCATCTCTATTCATAAGAGATATTGCTCTATAGTTTTCTGGCAGGTAGTATATTTTTAACTTTACTGGACAGAGTTGAGAATTCGTAATTTTTTATTTGCAGTCCATAATAGTAAAGAGAAGACAAATGAAGAAAACATTTTGGAATCATTAAATAAATCAAAGATGAATGTAAGGAGACAGCAGCCCTCTAATGATGATCATAAGATTTACTGTATAAGGTAAAATCTCAGACTCTGAGTCTTCAGACAACAATATTCTAGGTTATCTTTCTCAAATTCAATAATCTATGAGTTTATGATTTTTTTTTCTTTTTTTTTTTTTGAGACAGAGTCTTGCTCTGTCACCCCGACTAAAGTCAGTGGCGTAATCTCAGCTCACTGCAACTTCTGCTTCCTGGGTTCAAGTGATTCTCATATCTCAGCCTCCCTAGTAGCTGGGATTACAGGCACCCATCACCACATTCAGCTAATTTTTTTTTATTTTTAGCAGAGATGGGGTTTCGCCATGTTGGCCAGGCAGGTCTTGAACTCCTGACCTCTGGTGATCCACCTGCCTCAGCCTCCCAAAGTGCTGGGATTACAGGCATGAGCCATTGTGTCTTTCTAAGGACAAAAAGGAAATATGGTATTTTCATTCAGTCATTCAACAGGAAGAACTTAATCACATACTATTTTGTGATAGGAACCTGGACAATCTCATTTTACTAAGAGGATGTGTGACAGTATTCTTTCATCTTTTATGTTTGTGCAACAGTATTTACTTGATACAAAGAGGTAAATGTCTAATACCTCTACTAAAATGTCTAATAAACTTGTTTTTCATTATCCCTTTATTCATAAATTATTCACAAATGACTTTTGAGAAAAAGATGGTAAATGTTGATTATTTTCCCAGGTATACTGAGGGCAAAGACTTTTATTCTCTGTTCCTCTAAATCTGGGTCAGGTGTCATGGTAAGTTGCCACGGCACTGTGGTGCATACCTTAGCAGAGCATTTGGCACACTGTAGGGTGATCTTTGTTTACCTGGCTGTCTCAGCATTAGTCCGCCAACTCCCTGAGAGCAAGAGCCATATCTCATTTGTATCCTATCCTATGAAAATGCACAAATCTCTAACCTAGACTTCACTCCTCAGCTTCAAACTGATAAGCACAATGGTTCGCTGAGCCTCTGCCCTGATGATCCACTGATCCTCTAAGACTCAACGTGTTCAGAAAATAATTTGTCTTCATCCCATCTCCAAAACTTTTCCCACTTTCTATTTGCTATCTCAATGGTGGCATCATTATTTAGTCACTCAAGCCAAAAACCTAGAAGTCATGTTTAACTCCTTTTCCCGTATGTATTTAATCAACCACCAACTCCAGTTGAACTTATTTACTAAATGTTTAAAATTTTAACACTACCAGTACCCTTGTTCAGGCCTGATCATTTCTCATGTGGAGTACTGCAACCACCTGTTATCTCTTCTTGCCATTAGTCTTTCCCTTTCCAAATCATCCTCCACACAGCTAAAACAGAAATTAGATGACATCATTTGTTTGTGTAAAGCTCTTCTGTTTCCCACTGCATAATTAATAAAGTCTAAATTTTACAGGATGTGACACAAGGCCTTGAATGATCTTATCCTTATCTAACTTTCATTTTCGCCACTCTCAGCCTCACATTTTATGCAACAGCAATACTAAACACTTGATGCTATGTCTTATTTCTATGCCTTTGCTCAGGCTTGTATGACCGCTGTCATTTGCCTCTCTCCCTCGGCAAATCTTATGTACCTTTTACAATTATTTCAACTTATGTATCACTTCCTATGGGAAGCATTTCCTAACCCCGTGCCAGGCTAAAGTTATGTCCTATCCTTCCCACACCTCCATTAATGCACTTATCACAATTATCTGAATTTATCTGAATTATCTATTTCCACAAAATGATAAAGGCTCCTTGAGGAAACAACCATGATTTTTTCACTGGTGTATTCCCAGGACCTAATATAGCAAACCTGTTACATGCTAACACTCAGTAAAAGATCACTGGAAGATTCTATGTATAAATAAACCAGATGAAACGAGATAAAGTAAATGTGCCTTTTTTCAGCAAATTCAAAAGTACATATATATGTTATATATGTAGCTATATATGCCTTGAATAGATACTTCACTAATAGATAGCTAATACGAATGTATTAGCTTATTTTATTATCAAGAAAAACCTGATAGAGGTACTATCAGTATTTCTATTTTACTGAAGCAGAGAGGTTAACTTGCTCAATAATACAAAACTTGGAAATATTGGAAGCTGAATTAGACAAAGCACTCTAAAATAAAGTGTAATGAGATAAGAATAAACTGATTTTCTAAAATGGTTTGAAATTAAGTTGAAATATATTAAACCTAACTACATATAACAAAACACATAAACCTCACAGTGCCAGCCACTAGACTAGGCTGTCACCTGGTCAGGCAGACACCAAAGCTTTTCTGGCACAGTAGTTTTCCAGTTATGCTCCCCAAACACGCAGTGCTTAGAAGGTGTTGCTTTGAGAGCTAACACAAGGGCCAAGCAGAACAACTCCACTTTGTACGATTTCACTTACAGCAACAACAGTTATAAAAAATATGAACGAAATGCTCCTTCTTGACTTATTTTTAGTTTCCAA
This sequence comes from Homo sapiens, assembly GCF_000001405.40. Classification (NCBI taxonomy): domain Eukaryota; kingdom Metazoa; phylum Chordata; class Mammalia; order Primates; family Hominidae; genus Homo; species Homo sapiens. The sequence continues at coordinate 117,906,344 of NC_000001.11, forward strand.
TATAGTCTTTTTCAATGAATGATTGTAAGACCCACTGTCAAATACATACATAGATCATTAGGATTTGTCTGCTGGAAACTCAGTAAATATGTAGTGACAAGCCAAAGTCAAATGCTTAAAGATAGAAATAAGATTTAAATAACGTAACAGTTAGCAAAATACCTCTTCAAGATCAGAGACAGCAAATACTACTTTTTCAATGGTTTCCCCATGAATCTCTAGGAATCTTCTTACAGTGCCTAAGGAAAAGAATAGAAAGATTACTCAATAAATAAAAAATTACTTATACATAAAGAAAAATCAAGCTCTTCAATGTTTTAGTTTTGTAATGGATCACTTCTCACTTCATTCAGCACTCTGCTTAGTAATACCCTATCAGTGAAGCCTGCCCATACTACTTGTATAAAAATTCTGATTTGCTTTCCTCCAGAGCAACTGTGATAGACATTTTATGAAGTTACTTGTGTATTGTTATCCTCCCTGCCCTCTCCGCCTCATTCACTAGAATGAAAGCTCCATAAAGAAGATGCTTTATTGTATTTATTGCTCTATTTCCAATGCCAAGAACAGTGACTGGCCGTAGAAGATGCTGACTCTATACAATTCTCTTTTATCCAGTATATTCTTCTTATTCCCTGGGGCCTCTCTCGGGCCAGAATGATCTAGCACAAGTGTCTTTCCATTCATTCAGTTACAGTATTAGATATCCTACCCAGTCCTTCAGACCCTGACAAAACTCCACAAAACCAAAGCTCAATTATTTTTTTCTTAATTTCTATGTCATCCTAATTCTTCTTTATCAACTTCTAATAACAAGACCTACTGGCCTTTACTTCAGTTCTTAACTCATTGGATCTCTCCCTAGCTTTAGCCCTTAACACACATGTCCTCATCTTTTAAAAATGTTGTCCCCCAGGGTTCTGCCTTCAATATTTTTTATTTTTTTGATATACTTATTCTCCTTAGCTCACTGATGTGCTGGATAGGTATTACCTCAAATGCTGATGGCTCCCAAATCTTTATATTCTTTATTCTGAGGAAAAGACCCAAATTACCTGATGCCTATTAGGTATATCTGCTTAGATAACTCACAGAGACCTCAAATTCAGTGTAGCCAAATTTGACCCCAACAGGTCCAAATCCTGACCGCCATCTTTTTCCGAACAAACCTGGTCCTTTTTACCTACATTCCTTATTTTGGTTACATATCAACATCCAACCAATCATCCAAGCTAGAATCCTGAATTGTCTTTGATGCTTCCTTTACCTCTTCCTTCATGCTGCATTTTCAAATAGTTCCCATGACTTTTAATTCTATTGCTAATATTTCTAACATTTATTCCTTTCTTTTGGCTGCTTTCAGGTTCTCAAGGCTCACACAGACTTTGGTAATAAGCTCTTAACTGCTCTCCTTGCGTCTTTTTTCCGCAAGTCTACATACTCACTGTTGCCTGAGTTATCTTCTCATGTTACCCGAGTTATCTTCTCATGTTACCCTTTTTAATAAACACTGGTGATGCTCTGCACTACTTACAGGTTAAGATTCAAAAACCCTAGCATGACTCTCTATACTCCAACGCCAACTGTCCACTTTCCCCCACTCAGCTCTTTAGTCCTGTTTTCAATTATTCCTCCCACATCTTATGCTTTAGCCAAATCTACTTTGCTGTATTCAAAACATACCACTTACTTTTATGATGCCCTGCCTCTGCTTGCATGTGCCTACCTTTGACTAGAGTACCACTCATCCACCATTCTCTTCTTTTGGTGAACTCCTACTCATTTTTCAAGACCTAGCCAAGAGCCATCTCCACCCTTCTTTATGCCCCTCCTAGAATCTTTTGAACACCCTTCATTTTAAGAATTTCTCACATTTTATAGCTAGACTAAGCTTTTTGAAGACCAAGTATATTTTATATTAATATTACTTTAATTTGGGGCCTAGCACACCTTACGGATGTGATATGCAATCATTCAAAAGTAACTAGTAACTGAATTAACAATTTATGGCTCAGTTACATATTGCCTGCTTTGTTCAACACTGTATCTCAAGAACCTAACAGAGCAAACCTATTTGTTAAAGGACTAAACAAACACTCATAACTCTCCTCCTGTTAGATGACAAATTTACTTTTTATTTTTTCCTCTATTCTGCTTTAATGCTTTTTCAAAAACGAACTTTCAAAAAAAGATTTTCAGCAGGACATGGAGGCTCATGGCTATAATCCCAGCACTTTGGGAGGTGAGGGCAAGACGATTACTTGAGCCTGAGTTCAAGACTAGTTTGGGCAACATAGCGAGACCCTGTGTTTACCAAATTTTTTTTAAAAAATTAGCTAGGTATGGTGACGCATGCCTGTAGTCCTAGCTACCTGGGGGGCTAACAAGGGAGGATCACTTGAGCCCAGGAGGTTGAGGCTGCATTGAGCTGTGTTTGCCCCACTGCACTGCAGCCTGGGCGACAGTGTATGACTCTATCTCAAAAAAATAAATAAATAAATAAATAAATAAATAAAGATTTTCTGTTTCCTATTTATTTGACACCAAGTTGTAATGTTCATGCATAATAGTTTCCCAGAATATAATTATATTATTTCCTTTGGAAGATAAAATACAATACCAAATAGCAACCAAATTGAATTCTCTCAGTGGAATTCATTTAGAAAATTAACTCTGCAAAAGCAGTGAAGAAGACTAATGTCATGACTCTAAGGTTTTAGTACTAAAGGCCAGGCCACGCTCTTCCTTTCAAAGTTTCATCTGTGCACTATACTCTGCAACCAACCACAATGTCCTGTGCTTAAATACCTAGTGAATACCCTATAATTTGTAAGAATGACATCTAGGACATTATAATTCCCCATCTGGAAACACCACGAGAACAAACACCTTCATCTTATTTCTCACCACTGTAGTATTTTGTATACAGCACATAGTAGTCACTTAAATTTTTGTTGGATGAATAAATAACCTGATAAATTTATTTCAATGCAGATATTTCTTTAGGCTTTTTCTGGAGAAAAACAAACTGCACATGAACTAAGAAAAAAAAAGCACGTGTCTTAATATATCTATCAAAAACATATTATTTAGGCTTCAAATGAAATAAATTTTGATAATAGTTTAATAAGAAAGCTTTTGATACTAAGGACTTCGAGTTATATCATTAGATTTGTTCTTGGCCCATATATGTTACAAAAGTGTATAAGCCATTTGTTTTCCAAATGCTTGATAAAGTATTCAAGCAAAAGGCATCATCTTCTGTGTAAGTGTTTGAATGAAATGCTACAGTTTTGCCACTAGATTTAAGGCCTAATAAGTCAAATGTGCCCACTTTTTAAGAGCTGTACATTTCCTTTTTGCTAATTATATTTCTAGAAACTGCTTCATCAAAGTCCCTTATACCCATTATTGATCTTTATCTGCTGTTACTCTCAAAGTTGACCTCTTTCATAGTACTGTATCAAGTGATTTGTCTGGGGCCACAGAGCTAGAGTTGGACTGGTAGAATTAGAACTAAAAACCAGTCTTCTTAACCCCCTATTCAGAACCTTTTCTACAAAATAATGCTGCCTCTTTAAAATAGAATCCTTATGATTACCTTAATAAAAAATAGATATATAAAAGAAGCTATGAGATGATATGACAAGGACTAAGTAAAATCAGAGAATGCAGAGACCAGCCAAAAGCCTTGTCAGGAGCAATTATATCAAGGGAGGAATTTTGCTTTCGTTAGGTACCATTTAGAAGATAGGCATGTAATAACATAGTAGTCTTCCACTGAAGCAGTTCTAACTCAAGCATAATGAATCATCTAGTATAACAGACAGGTTACTAGACCTGGGAGTCAGAAGGTCTGGATATATGCTCCAAGTCTGCATAACCCTCATAACAGGAGAAATTTCTGAGACCTTTTATTTGTACAACGGACACCACACTACCTAAAACACAGGGTTGTTAAGTAAAGTAAGTGGAATTTACTTGTCCCTTTTAAAAATATATATTTCTTGAGCAAGTACCATATGTCAAGCATTCAAGATAAAAAGATAAGATCCCTGCCCCTCAAGCTCAGTCTAATGTAATGTATATAAGCTTAATTATAAAATATACAAATTTACTATAAAATCCTTGAGCAGTTAGAATATTGGTTTTTAAAATAGGTTATAATTAAATAAGACTAAGACTGAACAGATACTCACCCTAAACTCCAGGCTACATAATAATAACTTATACATTCAAATATCTTTTTGGTATTTGTGGATATAAGGCTTTCAGCTCTTCGACTTTAAATTCTAGAGATAACAGGGGCTCTTAAAGATGATTTAGTATAGTTCGTCTCTGAAATGAGAAGTGTTTTCTATAACAGCTGCAACAGATGGTCCTGTAACCTCTGCATGAATGTTCCTAGTGACAAGAAGTTCGCTAAAATACTTTGCTGTTACAGTTAGTACTACTTCAAGTGGGACCAACATTTTCTTCCTTATAACTTGGTCTTAGACCTTGCCTTGTACAGTTGGAGTTCTTATCTACAATCCTGATGAGGATCTGTAAACTTCCTGAAATAACATGCAAATTCTGTATTTATGCACATTTTTCTTGACAAAGGGTCCATAGTGTTCTTTCACCAGATGCTCATCGTAGTTTATGACAATATCCCAAAGAACTGCTGCTTGAAAAATGTAGCACAGAATAAGTCCAAATGAGATTCCTTCAGATATTTGAAGATGGACATCATATTTGCTAAAAGCATGCTCTTCTTTAGAAGAAACACCACTACTGTTTCAAACTGTTTGTCCTCCTGTTTGTCAGTGTCTCATGCAATATGACACACAGAAATATATATAAAACTCAAGATGTGGTCTAAATCTGCATATATACAGTGAGATCATGGACTCTCTTTAGCTGAATGCCATATTTTTATGTGACATACAGGCATTTGGCTCATATTGACTGAGCCCAGTCTTTTGAAAACCTAAATGCAGAATTTTACATTCAAATAGCATGTGTGAATGTGGCTATTTAAACTGCCAAGTGTTATACAAATATGATATCATGAAATCTGACTGCATTTGTTACAGACTGTTAAGATTATTCTAAATTCTGATTTAACTACTCAATGCATTAGCCATACTTTCTAACTTAGCATCACTTTCAAATTCAAGAGGCTAGCTGCTCTGAATCTATTCTGGTTTTGGGGGCCGTCCAATTCAAATCTCATTCTTTGCTCAATTAAATTCTGTTAAATTAAAAAAATTAATAGGCAAGTCTTCTGACCCGTTATTCAAATGGATAAAAATGCCAACCTGAAAAAGTAAATTGAGAGCTCTGCAACTTGCCAATAAAAACTTCCCTCCAGGGAGCCACAATCACTTAATCAATGAATATTCTTTGGCTGTAACTATTTAATGATTAAAAAAAAAAAAAACCTTTTTTTTTTGAGATGAGGTCTCACTATATGTTGCTCGGGCTGGAGTGCAGTGGCTATTCATAGATGCAATCACAGCTCACTGCAGCCTTAAACTTCTGTCCTCAAGTGATTCTCCTGCCTCAGCCTCCCAAGTCGCTGGAATTACAGGTATAAGCCACCATGCCCAGAATTTAAAAAATTTTTAAGATTCAATTCATGTACAGCATCTCTGATATTACTTACGAAGTGCTATGTGTGTTGCATCCTCTAAAGGATAACCACGTTTTGCAGAATTGATGACACAGAAGCCAACAGAAGACATTGACTGCTCTCTGCAACAAAGGGAAAACACAAAAATTGCACTAGAAATATCAGTAATACATACACAACAATATATAAGTAATTTCAAAATCTAGCTCAACTTCTCCTTTCCTCCCTCTTCAACAAATCTACTATAATAGCTAACCCAACTGTACCACTCAATAATTCTATTCATATACAATTTAATTGCACTCTTTGGAGGATATATATCTCACATAAAAACTGAATAAAAAATGGGAAAAGGTTAAATTCTCAAGTCACTCAAATCTATCCCATTTATCCCGCTAAGTTTGAAAAGATAATTCTATTGTCAGGGTCCTCCTAAATCACCTAAGTCCCTCAAAATTTGACTTCCACTGCTAGGTTTTTAATCTTTAAAAACTGGGGCCTTTATCTTTAAAAACTGGGGCCTTTAACAATGTATGATATGCTATGTCCAGAAAATGAGTAGACCATACTTTGCTAGTTGAAGTACGTTTCTGTAGCAGCTATAAAGGGAACTCTCAGCTGCTGTGCGATAGCGGCTTTTATATTTAGGTCCCACTGTGTGAATGATGAACCGGGCAGCTAGATTGAATCCTTTTGTCAATTTTGCTTCACCTGTTCGGCACCCTGAAAACAATGGAAACACACATAAGTTTGGATGTGTTAGGAAAACAGAAACAAAAACAAATGAAAGCATGAAACAGAGAAAGTATTGAGAACTTTGAGAAATTTCAGTTAAAAATACAGACTGAACACAAGCATTTATCTCTGTTACTTCTGTTCCCAAAATGACAGTGAAGCAATACAATAGGTATAAGCACAGAGACAGATAAAGAGAATGAGAAAGACCATGAAGCAGATAAGCATCATCAAAATTTTGGAAGGTAGAATGTCAACTGACTAGTAACTGACTCAACAGAGCAGACAAACCTAATTGCTTGCAGAAATGAGATAACTAATACGAAGCAAGTTGATCTGTACTGAAAAGCAGTGTTGGATACAAGACAGACTGCTTTGATTCAAATCCTGAGTTCCTGTCAAGACACTCTGGGCAGGGGCTTAGCCTTGTTACAACCCAATTTCCTATTTAAGAGGGATACTAGTAGTACTTACTTCACAGGATTAAACGAGTTACTATATGCAAAGTGCATACATGCATAAGAAATTATTGTTATTATTACTAGAGAATGCTAAAAAGGCTCAGAAATTGGAGCCCTAAGTACTTGTAAAGGCTATGCTGTCAAGTGGGATGTGGTGCTAAAAAGAGGAGGTCCAGTTAAAAGTTTGTATAAAAACAGTCAAATCTGCAACAACCCCTCCCCCAGCCAGCACAGTAAGGTGATGATTTTTTTTTTTTTTTTACCACCAGAGCAGCAGGGAAGAAGTTTATTCTCTGGAGATGCTCAACTAGAGAGTTTCTGGATTCCAGAACCCCAGGCACAGCTGAAAAGAGGGGATTTAGTTAAAGTGTTATACTTAACAGTGAAAGGTCTAGCCCTCTGCCCCTAAATGGCTTTCAAAACAGACATCTAGGCTTACACTCCTGGAGGATTCCTTTCCAAGAAATTGAGAGGCCCAAACCTAAAGGACCTACAGATAACTGGGGAAGTTCCCCAATAAAATAACAGGCAGGAGTCCCATTCTGTCATATGCTTCAAGACCCACCAGGCAATAACCGTTGCCCACTGTTATGAACTGAATGCTTCGGTTCCCTCAAAATTCATATGTTAAACCCTACCCCCTAATGTGATGGTATTAGGAGGTAGGGTCTTTGGGGGTAATTAGAATTAGATAAGCTCATGAGGGTAAAGCTTTCATGAATGAGATCTGAATCCTTGTAAGAGTCTCCAGAGAGTCTGCTCCCTCTCTCTGCCACGTGAAAATACAATGAAAACTCAGCAGTCTGCAGCCAGGAAGACAGCCCTTAGCAGAACTTGACTATGCTGGCACCCTGATCTTGGATTTCAGTCTCCAGAAATTTCTGTTCTTCCTAAGCCATTCAGCCTAGGATACTTTGTTATAGCAGCCTGAAATGACTTAGACACCCATGTGTACAAAGTTTCCCATGAACTTTTCAGTTCTTCCATCTTAAATCCAGCTAACACTTAAGGATCACCAGAAAGTGAGAAAAGCCTCTAACAAAAACTAAAAGGGGAGACTAAACACATGCTCAAGAAATAGACAACACAGGGGAAAAAAAACTTAAAATCAGAATGTCATAAAAACAAACTATTCAGAGAACAGGAAATGGCACTTATGTAACTGCTATAGCCAAGTGAAAAATATGACAGCAGAAATGAAAAGTTCAATAGAAGGGTTAAAACTAAACTTGAAGGAATCCAGAAAATAAAACAAAAATAAATTGAAAATAAGAGATAACAGATGAGAAAACTGAAGAATTAAACAAGAAAATACAACATCTAATAGGATTTCTTCAGAGAGAACAGAGAATACAGAAGGAAGGAAATTATTAATGAAATAAAACAAAAAAATTTCCCAGGATGGAAAGACATCAGTTTCTAGATTCAAAGAGCCCATAAAACACCCAAACCATATGAAGGCAAATCCCTGTAAAATTTAAGAGCACTAAGAAACAAAGATGAGATCAGAAGCTTTCCAGAAAGAAACCAGTAACATACAAACAATCAGGGATAAGAATAGCACAAGACTTCTCAACAGCACTAATCAAAGTAGAAAACAAAGGAGTAGTGCCTTCAAATTTCTAGAAAATGATTTCCAAACTAGAATTCTATTTCTAAGCAAATTACCAATTAAGTACGAAGGTGGAAGTAAAATCTCAGTAGTTTTACCCTATTGCATTCTTCTTTAAAATCTCCTGGTAGATTTACTCACAAAAATGAGAGATCCAATCCACCAAACAGAAAAAAGGATTTCCCAGGATGATGTTAAAAAAAAAAGTTCCAGAACAGTAACTGTGCAGCAGGCACAGAGAACAGTCTAGAGAGGAAAGGGAGGATGGAGGGTTCCAGGAGGGACCTTGGCAAGAAAAAAATGGAATGTAAGGGTCAAACTGTTATCTTCACTCCAATTAAGAGAGCCATCTTAATATGAGTAACAGTCCACTAACAGGTCTAACATGATACAACATTAAGCAGACAACACAACATCACCTATGAAATATTTTAGGCAAAACTTGACTCCATTAGACATAATGTCAAGTTTATAGGAAATACAAACTAAATGGCACCTCAAGTAAATCAGACAAATCTAGAAGGAGGAATACTGTGAAAAATAAGTGGCCTTGTTCAGTCAACAAGTCAGTGTCATAGACAGGGGACTGTGCTGGATTACAAAATACCACACACACAGAGACAAATTAATAAACATAACAAAAAGATGCAATGTCTGGTCCTGGATTGGATACTGGTTTGGATAAAATAGCTGCTGCAAAGGACATTTTTGGATCAGCTGGAAATTTTAAATATGGTCTGGGTAGTAGATGTAATTTCAGAAATTAAAAGGTGGAATTCATTTGCTGAAGAAGGCAAATTGCAGAATATGTACATGATTACCTTATTTTGAGAGTAGCATACACATAATTATTTTGGTATCAAAAGATATAAGAATGTATGTATACATCCACACCCACATACAGGTTCATACAACAAACAAACCTCACATAGGTTTAGTTTCATAAAATTTCTAAATTCACAAAGTGAATATAAGACTGATTTTTTTCAGGGAGGAAATTTAGGTACAATAAGCCAACCCTGCCTATTCTAATTTTAGTATTGATGCTTAGATACTAACTGAATTGACATATGGTTTTATGTATTTTCCTATCAAGGATTCTAGGAACACACCATGATTATCATTCTCCCTCTTCAATATGATCCTTTTTCAAGTATTTGAAAATAAGTACTGTTTCCCCCAAATATTCTCTTCTCTATGCTAATCCTAGCTCTTTAAATAATGTGGTTTCCACCATGTTAGTAATTTTCTATTAGGGGTACCCCAACTTATAGTAGTAATAAAAGACATACAGTTCTTGTCCATATGGAGTTTACAGTTTAATGGGGATACAGTTATCACAAGACAATTTACAGGATTACAATTGTGATAAGCCAACAAGAGAGAAGTACTGCAGGCTGGCAGCACATACTATGGGTGGTCTGATCTATTCTGAAGTAAAAAGAAATAGTGCTTTCAGGAAGAGATACAAGCCAAGACTTAAGAATAAGGGTTGACAACTGAGAGAAAGAACAACATCAAGTGCAAAACTGGAAAGGAGCTTGTGACAAGGTAGTGAGAAGAGATCAGTTTGGCTCAAGCATGGTAAGGAAAGGAAAAGGGGGCATGGGATAAGCCTGGAGAAAAGTGAGTAAGATCTTGCAAGGACATGGGGATCAGTTTAAGGAGTTTAGAATTTAAGTTTAATGAGAGGCCACTAAATAGTTTGAAGTAAACGAACAATAAGGGGTTTACACTTACTGGTTGTGTGTGGACAATGGATTTAAGAAACGAAGAATGGATGTAAGGAGACCAGCTGGGAGAGAGGATATGGCTGTAGTCTAGGCAGGGAATGATGGTTGCATATGCTAGTTGCTGGAGACAATGGTGACAGACAGAAATAGATTTAAGATTAATTTAGGGCATGGTGATAGACTTTATGTGAGGGATAAGAAAAAGCGAAGTGTTAATCCTAAGGTTCCTTGAATGAAAAATGGAATGGGAGGCTGGGCATGGTGGCTTACGCCTGTAATCCCAGCACATTGGGAGGCCGAGGCAGGCAGATCACTTGAGGTCAGGAGTTCAAGACCAGCCTGGCCAGCATGGTGAAACCCCATCTTCACTAAAAATACAAAAATCAGCCAGGTATGGTGGCACACACCTGTAGTCCCAGCTACTCGGGAAGCTGAGGCAGAAGAATCACTTGAACCTGGGAGGCGGAGGTTGTGGTGAGCCAAGATCACACCACTGCACTCTAGCCTGGGTGACAGAGCAAGACTCTGTCTCAGGAAAAAAAAAAAAAGAAAGAAAAAGAAAAATGGAATGGAAAATAATGCCATTTTACTGAGACAGAAAGTGTTAATCAAATGATGTTTCCCTATCATTTTAAACTTACTGCAAAACTTTAATATTCATCTCTGTTAATTTTTTCATTTTTTGGCTTATACTTCCAGTCACATGAAAATCTTTAGTCTATCATCCAGTATCTCCTGTTACTCTTTTCAGCTTTCTATCATCTAGAAATTTGGAGTCATGCTTGTTTTTATTAAGTCATTAATAAAAATGTAAAAAGGGGATAGGATTAAGTATGCAGCCCTTTAGTAATAACCTAAAGGTTGGCACTGATTCATTAAACAGACAACTGGGGCCTAATAACTAACACCTAATAACTAATACTTGTTGAACACTTAGGATGTGCTTAGCACCTAATGTCCATTATTTAATTTAGTCTTCAAGATATTAGTTTTTTCCATCTCCAAATATTTATTAAGCTCTTACTATATGTCAGGAACTGAGGTAGGAACTACTATTACCATCCCCATTTTAGAGATGAGGAAGCTCAGACTCAGAGGTGAAGTAACCAGTCTTAAGTCACACAGTTATTAAAGAGCAGAGTTATAACATGAATCTCAGCTTGGAGATGCTCAAACATGCAGTTTAACATTGAGGTTTTACTTGTATATTTGTGTTAAATTTTCTTATATTCTTTATTATCCATAAGTCTAGCTCTTATGTGTATGTAAGCATACACACATGCCATTAGGAATTTTTCCAGACCAGCTTCTCTGTTCCTTTCAGCAAAGAACTTCTCAGTATTATCTTCAATATCCTTTCTAGTTTCTACATGTTCTTCATGGTATCTTGTTTTGCAGTTCAGTTACGGCCATTTCCCCCACTCTGTCCTTACAGTCAAAATTCAGTTTCTGGATCAAAAAATGCAATTCTTCCCATTCTATCCCTTCTTTCATAGAGCCAGCACTTATCAGTATTCCTGTTCAAGTTCTAATATTTTTATTAGGTTAGAAACCAGTTGTCAGTGTTAAATGATAGAAGGGAAGGAAAGCAAGATTTCATATAGGTTAACTTTGCTGTTTACATTTTAAGAAACATTGCTGTATTTCATAAATAGTTTTTATACAATGGGAAGATTGAATTTCACAGTATTTCATTTGGGCACAAATAACAAAGGGATGCAAGCTCGGTAATTTAACAGTTTTTCAGTTCACGAGGAGAGTCATCTCACAAAGCTTTTCTTGCATGTTTTGTGCAAGAAAATATGCAGCCAAGAAAATGCTACCAAAGACACAGCTACAGTGATTGTCATTTAAAATTCAGGACAGGACAAAGAAGTTTTACTGGTAGTAAATTCTCAGGACTCAGTTTTTAACACATTTCAAAATGTAATGAATTTTGTTAAAATGGAGCTTTCAAAAGCAGTTTTTATTTAGTTTTAACAAAAGAAAAACAGCTACATCTACAAAATTTTCCCACAAAACATGCCTCTTTAAGGTGGAGGACATCAAAATGAATGTTTTCTAAGCAATAATATATGAAAGAAAATTCACTCACCTTTAAGTTTCTGGAGATCTTCCTTCAAATCAGGCCCTGCAAGCATGAAGATACTTTCTGACACAGGATTCTTATCTGTGAGACTTTCATTGCTGGTATTCACAATGGCTGTACAGTTCAGTAATGCCACATCTCCTTTCCTGAAGAAACAATAAAGAATGAACAAGTGTGGGGAAAAAGAAGAAAAGAAACCTAGTTTCTAATTATTTCAAAACATTTTATCCTTGTCTTTTTCAAAATGTTGGTTTTGCTAGCTCACAAGCTAAGCAATAGTAGAAAAGAAATTTCTGACTTAAAAAACAATCTGGCATCTTAGATCTTTAATGCAATTGTTATAACCCTGAAACTCACAAAACCACCATGTTTAGAAATAGCAGCATTACTTATTATGGCCAGAGAGTGGAAACAATCCAAATATCCATCAACTAACGAACTGATACATGTGGTATATCCATACAATGGAATATTATTCAATCCTAATAAAGAATGAAGTACTGGCCGGGCACGGTGGCTCATGCCTGTAATTCCAGCACTTTGGGAGGCCGAGGCAGATGGATCATGAGGTCAGGAAATCAAGACCATCCTGGCTGACACGGTGAAACCCCATCTTTATTAAAAATACAAAAAATTAGCTGGGCATGGTGGCAGGCACCTGTAGTCCCAGCTACTCAGGAGGCTGAGGCAGGAGAATGGTGTGAACCTGGGAGGCGGAGCTTGCAGTGAGCCGAGATCACGCCACTGCACTCCAGCCTGGGCGACAGAGCAAGACTCCTCAAAAAAAAAAAAAAAGAATAAAGTATTGATTTGTACTATAATATAGATGAACCTTGAAAACATTATGCTAAGTCACTAAGAAACACAAATTTTATTGTATTCATTCCATTTATATGAAATGTTCAGAATTGGCAAATCTGTAGAGACAAGAAAGTAGATCAGTGGTTGCCCAGAGGGATTAAGGAAAAATGGGGAGTGACTGCTAATGGGGCTTTGGGCTGATGAAAATGTTCTAAAATGGACTGTGGTGAGGGTTATGCAACTCTATGAATATATTAAAAATCACTAGATTGTGCAATTTGAATTGATGAATTATATTGTATATGAATAGTATTTCAGTAAAGCAGTTTTTTAAAGCAATGAACTACTACTGATACACACAACACAGATGAACTTAAATCCATCATTCTGCTGAAAACAGACCAAAAAGCACACAATTCAATTTAAATAAAACCCTAGAAAATGCCAACTAACCTATAGTGACAAGAAGATCAGTGGTTGCTTGGGGATGGGGAGGGAGGGAAGGGCAGGAAGGAGGAATTACAAAGGAACAGAAAAAAAAACTTTTGGAGGTGACAGGTATATTCACTATCTTGACTGTGGTAATGGCTTCAAGGATGTATTAACAGAAGTCAAAACTTATATTGTATACTTTAAATATGTAGCTTATTAAATGTCAATTATACCTCAATAAAGTCATATACGTATACGCAAAGCTGTATTTCAACAATGCTAGGGCTTTAAAAAAGAGGTTAGAATAAATTATGAGAAAGTGTTATCTCCTCATGATATGATGTAATCAAAAAATTACCAAAGAACCACTTTTCCATTGACGTCCTTATTATAAAGAAAAGGTGATCGAACAGTGTCTTCCTGAAATATTTCAGCTGTAGTATCAGAGGAATTTAATTCATCTTGGCATGAGTCACCCCAGCTTGGTAGTGTATCCACATCCACAAACTGGGAAGGTGCACCTAAGGGATCCATGGAATGGGAACTTTGATTTGTCTTTTCCCAAAATCCTCAGCAATTCAATATTCACTGGAGACTTTAGCTTTAAGAGAAAAGAAAGAATCACTTTAATAGAGAAGCACAGATATTACTTGAATTCTATTAAAGCAGTAAACAAAATTCCACTGTGAAATATCCCAATAGTATATTGTGTGATTATAGCCACTTAAAAAGTCCATTAAAAACAATGGACAACAAAGAATTGCTACAGAATTTCTAAAACAGGATTAAAGAGTGATTATTTAAGCATAAATTCTTTTCAAAGAATTACAGCCATTAAAATAATCACAGGCCCACCAATTCTACTTTCCAGAAACAGGACTATTCATTCAACATTCACTGAGTGCCTACTATTGAAAAAAAAAAAAAAAGTAATAGATGCTGCAAGAGATACAAAGATAAACCATATGTATAATTTAAAGTCTGATGATAATGTGGAGGATGTACTGAGTAAGACAAAATGAAAAGCTGGGAGGTTACTGCAATCAAGTAGTAAGAGATGATAAAGGTTTCAACTAGGAAAGGAGATACAGAAGGAGGCAAACATTTAAGAGGCAAAATACAAAGGAAGGATGAACAGGAGTTGACAATTTACAGGATATGGTGTGTGAGACAGTGATATGGTAGGTGGCTGGTGGTACTGAAATACAAACATTAGAAGAGGAGGGTGTTGGAAGACACACAGCGTCAAGTACTAGAGAGAAGCAATGGGAAATTCTTTGTTGCTAGAGAAAAGGAGAATCAATTTGCCTATGAGTCAAACATCTATTTCAGTAAAATGGTATATTCATTCATCGAATAAATCTTTGTATTGTGTCACTGCACTCCAGCCTGGGCAACAAGAGCAAAACTCCGTCTAAAAAAAAAATATTTGCAAGCATCTATTATGTGTTAAATACTATTCTAGGCACTGGGCACACACTGGTGAATAAGAGCAAGTCCCTGCCCTTCAGGAGCATATGTTTCCATGGAGAAGACAGAAGATGACAAATGATAAAGAAACAAGCGGGTATCTAACAGAATGACTAGAGAAGTAAGCATTATGAGAGAACAGGTAACATCTCAGTAGAAAGATACAATGAGAGAGCAACCACATGAAGCTCTGGGAGATGTTTCAGGCAAAGGAAATGGCAAGTGCAAAGGCCAAATAGGCAGGAAGGATCTTGGTATATTACAGGAGGAGCAAGGAGGCCAGTTTAGGAAAAGCAGAATAAGCTAGGTAATGAGTGGTAGGTGATGAGGTTGGTAAGAGAGGGAAAAACCAGAGGATACTGTTTGTAAACTATGGTAAGAAGTTTAGATCTTATTCTAAATATGAGGGATGCTATTAGAGGATCTTGATCATGGTAATGATTAAATATAAATAATATTTGAAAAGAATACTGTAGCTACAATGAAACTGAGATGGGGCAAGAGTAGATGCAGAGATCAATAGAAAATGACTGCAATAATTTAGGTGAGATGGTAGTGATGAGAAATGTTAGATTTGGAATGTATTTTGAAGGTGGTGTCAACAAGACTTAAGAATATAGACAGTAGGGAGAAAGAGCAGAACCAAAGATAACTTCTGGATTACTTGCTTACACAATTGAGTAAATGTTATGCTATTTACCGAGAAGGGAAAAACTGGAGTAGGTTGTAGGGTAGAGTGATAACCAATGGTTTTTTTTTCTTATGTCTTTTTGGGTGTGCTACATTTGAGATGCTCATTCTATGACCAAGTGTTTATGTCAAACATGCAAATTGGTTATATGAGGCTAGAGCTCACAGAAGATGCGGCTAAAGATATAAATTTGGAATTCTCAGCATATGGATGGTATTTAAAGCTATGGAAACTGGACAAGATAGCCTAGAGAGTAAATGCAAATAGAGAAAACAGATCCAAGGACTGAGTCCTACAACAAAACTTAGAGGCTGGAAAGAGGACAAGTCAGAAAGTGAGAGAGAGAAGGAATGCTAAGAAAGGAAGGTAAACCAGGAAAGCATGGTGGCCTAAAAGCCAAGTGAAGAAAACATTTCAAGCAATACTTGAGAAGTATCAGTTAAATGATACTGAAAGGTTGAATAACAGGACTAATATCAAGGGAACATGCCCCCGATAATTCAATATTATTTCATGTAGGTTCTTTTCTATTTCCCTAAGTGTTGGCCGGTCTGAGAAATAAAGGGAAAGAGTACAAAAGAGAGAAATTTTAAAGCTGGGTGTCCAGGGGAGACATCACATGTTGGCAGGTTCCATGATGCCCCCCAAGCCACAAAACCAGCAAGTTTTTATTAGCAATTTTCAAAAGGGGAGGGATTGTACGAATAGGGTGTGGGTCACAGAGATCACATGCTTCAAGGGCAACAAAAGATCACAAGGCAGAAGGTCAGGGTGAAACTAGAATCACTAATGAACTTCCATGTCCCGCTGTGCACGCATTGTCAGGGTTCAAGAGCAGAGAACCGGTCTGACTAGAATTCGCCAGGCTGGAATTTCCTAATCCTAGCAAGCCTGGGGGCGTTGCAGGAGACTAGGGCATGTTTCATCCCTATCTACACCTGCATAAGGCAGACACTCCCACGGTGGACATTTCAGAGGCCTCCCCTGGGAATGCATTCTTTTCCCAGGGCTGTTAATTATTAATATTCCTTACTGGGGAAAGAATTCAGTGATACTTCTCTTATCCGTTTTTGGTAATAAGAGAAATATGGCTCTGTCCTGCCCTGCCCACAGGCAGCCACACTTTAAGGTTATCTCCCTTGTTCCCTGCATCGCTGTTATCCTGTTCTTTTTTGAAGGTGCCCAGATTTCATATTGTTTAAACACACATGCTCTACAAACAATTTGTGCAGTTAACGCAATCATCACAGGGTCCTGAGGTGACATACATCCTCAGCTTATGAAGATGACAGGATTAAGAGATTAAAGACAGGCATAGGAAATCACAAGAGTATTGATTGGGGAAGTGATAAATGTCCATGAAATCTTCACAATTTATGTTCAGAGACTGCAGTAAAGACAGGCATAAGAAATTATAAAAGTATTAATTTGGGAAACTAATAAATGTCCATGAAATCCTCACAATTTATGTTCTTCTGCCATGGCTTCAGCCAGTCCCTCCATTTGGGGTCCCTGACTTCCCACAACACTAAGAACTGATTAATGGGTTTGGTAAGTTGGAGGTTGTTGGTAACATGAAATAAATAAGGGCAGACAGATGATCAGGGAAAGAAAGTTGGCATGTGAACTTTCTCCCCCCCAAATAAATGTGCAGTTTAATGAGCTATTATGAAGGGAACACCCCTAGAACCACCACCAAAGTCAGGAGATAGAACTGTGCAGGCACCCAGAAGTAGCTCCATGTGATCTGTCATGATCTCAACCCCTTCCTGTCCCCCAAAGTAACTACTATCAGAACTTTTAATCTTTTTCTTATATACTCATATAGCCTTTTCACCTAAGTGTGCATCCCTAGAAACCATAGTTTAATATTAGCCATTTAAGACATTTTAATGTATATCTTAAATCTCTTTTAATCTACAAGTCCCCCATCCAACCTTTCCTTTTCTGTAAAATTTATCTGCTGAAACTGTAGTGTCCCACAGTCTGGATATTGTTGCTTGCATATTCATGCATAGTTCAATAAGTTTCTCTGTTATTTGAAAATTTCTTGTTAGTAGTCAGTTCTGGCAAGATTATATGAGATGGTGTATCTTTCATCAGGAGGCACATAATTTCGAGTCTCTCTTCTTTTCTCTTAGTTCTTTCTCTTTTTTAACTTTTAGGTTCAGAGGTACATGTGCAGGTTAGTTATGTAGGTAAATTGCATGTCACAGGGGTCTGGTGTACAGATTATTGCATCTCCCCAGTAATAAGCATAGTACCTGATGGGTAGTTTTTTGATCCTTTCCCTCTTCCCACCTTTCACCCTCAAGTAGGTCCTAGTGTCTGTTGTTCCCTTCTTTGTGTCCACGTGTTCTCATTGTGTAGC
This sequence comes from Homo sapiens, assembly GCF_000001405.40. Taxonomy (NCBI): domain Eukaryota; kingdom Metazoa; phylum Chordata; class Mammalia; order Primates; family Hominidae; genus Homo; species Homo sapiens. The sequence goes on from NC_000001.11 coordinate 117,924,356, forward strand.
TCCCACTTATAAGTGAGACCATAGGTAGGTGGTTTTCTGTTCCTGCATTAGTTTGCTTAGGATAATGGCCTCCAGCTCCATCTATGTTGCTGCAAAGGACATGATCTCATGAAGTTTTTTGAGAAGTTTTTCAGTATGGTTTTCACGTTTGTTGTCAAACAAAACAAGCATGCCCTTCCACAATACATTCCGTGATGTTTCCTGCTGAGAGACATGGGATGCTAATTGGAACAAAACATGGATCTAGTGAAATATGCTAATTCCTAAATCAACACTGCGGAACAGGAAATGTGATCATTTATATAACAATTTCAGAAAGGCCTTGTAGGTTAAACAATGATAAATTTGTATGAGAAGACTATTCTTATTTGACACTAAATACACCTTTGAAATTACTTTGAAATAAAGAAATTAATTTTACCTAAAAGTTGGTGTTTAGTCCATCAAATTGGTCTTTCCACAAGTTTTGTTGATCTGTTCATAAGTATTCAGACTTGAAATAGACAAGCTGAACAGAGGACAAATGAAGACTATATACTCTTCTATCATGGTTAAATTGCCTCATGCTCAATGGAATGACGCTTGACAAAAGTTCATAATTTCAAAAAATTACCTGCAGATTTTTTATGACAATGAGTCATTGTCATAAAAAAGCTCTTAGCTATAATCTAAAAACAAATCCATTAAACACAAACACAGTTTTCAGTTTGTAAACTTGAATGCCAACTTTCAGGACAAAATTGCTTTTTTAAGATAACTTTTCTTTCTGACTCTAAGTAATACATGCTTACAGAACATTTGAAAAATACCAAATCGGTTGGACGCAGTGGCTCACACCTGTAATCCCAGCAGTTTGGGAGGCTGAGGCGGGGAGATCACTTGAGCCCAGGAGTTCAAGACCAGCTTGGGCAACATAGTGAGACCCCATTTCTACAAGAATACAAAAAACTAGCCAGGTGTGGTGGCATGCATCTGTAGTCCCAGCTACTCAGGTGGCTGAGGTAGGAGGATTGCTTGAGCCCAGGAGGCAGAGATTGCAGTGAGCTGAGATCACACCACTGCACTCCAGCACGGTGACAGAGCAAAACCCTATCTCAAAAAAGAAACAAAACAAAAAGAAGGAAAAGAAACCAAAATTAAGGGGGAGGAAAAAATTCCTCAACTTTTGATGTAGTTACTACCTTTTTCTGTGATAGGTAAAATCATACTGGTACAATTTTGAATCCAGTTTCTTTAGTATTTTAAGGTAAATATTTCCACACACAATTACACAGTGAGGCAGAGACAGTATGGTTCGATGTGAGAATTTGGACTCTGTTATCATAGGGTCTGAGTTTGGATCCAGGACCATCATCTAATAGTTTTGTTATCTTTGACTCTGAACCAGTTTTTTAATTTCTAAAATAAGGGTAATTCTCCTAAGATTATTGTGAGCATTCAATGAGATAACTGGTGTCAAAACTGCATAGGAGAACAATTACCTTAACTTCCCTCCAACTCAAAATCATTCACTGTTTCCAACTTCCAAGTGACGATTTGAGGGTATATTCCACACGTTTAAGCCCACCAAATCACTTTAATTTAATCAATTTCCTTCATTTGACCATTTCTCCTCTTAAGAGAGTGTTACAACATAAATTCTCCTTTTACAATTACATCTTGGCTTTTTCCTTCCTCTCAATCCTCCTGTTCTCAAAAAGGTTTTCCTCCTTTATTTCTTCTACTTCATTTCTTCTTCAGAATACTAAACTCCTTTTTACCACTTGACTTTTTAAGAGTAATTTGTTTTGTAGCTCTACTTCCTCTTCGTACATTTGCCCAACCTACTGCAGTTTTGCTTCCGCTCTACAGCTATACGAAAACTACTCTATTCAACAATAACTTCCCAAATGTCAAATCCAAGAATTAATCCAATTTTATCCACATTTATTACTGATCATTTCCTCCTCAAAACTCTATTATCTTCTTTGACATTATACCCTGGTGGTTCTCCTATATCCCTGATCATACCTGGTCAGTAGAGTTTGTTGGATCCTTTTCCTAGCTTTTAAGTAATTGTGACCCACAAGATATTGGATGTTAAATAAGTAAAAGTAATGCTCATAGCTCTTATTGTAGGACAAAATTTAATGGCATTTTATGAAGTGTCACAGTATTTAACAGAGGTTGAATTCTTTTTCAACTCCATCTCTAAACAGAATTGATGTTTCTCACCAAAAAGAGGTTTGAATCTCTCCTTCCCCTAAACACATATACACCTTAGTAATACATACAGTAAATGGAGCCACAAACCCAAGCTAGGCAGAAAAACCTGATCCCTGAGAGAACAGTGGTTTTTAACATTCTCAAGGTCACAGGCCCCTTTGAGAATCACATGAAAGATACAGATCCTTTCACTCCCCAGAATATTTGTATATGAGCTCATACAAGTAGATTTGTAAATAAATTTGAATTAGAATCTCAGTGATAGAATGCAAACAGATTGCTTAAGTGACAAAGGGAGGAGGAGAAGGCTCCTACACCCAGTAATCTATAGCCACAGCCAGAATTTTTGCTAACATTAAAGGAGAGCAAGACTGTCCACTGAAAATCAGTTGATCAGCTCTGTACTTTTAATAAGTTCATAAACAAACACTAAGCCCTAGTTAAAAAAAAAAAGGCTCTTGAAGCAAGACATTAATTTCCAAGGATCAAAAAGTCTACATGGGACAAACAGAAGATTCCATAATGAATCAAATCTATTTCCATATCCATATGATCTTCAGTACTTTAGTGAAGAGGACCTAAAGACAAAGATAACCCACTATGTATCTTTTATAATTCAAATGGTGCAGTGTAAACAGCTCTCATTACACTGTAACTTGTTTTTTTTTTCCTCAAATCCTGTCATCTTTTAGTTTAAGAAGTCCTTTAAATACTGCTTAATATGAATAATTGGATTGGCTAGAGAGATCAGATTTTATTGTTCAAAACTGGGCAAAATTGGGCATAATACCTTGGATCACCATCTCAAAAAAAACTTTTTTTCTGGATAGAAAGAAAATGATATCATTTAAGAGAGAAAAATGGTAACTTTTAACCTGTTTACCTGTCTTTCAAAATGCTTACATTGATCAGACCAGCCTGGATAACAACAGTACAAAGAGAGCTGGTGCATGCACTTGACCGCCATTAATTACCGGGTTTACCATTCTTTATGACTTTGTATTTCAATATTTAACAGTTCAGAGTACATGAGGATATGTGTGCATACCATACTTAAGAATCATTTTATGCCACCATCCAACACCATACTTAAGAATCATTTTATGCCATCAGAAAGACATTTTTTAAAAAAGATTTTCAGATTGGAAGACTAACTGAAGTAGTCAAATATGTCAACAATAAATACAGTATAACAAGAACATTCCTAAGCTTGTCAATGGCTTGGGTCAAATTTAACATCATAATTCAAAAGCACCCAAAGAACATATCCTAACAGTAAATTAGTAGTACCCCTTCATATTAAATGAACTGCACTATGTTTTAATTGTAAATATTGATATATTAGGCATTTTGAAACTTAAATAAGGAAGTAGAGTTACATCCTTGAAACATTGTATAAGGAATTTTGTAAGATGCATTACCTTACCACTCACAGTTGCTCTGATACCAACTCTTATTAAAATCATTTTTTTCCATCTGTGGTTGTCCCATCCCATAATATTTAATAATATTAAGATAGTTTTTTAAGAAAAGGTAAAATCATGACTCATTCAAATATAAAACCAAACCCGTGTTCAAGATTTTATTTAACTCAAAATGGAACCAGGCAGAGAAGATAAAGAAAATCCCAGAATTAGACACCTTAGAGCAGGAATATTGAAATAAATGTGCAAAAGGAGGCAAAACTTCCACTGAATCTCTGAGAGAATTCGCATGTCTTGACAATAATTATTTAGCATTGATGTCACTTACCTAGTTTACGTAACTGAAAAATAGCTTTTTTAGAATTAGTTATTCCAAGGGGTGTTAAGATAGAATCTAAACTATGTAGTTTTCCATTGAAGCACACACTTCTCCCCATAATAATATAATGCACAGCACCTGTCAGGGATATTAACCATACATACCCACTCAAATGCTCCCTTTCCCACCAAGCTTATTAAAATAATAGTTTGTGGCCACAATTTCTTCCCTTCTCATTTATCCAATACACAGCAATCTTGTTTCAAAACTCCTATGCTGCTACAGCTGTCCACAGTCTCATCATACGCATTCTTTGCTATTGCAATTTTCTTGAATATGGAAGATTAGCTGAACATGCATTAAGCTCAGGAAACTCTAAAGAAAATCAGATAATGTAGACAAAAGTCTAATTTCTAGGCTGGCTGCAGATACCTTGTTCAAGAAGCGCCGGCAGGATCTTCTTTTGTACAGCTATGTTAGCTTTAATTTTGCACAGCTCTAGACATCAGAACTCATTTCTAAACACTTCTATGCAGCTCAAGAATAAAAGTAGCAGAAATGCAAGAGAGAAAAGCTAATTCCCACTTGGTGAAAGAGCACTTAAGTCTCAGTGAGCAAACAAGGAGGAGTCAGCCTTGGTCACTTCCCCCTCAAGCGGCCAGAGAGCGGAAACACAAAGCCAGGCCAGTGTCACTCCAGGGATTGCGGGAACCTAGACAACGCACCATCCTGGGCTCAGCGTCTACCCACCCCTCACCCGAGGTGCTCTCGGTTCCGTAGAATGTCCAGTCCACAGGAACGGCAACACGGACTTGTCTTTGGGACTACAACCAGCAAGAGCTCCCGCCTGCCCCATTTCACCTGCACCCTAGGGCGCCCGCCTCCTTGGCTACAGCACCACTGTTCCTAGTGCCCGCCGACTGCCCACCCTTTCACTTCTCGTAGAGACGGCGTCCCCGACAACGCCTCGGGAAAGAACCTAACCAACATGCGAGGAAGTGGCGCCAGGCTCGTTCTTCAAGAGAAGTGACAGAACTAACCCTCAGCCTGCAATCCTGACCAGGGCCGAGTCCCGAGCGCCTCGGACCGCGCCCCCGGCCCTCTCCGCCCCGCCTTCCCTCCCGGCCTCAGTCCCTCCTCTCACAGCACTCTGGTGGTCCCATCCGGGCGGCGGGCGGCACGGATCAGGCTCCTGGTAGAAGGCGGCCGAGCGACATCTCCGGCGACCCTCAGCAGGAGCGCGCCGAGTACGGCGAGTCAAAGTCCCAGGAGACTGGAGTGACCAGCTGCAAATGCTCTGGGCTGCGAAACACCGGCTTCCGCTCCTGGCCAGAGCTCACCAATCAGCGCCCGGCTTTCTCCGTCATTTCCTCCTAGAAGGCAAAGGGAACCTCTGGCGGAAGAGGCTTCCGGAACGGACCCGGAAGGGGCAGGTCTTGTGGGCGGGTCCAATCGGCTGGGAGCCTCGTGGAGGCTGAGGTGAGTCCTGGAGGTGCGTGGTTGGGGCGGAGAGCATTATCTGCGGCTCCGATTTTGCAGATTCTGGCTGAGGCGTTCGTGATGTCAGCAGCAGCCGAGACGGGCGTGTTAAAGGCCGGTTGCTAGGGCTGGGGGAACTCAGGTAACTACGGGCGTCCCCACAGCAGTACTTGGAAGCCCCTCAGCTACTCGGCGCGGTTGCGGGTGCTGAGCAGAGCTGCCTGACCGTGCGTGTGCACGGGCTGGCCTGAGGATGATATGACCGTGTGTTCGGTGTGTGGAACCCTCCGTCACCCTCCCCTGACCGAAGACTCGTTTAGGAATGTGTGGCAGGTCTGTTGCCACGGTCCAGGCCTTCAGTGCATCTTGGAAACATCGTTTTGGGGGCTGTAGGTTAGGAAGCGGAGATCATGGGGTCTCGGAAGAAGGTTTGGTCGTGAACTGTCAGAAAGGAGGCGAAAGCTGTGCACGTGGAACAAAGTGAACAGTGCAAGTTGTATGGGAGGTAGTTTAAATATCGAGGCGATGAAAAAAGGCTGCTAGAATTGGGCTTACTCGAAAGGAAGTGGGCCTCAGAAGATAATATTAGTTAAAAGAAGTAGAGGAGAACATGGATGTTATTCTAAGTAAAACGAATAATATGAAGAATACAAGGTCGCGGGACGAGGAAGGAAACTAGCCAGCCTGACAGGAAGGTTTATTCGAGAAATACGGGGGTTAGATAGGATGAGTTTTTGGAAACTGGCAAACGATTTAGCCTTTTCAAGGCTTTAGGATAGGGAAAGCTCATTTGAAAAGATTAGTCGGTAGTATTATGACGTTTAAATGAAAAGAGTGAAAAACATGGAGGCGGAGGTGCTAGGTGGAAAATCAGTGCAGTAATCCAGTGATAAAGAGCTGGAACTGAAAGTGCTGGAGAGAAAGGGATCCTGTTTCAGAGTAACAGTCAGGTGGAATTGACTAAAGAGAAAGAGGCAAAGAGAAGCAGTTTAGCATAGTGGTTAAAAGCAGAAATTTTGGAGTTAGACTGGCTGGATTGGGATCTGGCTTTGGCAATTAGCTGCTAAATGACTTTGAGTTAGCAATTTGCCATCTCTGGGTCTGAGTTCCTTGTCTGTAAAATAGAGATAGGAAGAGTGACTTCCCTTGTGGTGTTATTGTGGAGAATTTGTTTATTTATTTTTAGAGACAGAGTCTCACTGTCACCCAGGCTGGAGTGCAGTGGCGTGATCATAGCTCACTGCAACCTCGAACTTCTGGACTCAAGTGATCTTTCTGCCTCAGCCTCCCCGAGTGCGTCACCATGCCTGGTTAATTTTTTAAAAAATGTTTTGTAGAGATAGGTTCTTGCTGTGTTGCCTATGTTGGTCTGAAACTCTTGACTCCTAGGCCTTGGCCTCCCAAAGTGCTGGCATTACAGGCATGAGCCACCATACCAGGTCCTTATGGATAATTTTTTTATGCTCATATTTACAATGTGCTAGAGGCTTTTCTAAGTGCTTTGCATATGTTAGCTCGGTTTCATTAATTGCTGTATGTAATTAAACAATTGCATAATGTTATCAGTTACTATAGCGTAAGCACTCTCTAAATCTTGGCTGCTATAATAATATTTTTTTATTAATAATTCAAAGGTTATTAAATGGTTTTGAGCCTGAAGAGCTGGGAAAATTGTGTCTTAGTGTCAGAAGAAAAGAGAGGGGTACCAGAAGTAAGGTAGGCTTGGTTATAGACATGTTAAATGTGAAACTATAAGGTATTCAAGTGGAGATGTTCAGTAAATATTGGAAACTCTATAATTAGTATTCATGTAGGTGGAAAGGACTGGAAATAGACAGATGGGAGTCCCTGGACCTAGGCATGCTATATGAATTCTCCAAGGAAAACACTGTAGAAGGAGGTGGTAGATGGCCAAAGACAGACAAACATAAGGAACAACTACAGAGTCTGGAGGAATAAGAGGAATTGGGAAAGAATTAATCAAATGGCCTAGGCTAAGAGCATTATCACCATGTTAATATTATCTTTCCTTGATTTTAAATTGGCTTTATGTTGGTTCCTGTGAGAGAAGCAATGAGGCCAGTAAGTGATTATTACCAGAAAATATTATCAGAGAGTTGAGATTGAATTTTTTTTGTGTTAGACTAAAACAGCATTTGATAATTAGAAAGACCCTGTAGAGTTAAGCCAACCAACCAAAGAAACAAAAAACAATAGCAAAAAGAAACAGCTCCTCATAAAAGACTGTAACTTCTTTATTTTTGTGTGTTTTAAGTTGCATGGGTGTTTTTTGGGGATACTTTTTACTCTTCCATGTAAAGAACAGATGGGACTGATTTGTTATCTCCTTCATTCACCTCTTGTCCCTTTTATAAATAACCAGTGGATTATGGATTTTCAGTGAATTTAATAAAAGTGCAGAAATTATGGCATCTTTCCAAAAATAGTGTGCCAAGTTGCTCAACCATTTTCTATGCCAAGGGTAAGTGGCTGCTCTGATTTTGAAATGAAGGACAGACTTTCATGTACTAGTAGTTCTCAAAGTGTGGTCCAAGAACTGCAATAGCAGCATCACTTGGAAACTTGTTAGAAATGAAAAATTCTAGGCCCTACCTCAGACTTATGAAATCAGAAACAGGTGCTGGGAGAAGAGATGAGATGGTGTTTTCTAGCAATGTTTTCATAAGCCCTCCAGGTGATTTGGATGTATACTAGAGTTAGAGAACCACTGTACAAGAAGGTAAGTACCATGAGGTTAGGGATTTTGCCTTGTTAATAGTGTATTTCCAGTGTCTAGAATGGTGCCTGTCTAATTGGTAGGTTTTCAATAGATATTCATTGAAAAATATGTTCAGTCTCAGACTGCCAATCTCTGTGTAAAAGCTTTGATGCTGGTTTAATGGGCAGAAGTAAATCAGTTTAGCTGCATTGAGCCTATAATGTCAGATATGCATGAGGTGGGCATGACAACGTGACTAATTTGGAACTTGAGGAATGAGGGATTATATTGAGTCAACACTGAATAAAAAATGATGTCCAGGTATTTTAGGTCAATGATTCATTTAGAGTAAATAAAGATTAAGAAGTCACAAGTTACATGCTTTTAATGACATGATCAACAGTTGGTGTTGTTCTGGCGCAGTGGCTAACACCTGTAATCCCAGCACTTTGGGAGGCCGTGGCGGATGGATCACTTGAGGTGAGGCTTTCGAGACGAGCCTGGCCAATATGGTGAAACCCCATCTCTACTAAAAAAAAAAAAAAAAAAAAAATTAGCCGGGTATGGTGGCACATGCCTGTAGTCCCAGCTACTCGGGAGGCTGAGGCAGGAGAATCGCTTGAACCTAGGAGGTGGAGTCAGCTGTGAGCCAGGATCCCACCACTGCACTCCAGCCTGGGCAACAGAGTGAGACTCTGTCTCAAAAACAAAAAAACAGTTGGTGTTTACTAACCTAGTAGAACCAAGGCACCCAAGGAGCTGAGTTTTCTTTGTTTATATGCACAGATTGCTTCACCTGTGGTATCAGACATCACAACATGGGGCTCACCAAGCAGTACCTACGCTATGTTGCTAGTGCGGTCTTTGGCGTTATCGGCAGCCAAAAAGGTAATATTGTCTTTGTGACACTTCGTGGTGAGAAAGGACGTTATGTGGCAGTACCAGCTTGTGAACACGTTTTCATCTGGGACTTAAGGAAAGGAGAGAAGGTGAGCCTAAAATGACCAGTTTGATACTGATTTATTGGTATTTGAGGATGGAGAGGTAGTAGAAGTGGGGGGGCTCTGATTTATTTATCATGAGTTTTTTTGTGTCTGTGCCCTTAGAAGAAAAATCTTTTTCCTTTAGGTCTAGCTAGCCAAGCATCAAGTTCCTTTGTGTTCTTCGCCACTGAATTCTGAAAACCACAATGAAATAGGAGCTTATTTCTTAGATGTCTATTTGTTGGAATATTTACAGGTCATTATTTGCAGTAATTATTTATTCCTGATGTATTTTTTCTCTACCAATTCTATTTTTCAAGCTCGACTTATGCTTATAGCTGGTTATAAAATATTAGGCATGTAAAAGGAAGGTTAGTCTATTTTGGCAGAATCTTTTTCTAATATGGATAATGCCCAAGTGTTGTTAAAGTAGACTTTGATACTTTGTGTGACTGAATTCCCTAAGCCTACCACTTTTGCCAAACCAAATATAGGCATTTTGATATTGTCCATTCATTTTGTGATTCCCAAGAGGTTAGTACTTTGATTCTTGTTGCCACCAAGAGTCCTTTGTGGTTAAAACCACTGCAGTACTCTGTTGCCACACAGATTATTTTCTTATAAAATGGGTCTCAGTTAAAGGAATTTATAAACCTTTATTGAAAATCACGTAGTGTTGTTCTAGGGTTAAGAATTAGATTAAAGGGATTAAATTTATTTTATTGCCTAGGGAGTTTTTATATGTATTACAACAACGTAGGGCTTTGGAGAAAATAATTAAGCCTTTTCTTAAATGTTTCATTGCCTAGTACAAATACTAATTTCTATATTAAAAAACTTGAAATGGATTGTGGAGTTTCATTTTTATTCATAAGAGTAATTTGGAATTATTGGTGCTCTTAATTTTACTGTGCCTGAGTATTCCTATGCTTTTCCCTTGAGTTCATGCTTAACTCTTCTACATTGTTTTTAATTTTTATGATTTCAGATTCTTATCCTTCAGGGGCTTAAACAAGAAGTTACTTGCTTATGCCCCTCCCCAGATGGGCTACACTTAGCTGTTGGGTATGAGGATGGGTCGATCCGAATCTTCAGTCTCCTGAGTGGGGAAGGAAATGTGACCTTCAATGGTCACAAAGCAGCTATCACTACCTTGAAGTATGATCAGCTAGGAGGCAGACTGGCATCTGGGTCCAAGGTGAGCCTTTGAATCAGCCCAGGCTTTGATCTATTAAAGGAATGTAAGGCTTATGCTGAAGCAAGTTGTTGACAAAAATTGTCAGGTAAAACAATGGGCTGTCAATATACAAAGTAGTATAATGATAGAGTGAAGAGGATGGGTGTGAATTGGGTGGTTCATTTTGTTTCCTTTTGTTCATTTTGTCATATTTTCTGATAAAAGCCTCTTAAGTGTAGGAATAAGATGAAGAGAGCCATGATAACTCTTATTGTGGAAGTGCTACGCAAAACAGTAAAATAAGGAAAGAAAACAAAGACTGGAAAAGAAGAGACAAAATAATTATTTGCCATTGACTTCTGTAAAGTCAGTAGAATTTCCTGTATCTCACAAGTCATGAGTTAGAAAATATAAAAGATTCCATTCACAACAGATTAAGTAACAGACATAAAAATACCATGAAACTTTACTGAAGAATGGAATAGAAGACTTTTATAGAGATATAATCCATGTTCTTGAATGGGAAGACAAGGTATTGAAAAGATGGTAGTGTTTTCTAATTGATTTATATAGCTAAAGCTATGTTTAGACATATGTTTATATAGATACAGATATATTTAAATAGATATCTTAAAGGTTTTAGTTGTTACTTAGAACTTGACCTAATATGGAAAAGCAAAGGAATTGGAAACACTAAAATTTGGGAAGAAAAGAATAATAAAACAGGGGTTTTAGATATTAAAATGTCATATAAACCCATAATTTAAGAAGTATCATATTGATACTTCAATGCAAGTACCAATGCAAAATAGATTATTGCAACCAAATGGAAATCTCAGAAACACATCCATGATTACATTCCTAATTAGTATATTTTAAAGACGACATTTTAATAAGTAGAAAAATGATAGATTACTTATAAAACAGTCCTTAGACAATTGGCTATTTGAGCGAAATTTTTAAATTAAAGCTTTACCTCATGCTATATACCAAAATGAAACAAAGATTAAAGACTTAACTATTAAAAAATAGCATTTTAAAGTAAACTAGAAAATATGTAAGTAAATATCCGATAGCAAGGTAGAAAAGGACTTTATTAGCAAAGAAATAAATTAAAAAAGGAAACTGTTGGTAGATTGGAATACTTGAAACATTTGTACATTAAAAACAAGTCAGAGGACACTGAAAAAGTTAAAATATTTAATATTTTCAATATAAAAAGAAAGGATTAGTATCATTCATCTATTAATAACTTACAGTCAAATAAGAGATGACACTCTAAGAATGATAGACAAAAGAAAGTCATGAATTGGCAATTCAAAAGAGATACTTTATGGCCAATAATCACCATAAAGCATGTAAAATATTTCTCATTTGTATTCATAAAAAATGTAAATTAAAATAAATATTAAGACTGAACATTTTTTACTTATGATATTTGTAGTAGTTTTTGAGAAAACTAATAATAGAGTTAAATGAATGGGGAACAGGCCTTGTCATACATATCCCTGCTGGTTCTATAGATTTACCCAACCTGGAGATCATTTTGATAGTATGAATCCAAAACTTTAAAAATAAACATATCATATAACCCAAGAGCTTTTCATTTTAGTTTTTTCTAATCAGAGATACATACAGAAATTTGTATATAAGAATGTTCACTTCTGCATATTTATAACAGCAGAAGGTTGGAAACTAAATGTCTGAAACAGAAAAATTTTTAAATAAGTTGTGCTATTACTTTAGAATTGATTATTATGTGAGCATTAAAAATGTGAACACTCTGGAATAACATGGAAGAAATGGAAATAATATTAAATGAATAAAGAAAAGGTTGTAAAATGATATGAATGGCATGATTTTAGTCTTCTAATAGGAAAATAACCTGGATTATACATAAAGACTAGAGCAATAACAATGTCTGGGGATTATTTCTGGTTGGTGAGAATAAGGCTGGTGTTTATTCCCCTGTACTTTCCCCATGCTTTCCAAATTTTCTGTAAGGACTGTGTATTGCCTTTTTAATAATTAAGTCTCATTGTTTGTCAAGTTGGGCCATATATGGTAAAGAAAATTATTTTTCATCTGTATTATTTGATCCCTTTAGGACACAGATATTATTGTATGGGATGTGATCAATGAAAGTGGTCTGTACCGTCTAAAGGGGCACAAGGATGCCATCACACAAGCATTGTTTCTACGAGAAAAGAACCTGCTAGTTACTAGGTAAAGAAATAATGGTTTAATTTCCAGTTATTTTCTAGGAAGAGAGAATTTGCTTTATTCCTTACTCATTTCTCTCATGAGCAGTGTGCTCATGCTTATGCATTAGTTTTCTCTCCTGTTCTCCTGCATTCCTTCTTTCCATTTCTTCTAAGTAGTATCGTAGAGCTATCCAAAGCTATATTATTTTTAAAATCATTTTTCTAATTTGTCATTCTTTTTTCTTGATATCAGTTTTTCTGTGTTTCTTAGCCTTTTGAAACTCATTATAGAATGAGCTTTGTCTACCTTCTAGATCTCTAGAAAGCCAGGAATCAGAATATGGAGCAGAGGGAAGATATGAATACCAGGTGTTAAATTCGGCTTGCCTTTTGAGGAGAGATGTACTGTACTTCATAGGCCTTCTGAACACCTATTAGGATGAACCATTTGAAATTTTTATTTGTGTACATAAAAAATCATCAAATATCAACAATTTTATATTGTTCAACCTAATATAATAATGAATATTCCTAAAGAATGGCCACCTAGGAAAAGCTGGGATACCAAGGTTTGCCAGGCATTAATTAGAGGAACCATAGTAATGACTCAGAAAAAGCTGTGAGCACTAAATGCTTTACCAATGGTGGATTTGTTTCTGTGGGATAGGATACAGGTAAATTAGTGTCTTGTTCAGATAACACAGGTTCTGTAAGAGAATGATTCTATAGTTCTAATAGAAAAAATATATATTACAGCTTAGGGAATATAAAGGCAAAGAAATAACACTGTAAGGTGGGGTTATATGGGACGGACTTTGTAAATCAGGTTTTTGAGCGGTGTTTTTTTCCAGTTTGCTCATGAAGGAGGATTATATTAGATTTATGTAGTGAGGAGGTAGGGAAGAGGTGTTTGAGCAGGAGTAGTAGAGGCCATTGGCTGCGAGAGGTTATATTTAGGGGGTTAAGAACAAATAAATAGGAAATTTTGAGACTGCTGCCAATGAGCCTGACTTTGATTCTACAGGGAACATTGAGCTAGTGCAAATATTAAAAATTAAGGTTATCTGACAGTTGCACATTGGATGGGATGAGAGAACAGCAATGGACAAAGAGACCAAATGAGAAGCTGTTAAAATAATCCAGGTAGTAGGACTTAAGTTCAGGTTAGTGTACAGAAATGGACTAGAGGAGTTAATACTTAGAAACTTCACAGAGGAGGCATTTTCAGGACAAGAGACTAACTGGACAGGAAGACAAGGGAGTGGGAGCGGTCTAAGATGTTTCCATGGTAGACTGTCTGAGGGGAATGCCAGTGCTGTGATGATGGAAATGATAGGAGGAAGGCCTGATGGATCAAATTCTGTATTCTTTGGTACTCTGCATCTAAAGTCATTCTTGTGCTTATAGGTGGAACATTTTATTTTCTGCACAGGAATAACTACAAGGAAAGTTAGGATTCTTTGCTTTTCAAAAGTAAGATCAGAGAGAATCGGAGCTTTAGACATTATTGAAGCATATGTTCCTTTTAAAGCAACAGTGAGTTTTGGATCTCCCTATTCGTTGAATGAGTTTTCCTAAACAGGCTATATATTTTTTTCCTGTTTCTTCTTTTAGTGGGAAAGATACCATGGTGAAATGGTGGGACCTTGATACTCAGCACTGCTTTAAAACAATGGTTGGCCACCGGACTGAGGTAAGTGTAGGGTCATGGGCCCAGGGAAATAATGGGAAGGCAAAAGGGAAAAGGTGGTGGTCTTCTCTTCCCCTTTCATGGCTCTTTGTTTTTAGTGCACACAGTAATTATCATATGCCATCTTGAGGGACAGTGAGGCTGGTATGATGGAAGCAATGCCAGCCATTGGAGCAGATACTGCTGCTCTGACATGTAGTAAAAATTGGCCTTGCGTGGTTTTTAATTCCTGAGTTTCATCATTTCTAAATAATAAGTGTCCACTTTTATGAATGTAGGGAAGTTTAATGATATTATATGTGCAGCACCTAGCTTATTGACAGGTAAGCAGCACGTGGTAGCTGTTAAAATAGTTACTTGAACAGAGATCTATTCAGTTGAGTTCAGGGACTGTTTTTTATATATCTTTGCATCCTCAGTGCTTTATTCATATCAGGCATTCAGGAAGGTAATACCTAGAATTAATGACAAGAAGATTAAATTCTTTGTTGATTTGCAACAATATTATTTTCATTATTTAATTCCCGGATACTTGAAGCTGAAAGTTATGCAATGGACATTAGTGGGGCACCTTTTATTTGCTAGACACTGCTAAAAGCAAAGAAATAGAAGACTTAAAATCATCATTTGAGTGGATTCTAGTTAAGATTTATGCTGAACAGCCATTATCTTAATTTGATTATACGAGGTTAGAGACAAACTGCTAGTATCACAAAAGTAACAATTTCACCGCAGGCCATTTTTTTCTCTGTAAAAGTGAGACTTCTCTTAGTGCATTTTGAAAGGGTTGTCGATATGCCTTTTCTTTGCCTTTAAATTGCTAGACATTTTACTACGGTGTAACAGACTTTTGGAATGTCATATTATGCTACCTGGAATCTCTTGAAAATCGTATTACTCAAATCTTTTTATATTCTATAGGTATGGGGGTTGGTTCTGTTGTCAGAAGAAAAGCGACTCATCACTGGGGCCTCAGACAGTGAACTGAGGGTATGGGACATAGCTTATCTGCAAGAGGTAATTACTTCTTAAAATCATGGGCAATATGTTTAGAAGTTTCATAAGCACCTTGGATTTAGAATCAGATGTAATTATTCAGTACTTCACATCATATTAGAAGGAATTCTATCACACCAATAACCTGCAACACTTAAAAAAGCTTTTCTTCCTTATATGCTCATTATCCTTATTTATTTGAGCTCAGGTTAGCTTTAGGCTTACAGCTTCTGGTAATACTAATGTTTTAGTTTGTGGCACTCTTAATCAGATATTCTTGGACCTTTGGGTGTCCATGGATGGCCTTCAGAATATCTGTGAACCTTTCCCCTCAAATATATATGTAGAATTTTATGTTTATAAATATGTATATTCTGAAAAGATCTATAACTTTTTCTTAGACATTCAAAGAATTTACATAGAAGAAAAGCTTGCAGACCTTAGGTTTAGCTGAATTTCGGTGTGTGCTGGGTCCAGCAGCCATTTCGATGGGAGTTACATTAGTAGGCTAGGGGTTATCTTTTCTTTATTTAAGGAGAAAATGTATCTACCTGTCTTGCGATGCTTTTGCAATTCCTAATGCCAATTTGAATTTTTTGTTCTATAATATGGTCAACCTTTCACCTAAATACAGAAAATTTTGAAGTTAGTGAAGAGTGGGGTCATTATTTTTTCACCATTGTCACTAAACAGTAGTCCTTATGCTATAGAAAGTTTTTGGAGATAGTATAATAAGTAATATTTTGTTTGTATATTATGTAGTCAGTTTTTAATAAGTTCTGATACCTGCCTTGCTACTGAAGAGGTTTGATAAGGGAGATCACTGATTAGAAGCTGTTATTGGCCATAAGAAAGATTTCTAAGTCTTCAGGATTAAGAGTTACCTCCTGGGCCAGGCACAGTGGTTCATGCCTATAATCCCAGTACTTTGGGAGGCTGAGATAGGAAGATCACTTGAGTCCACACACACGTTTGAGGCCAGCCTGGGCAATATGGCAAGAACCTGTCTCTACAAAAAATTTAAAAATTAGTCAAGCACAGTGGTGTGTGCCTGTGGTTTCAGCTATTTGGGAGGCTGAGGTGGGAGGATGGCTTGAGCCCAGGAGATCAAGGCTGCAGTGAGATGTGATCATGCCATTGCACTCCAGCCTGGGCGACAGAGTAAGACTCTGTCTCCGACAACAACAACAACAACAACAAAACAACAACAACAACAACAACATGCCTCCTGGAACATACTATTTCAGCTTTTATTTTCTCATTTTTATAAAACAGATTGAAGACCCGGAAGAACCAGACCCCAAGAAAATCAAAGGATCTTCTCCTGGAATACAAGATACTCTTGAGGCAGAGGATGGTGCCTTTGAGACGGATGAAGCCCCTGAGGATGTAATTCATTTTCATTTCTTAAGTTTAATTGTGTTGAATAATGGGAAAGTAAGAATTGCAGATTTTTAGGGAATCATCACTTTAGGGAATATTTTTGTCACTTGCACTTATTAGAATTATGTTTTTTTCAGAAGTTCAGCAGAACTTACATCTAACCTTCATCTGCTCTTGCTTCTTCTGTAGCGAATCCTTTCATGCAGAAAAGCTGGTTCCATAATGCGGGAAGGAAGAGACAGAGTTGTAAACCTTGCAGTCGACAAGACAGGCAGGATTCTTGCTTGCCATGTGAGTACCATACTTAGGAGAAAATAACAAGGACTAGGCTGTTCCTTCCAAACACTCATTCTTTCATATTCAATGTAAAGATGACTTTTTCTTGACTCATGTTAATAATTCATTATATGGTACTGTGTGGACCTATAATCTCTAGCTTTATTAGCATAACAACAAAAATATTAATAATTACTATTAGGTTGGTGGAAAAGTAATTGTGGTTTTTGCCATTTAAAAAGTAATAATTGCAATTACTTTTGTACCAGTATTATTATTAGCAACCATTTATTAAATGCTTGCTCTTCTAAGCAATTTAAGAGCATTTAACTTCTTGTTCAGCCTTCAGAGCAATGCTACAAGTAGGAAATGGTATCCTCATTTTACAGATGAGATAGCAAACCCAGAGAGATTAAGTTGTCCAAGGTAATACAACTACTAAGGGAAGAAAAATAAATATTGTTGTTTACTTTTAATTGAGAATTAGGTAAATTACAAATTACCTCTCCTTGACTCACATTAACCTTTTGCCTTTCTAGGGAACTGACTCTGTGCTAGAATTGTTTTGTATCCTTTCCAAAAAGGAAATTCAGAAGAAAATGGATAAGAAGATGAAGAAAGCTAGAAAGAAAGCAAAGTATGTTTTCTTAATACTTACATTAATAATGAAGTATCCTGGGTAGGCCCCATGTTACTGAAAAAAAACTGGCTTCTTTCATATTTACTGTCTTATCAATTACCATTAAAAGTTAAAGAACTTGTGAGGTATCGATAACCCAAATTTGTCAAGTCTCAGAGAGACAGAAAATCATCTGATTTGGCAAATCTTTTGATACCTATTCTGGTTTATTTAACATGGTTGGATTGTTAAGTGCAGGTTAATGAGTTTTCTAAAAAGTCCTGAAATTAGAAAAATAACCGGAGACATTTCAGTGGAATAGTTGGAATTACAAGGACCTTGTTACAAGAAATTTTATGGGCTATTGCATTCAGAATCCATTTCTTAAGGGTACCTATTAAGTGAAATAATACTTTATGACATTGTAGTGTACAAAGCATTTCCACTTATACTACATTGTTTAATTATCATGGTAATCCTGTGTGGTTAAGTGACTTTTCCAGAATAACACAGTTTGTTGGTCAAGGGGCCAGATTTTGAACTCAAGTAAGAGCAAAGCTGCTTCTAGAAAAATAAGAGCATGATATACTTTTCTTCTTCCCTCTAGATTACATTCTAGCAAAGGAGAGGAGGAAGATCCTGAGGTTAATGTTGAAATGAGTCTGCAAGATGAAATCCAGCGGGTGACTAATATAAAAACTTCTGCCAAAATCAAGTGAGTAAAAATAAATTATCTGAAGTTATAGAAATAGTAAGCTACCAAGTATTATTGGCTTTTTCATGCTATTTGTAAGCTGTCTGTATGAATTATATATGTGGAGACGGTGGTCATGAGACATCTGTGTCACACTCTGCTCCTGTTGTCCTAATCATGGGCCCACTTTTTGTCTTGTATTTGGATTATTATAGTACCCTTTTTAGCTAGTCATTTACTGTCTTTTCCTGCAGCTAATTTAAGAAAAAGAAAAGTGTGTCCCACGTTCAGAAAGGATATAAGGTCACTTATAAAGAATACATACACAGAACCAAAGTATGTATCAGAACCAGGATCTGAGCCTAGTTTTTTTTTTTTTTTTTTTTTTTTACTTAAAAGCCTACTCAGCTACTACTCAATACTCGGAGCACTCTTTTAATTTTTTTTGAGATGGAGTCTTGCTCTGTTGCCCAGGCTGGAGTGCAGTGGCATGATCTCGGCTCAGTGCAACCTCCATCTCTCAGGTTCAAGCGATTCTCCTGCCTCACCCTCCGCAGTAACTGGGATTACAGACTTGTGCCACCACACTCAGCTAATTTTTGTATTTTTAATGGAGATGGTGTTTCGCCATGTTGGCCAGGCTGGTCTCAAACTCCTGACCTCAAGTGATCCACCCGCCTCGGCCTCCCAACATGCTGGGATTACAGGCGTGAGCCACTGCACCCAGCCTCAGGGCACTCTTACTTGAAAAATTGTTTATAGTTATTCAAACTTTATATAGATAGAGGACATTGTAAAGCCTTTTCCTGGAAAAAGTAAACCTTGTGAGCTAAGATGGTAGCTAGAACATTTATGATTATTTTCTTGTACAGGTCCTTTGACTTGATTCATTCACCTCACGGAGAGTTAAAGGCTGTCTTCCTGCTGCAGAACAACCTGGTGGAATTGTATTCACTGAATCCATCCTTGCCTACTCCTCAGCCTGTCAGGACAAGCAGAATCACTATTGGGGGTCATCGCAGTGATGTGCGGACTTTGTCATTCAGCTCAGACAATATTGCTGTTCTTTCAGCTGCAGCTGATTCCATTAAAATATGGAACAGGTTCGTGAAATGATGTTTTATATAGCTGTAGTTAGTAGTATTTCTTTTAATTTTTTTTGGTACTCTTAAGGGTTAGTTATTAACTCCTTAAGGCCCTAAATACAATTATCTTTAGTGCATTTGGGCCATTAGCCTGTGGAGCTTAGAGAAGAAAAAGTTGCCTTTTAAAATGTGGTGCAAAAAAAAAAAAAGGCAAGCTTATTCCATGTTTAGAGCTTGTAACTGTACTTGGCTAGAGAAAAACACACAACCATACTACCTACTCTTTAAACTTAATAAAAAGCAGGCTGTTATTGCTGCCCAGTAATTGTACCCTAATTTCTCACCCTTCTTTTACTTTCCCAGATGACTGTTTTATACCTTGCTTCTGTTGTCAAATCAAATACCTCCAAAACCTTGAAGCTAATGATCATATCTCCCACCTTAAAGGAAATAATAACCCTCTCTCACCCCTGCATTGCTCTCCAGTTACTACCCCATTCTCTGATTTGTTTTCTCCATTCTGTCTTCATCTGTCTCCCATCAAGCTTTTGTCCCCACTGTTTCACCAAAACAGTCATTGTCATCAGTGATCTTGTTTCCAAATCCATTGAGCTAAAAGCTTTATTTTATGCTTTGTCCTTGAATTGATGACTTTCTGTCTTTGACACACTCTTTGACTTTCATTATTTCCCCTTCCCTTGCTGTCTGTTTATTCTCAGTCCTCGCTCCATCTTTCTTATCTTTATGACGTCTAAGTGTTAGAGTGCTTTAGGGCAGAGTCTTTGGACCTTTTGTGTATCTAAACTCACTTTATGTAATCTGTCATGTAGCTTTCTCTGTATGATGACACATAAATTTATATCCAGCTTTAACCTCCTCCCTAAACATCAAATTCATATATACAAATACTTTGTGTCACCACTTGGATGTCTAATTAAGCATTTCAAACTTTTATGTGTCCCAAACCAAACTTACGTTGTTCATGTCTCCAAAAATCTTCCCACCTGCTATTCCTTCAGACTTCCCTATCTTAATAAATGATTACTTGCTACCAGTTGTAGTCTAAACCTTGTAGCCATTCTTGATTTTCTTTTATTTATTTATTTATTTTGAGACAGAGGCTCGCTCTGTCGCCCAGGCTGGAGTGCATTGATGTGATCTCGCCTCACTGCAACCTCCACCTCCTGGGTTCAAGTGGTTTTCCTGTGTCAGCCTCCCGAGTAGCTGGGATTACAGGCGTGTGCCACCACGCCTGGCTAATTTTTGTATTTTTAGTAGAGACAGAGTTTTACCATGTTGGCCTCAAACTCCTGACCTCAAGTGATCCACCCATCTCGGTCTCCCAAAGTGCTGGGATTACAGGCATGAGCCACCGCACCCAGCCCATTGTTGATTTTCGTATCCCATATTCATCCAATCTATTAGCAAATCCTATCAGCTCTACCTTCAAAAGTGATCCCAAATCCAGCCTCATCTTACCACCTGCACTGCCACTACCCCATTCAAACCACTGTCATCTCTCATCTGGGTTATTGTAAAGCCCCCTGACTGGTGTCCCTGCTTTCTTGCTTGCCCCTCTATAGTCTGTTCTCAACACAGTAGCCAGTGTAATCTTTTTATAGTGGAAGTTAGATCACTTCCAGTAGTTCCATCTCACTCTACCTACCTTACACACCTTATCTCTTACTACTCTCCTTTTCTGCTCCACTAGAGCCACACTGGTCTTCTTGCTATTCCTTCAACAGAACAAGAATGTGCCTTTCTTATGGCTGTTGTGCTCCCTGTTCTTTCTGCCTGAATCCATCTTCCCCATTTATCCATAAGCTTTTTCTGTGTCTTATCAGATGACAGTCCTATCATTCTTACCCTACTCCTTGCACTCTTCATCCTCTTCTCCCAGCATTATGTTGCTCTATAGCACCTAACACCTGATATACCAAATATTTAGATATTTATTATTCCCAAAGAATGTTAACCTTTATGAGATTAGGAACCTCTGCTGTTTCATCCACTGTTGTATCTCCAGCACCTAGAACAGTACCTGGTAATGTAGTGGGCATTCAGTAAATGTTTGTTAAGTGGACATTTGATATATATTTGATTAATTAATTAATGTTTGTGGTCCTATAAAAAATGTAGGGATATGTAATGATGTACTAATTTGACTTGTAATCCTTCAGACTCACTCACTTCTTGGTAATGGCAGATTGGGCTCCGTGGAGCCCAGCAGACACTTTTCTACTCTGCTTTTGTGTGATTTCTGTTCCTTAGGATTTGGAGGCCTTATAAAGTAAACAAAGTTTGGTGCTTTTTAGTATTTTCTCCCATGACTATAATTGTGTGTGAGTCAAGGGTTTTTAAGACTTTTATCTTCTTTTATGTTGATCTGTCTAAGTGCATTGAAACCTACACACTGACCTCTAAAATGGGGATGCAGATTCTCTTAACATGAGTTCTTTATTTTTTCTTTCTCATAGGTCTACACTGCAGTGTATTCGCACAATGACCTGTGAATATGCACTTTGCTCATTCTTTGTACCTGGTGATAGACAGGTAGTCATAGGAACAAAGGTAAATGGAGACTTTTTCTGGGATATCTGGATCTTTTCTACTCAAAATTCATAAAGTTAAGAAATCTGGTTCTTCTTTTTAGCATATTGGAAATGGACTGGAGCTAAGTAATCTGGGAGGATGTTAGTTTATTACATATTTTGTTTACTGAAGTTTTACTTTATTTTTTAAAAATTATGAAGAAGAAAATTAAAATCATGACCCTGAGATAACTACCATTAACATTTTGGTGATCATCCTTTCATGTGTCTTTTTATGGGCGCATATGTAATTGTGTTTTAATTAATGATAAAATATATTAAGGGTAATAATTAAATATATTAAGTACCTAATATCATGCTTGGCAGACAGAAGCATTCAGTAAAGACAAACTGATCAAGTCCTTATTCCTAGGTGCTAGTCAGATTGGGAGACAACCATGTGGAAATAAGCAGATATGGATTTGGATTTAGTTTCTGCCCTTTAGAAATAGGTAATTTGGGCCGGGCGCAGTGGCTCACACCTGTAATCCCAGCACTTTGGGAGGCCGAGGCAGGCGGATCACAAGGTCAGGAGATCGAGACCATCCTGGCTAACACGGTGAAACCCTGTCTCTACTAAAAATACAAAAAATTAGGTGGGTGTGGTGGCGGGCGCCTGTAGTCCCAGCTACTCGGGAGGCTGAGGCAGGAGAATGGCGTGAACCCGGGAGGTGGAGCTTGCAGTGAGCCGAGATAGTACCACTGCACTCCAGCCTGGGTGACAGAGCAAGACTCCATCTCAAAAAAAAAAAAAAAAAAAAATGAGTAATTTGGAGCAAGTCACATAACTGCTCATAGTGTGTTCCTTTATATTATGGGATGACGACACTTGCTTTTTGACAGCAGCTTTCGTACCAGATGGACTGGTACCAGCCTCTGGCACTTACTAGCTATGTGACCTTAACCCTGTTAGCCTTGGTGTTCTCGTGGAAAATGACGTTACTGACCCATTTCACAGAGATGAAGTATACAAAACTCTTAGCAGAGAAACTAGCCTGCAGCGAATAGCTAATCGATAATAGAGCTGGTAGCAGACATAGCAGTAGTGATTGTACCAGTAGTGAGAATAAAATGGAACAAGGTCTATGGAGTGTTTTGAAAAGTGCTTTGCAAGTATTTGTCATTATTATTCCCATAAAACAAAGCCATATGTACATGAGTTTTATTACAAAATGTATGGATCACAATGGATATTTCTTGCTTCAACAAAAAAATGTAGGCTGGAGAGATTTTAGGAACAATGCCAGGAAACAGTATTCACATCTCAAAACTTTCCTTCCTTTTTCACTCTTTCAACAAATGTCCATCTCTGATTTGCCGTCGGGAAAGTAGTTTTTTAATTGCTTAAGACTACCCATGTGGCTAAAATGCAATTGTCGGCTTACTGGCTGTGCTAGGCAATTAATGTACATTATCTCATTTAATCCTGACAACATCTTTGAAACATTGGTGATATAAATTTCATTTTACAGATGAAAAACTAGGTTCATGGGGATGAATTTACCAATGGGCACAAAGCAGACCTGGTACTCAAGTCTTTTAGCTTATGCTGTCTGTACCACCTTGTGCAGAAGCTCATCGTAAAACAGGCTTTGCCTCTGTGTGTGTTACATGCTGACACCATGACTATGGCATATACAGACCTCTAAATAGGAATTTTAGAGTGATTGCTTTCTATGCCATTATGATTTTTTTTTAAATTCACTGCCTTCCTTAGTGCTGTAGGTAGATCCCATTTCTTATTGTCAATGTATTGCAGAGGAGGAAACCAAAAGCAGATGGAAAAGAGGTGGTTGCTTAAGCCAATAACTATAGAGGATCATCCGCTTAAAGGATTGGCTAAACTTTAAAGGCTTTTAGGTTTGCATTTGCTATTTTGTTTATTCTGATTTGCCTATGGTCATGATATTTTCCTTGTGAAGTTGTGTAACCAATGAAAGTAATGCATCCAGTACTGCATGGTGGTATTATTCCATACTTCTACACTATGGTAGCCCTGCCAAGGTTAACCCAGCACATCAGTAGGGGATTTAATAGTATTTAATCAGGTAGGAAATACAGAACATGGAATGTGGGATCCATTTCCTAAGCAATGGATCACATTTTTGCAGCTTGGTTATGAAGTCTTTTCTAAATTGTGCAGTCATGAATCATGGAGGTTGTACGTATGTTCATTGGAGCTGTGCTCATTTTGTGTCTTCCCAGACAGGGAAGCTGCAGCTTTATGACTTGGCTTCAGGGAATCTGCTGGAGACAATAGATGCACATGATGGAGCTTTGTGGTCCATGTCCCTCTCTCCAGATCAGGTAACTAAACCAGATTTTAAAGCCCTGGAGTTCAGCCCTGTGGCTACCCTGATTTCTCTCAGGGTTTCTTTAAAGAAAGCCTGAGGTTTTTTTTTTTTTTTGGTCTAATCTTTAGTGTTTGTATATGATGCCTTCTTATAAATGACCACCTGTCATTATGAAATGAAATCTTGTTTGGCTACTTTTGCTTATCAGCAGCGTGACATCAAATTGCTTACCATCATGATTTTTTTGCCAATGTTTTGTAATACTTCTTAAGGGGGAATATTCTCTTGGGCAACATGATGCAGAGAACTGAATAGACTTTGCTGCTCCCCTTTTTTCCTCAAACAAACATCTATGACTGTATAAGCTAAGTAGTTTTAGCAAGTATGTCAGCCCTTACAAGTCAATAAATATGTGCTCACCTTCAGAGCAGTTCCTGGCAAAAGTATGCTTATTCTAATAATGGTGCTGTTGCTTAGAAAATCTTGAGATTTTTTTTTTTGACAACACCTTAAGAAATTTTGGCCCATTTATTTAAATATTCTCAATGATAGACAATTTTCATCCGTTGAAAGTAGAACTTAGTTTTGGAAAAAATCACTGAAGTTTAGAGTGTTTAATACCACTTGGGGTCCAAACGAAACAGCTGTGAGTCTAAAATAGTAATAAATCTTGCATTTGTAGAGTGTTCTATCTTTTCCATAAACTGTGTGGTCTTTTTTTCAACAAAACTAGGGATTTACGGAAAGGTTGTTTCCTGTGTTATAAATCTATGAGGGACAGACACTTGAGATCCAGTGTTCTATGTACTTTACACTAACACTGCCATGTAATGAGACTAATTTTCTTGATAACGGAAAACAGCTTCAAAACTATTTTAAGTAGGGACATTGCAGGACTAAATTTATATCCTTCTGAGGTGAATACTTTAAACAAATCTAGATTATCCATTCTATGTATATTTTTCAAACTGGTTTACTGAGAGTTTTTGTTTCTTCTTGATGCTAGATAATAGTATAACTAGAACTTTTCATTAGTTATTATTTCTGCCTATGTTAGTCGATGGTAGGAATTTTCACATAAGGTTTGTGGCAGCAGACCCAAAAGATCAGTGAAAGGGGCTAGGGAGAACCACGTTTTTCTTAATTTTTATCCCATGACGTTAAATAAAAATACTTTCTTAGACTTTTAAAATGTATCTTCATAGCAAAGTTTTTATGCTAAAATAGTTTTTAATTGAAATTTCATTTGATTTTCAGCGTGGCTTTGTGACAGGTGGTGCAGATAAATCTGTCAAATTCTGGGATTTTGAGTTAGTGAAAGATGAAAATAGTACCCAAAAGAGGTGAGTAGACATTTTTTGTGTCCATTTTTTGGAGTGAAAATGGGGAGCTATGGAATGGCCTTTTGACGTCTTATATCATTTGTTGTGCTCTAAAGAGTTAGGATTTGTCTGAATTTGTATACTCATTTATTTTTTCTTGATGTTTTTTGTGGTGCTAGACTTTCTGTGAAGCAAACCCGAACTTTGCAACTAGATGAAGATGTTCTGTGTGTCAGTTACTCTCCCAATCAAAAGCTATTGGCTGTGTCTTTGCTGGACTGTACTGTGAAAATTTTCTACGTTGATACTTTAAAGGTACAGTGGTTATGCCTGCGGATATTTTCCCTTTCTGACTGACTGACCTTAAGAATTTGGGTTGAGGCTATAAAGAAGTGGCCTTGACTGTGCCCAGCGATAGTACATTTCTAAAAATGTGTGTGTGAATCAAAGCAATGTAACTATGCTAGGGAAGCTAGCATTTTAAAATAATTCTATGGTTCATGAATTTTGTTTAAAGCAAGTTATATTTCATATGTTCAAAAAATCTTGTGGACAGAAAATTCTGTCATACTAAGTAGTTATAAGAGCATTGCTAGGTGTCCTGGGCAGTGATTTCACACTTGGCTATATATTAGGATCATCTAGGTTGCTTTTAAAAATATAGATTACTGAGCCCTATACCCAGAGAGTTGATAGGACCAGGTTGGGCCTGGGAAATTTTTTTGTGAAACAAATGCCCTGGAATCTTTTCAGTGAGGAGATACAGAGATCTGACTGAGGCAGTAAGCTTCTGGGGGCTTCCTTGCCTCCACTATACTGCAGTATTCTTGGCAAGCACATGGAGGGTCTGTGTAGTGGACACAGGTACTCCTGCCAAGCTGTCTTTTGTGGGTTGTCTTTGAAAATACAGATATAAAGCAATTTAAAAATGTGTTTAAAGTTATATTTTAGACCTACATGTAATAAATTATACCCATATTTTATAGACAGACATTAATTATGTTTTTTTGATGTTTAGTTTTTTCTGTCACTGTATGGACACAAACTGCCTGTTATATGCATGGACATCTCTCATGTAAGTAGTTTAAATAGTGTCTCAGTAATATGTTGTCTTTTTTACAGCAGATACTTTCTTAATTCTGGCTTGATGTCTTCATCTTAGATTATTTGTTTTTATCATCATTCTGTTATATATCTTTCTCCAAAAACAGTCTCAAATTAATATATATTGTATCTTATATATATTACTTTAATGTTTTCAGAATAATTTTGCAAATATCATCTCAATCAATCCTTATAAATATTATCTCTTTCCCTCTTGTAGCTCTCCCAAATAGTACTTTATTGTTTAAAATACTATAATTGGTAGAGTACACTAAAATATGAAAGACTTTAAAAAGGCATTCCTTTTTATTCTGAAGGATAATGCTGCTGAGGAGCTCGGATTTATATTTGGATAGTTACGGTATTTTACACTATGTAGACTTTTGGTCTCTTGACCAAAATCATTTATTTCCCAATACCTAGTTTTGATTAGGAGTGGCAATGTATATTAAAAACAATGTCTATTCTGCAGAGTGAGACTCCGTCTCAAAAAAAAAAAAAAAGTCTATTCTGTGTGAAAGGAGTTGACCTCATAGCTGTCTGTGGTCAGTGCACTAACAAAGTTAAGTTACAATGTTAAATGTATTTCTTTTTTTTTTTTTTTTTATGTTGACAACCATTTGGACCACGCATTGAAATAGGAGAGATAAGAGAAATACTGATAGGGAATGTGGGCTACATAAACATTCTAGTAGAGTCTTTCTCAGCTTCTCTTCTGTTTCTTTCTCCCACTTTCTTTCCAAATCCCATGCCAGAGATTAGAAAATCTTTTTCCTATCTAACGAAGTAAATAGATAACCCTATGTCAAGGCACAGCACTGCCCTGTGACAGTACGAAAGTATTTAAGCCACAGAGTTCGTGCTTTTACTTAACAAGCTTTTTAAGTTCCTCTGTAGGTAAGAGCAAAGAATTCAGTGTTTTTAGTAGAGATGAAAATCAGTTTTTTGGCTTCATTTTAATGTGTTTGAAAGAAATGGGTTAAATATTCTGGTTAGCTTTTTATTCATATACGGAATTCAAAAATCAAGGTAGTGTTTTACTTTTATTTCTCATAGGATGGAGCACTCATAGCAACTGGCTCCGCTGATAGGAATGTGAAAATCTGGGGTTTGGACTTTGGGGACTGCCACAAGTCTCTCTTTGCACATGATGACAGGTATGTATAGTCTTTTCAAATGTCTCCCTTTGAGTCACCTGTAAGTTATCACTTTCCTTGAGCATCTGTGTCTATTTTTCAGTGTTCTCAGGCAGTGATACAAGTTCTAAAATATAGTCAGACACCCTAGAACTAGCTAGTCAAAAGCTATTTATGTGTGTAAAACTCTTTTTACTAACCTGGAATTTGATGACATTTTAATATTTCTGTCACTTTTCAGTGTGATGTACCTACAGTTTGTACCCAAGTCTCACCTCTTCTTCACTGCCGGAAAAGATCATAAGATTAAACAGTGGGATGCAGACAAATTTGAACACATACAGACTCTGGAGGTAACCACATGCCTTCTGTGCTTGCTTGGTACTTAAGAAATACTTTTAAGAATATTTACATTACCCACTAAGTAGTGGTCAATGAATGAGGTATTCTTTATTTTTTTTTTCTCCTCCAGGGTCATCACCAGGAAATATGGTGTTTGGCTGTAAGCCCCAGTGGAGACTATGTTGTATCATCGTCCCATGACAAATCTCTGAGACTTTGGGAGAGAACAAGGGAGCCTCTTATTCTTGAGGAAGAAAGGGAGATGGTAAGAACTTTAGGCTTGGTTACAAATATGCCAGTAGGTATCTGACAGGCTGTCCTAGTTGAAGTTTTCTGTCTAGTGCAGTTACACCTGATGCATTGCCAAGTCCAAGAACCTTCAGGAGATCTTTTCAAGACCATTGTCACCCATTTCAGAAGCTAGGCAGAGATAAAGATGCCATTAGGGTATTATGTTGTCAAAGGAGCAGCTTCTCGCTTCCTCATTTCTCTTCATATAGAGACCATGTTTTTTTCTCTCAAATTAATGTATATCTATCTCATGGCAGGAAAGAGAAGCAGAATATGAGGAGAGTGTGGCCAAAGAAGACCAACCAGCAGTAAGTAAATTTTGGGGACCTTGAGATTATGCCCCATATATAGTTATCTTATTGAAATTGACTATAATGTCCAGAATTTCTAATAGAATTAAAATTGAGGCTAGAAGTTGCAGGTATCACCAGCTGATAAAGAATCTGTGTAATTCTTTCTCTTCAACTGTATATCCTAATTTTGTGGTTCAAGTGATTGACCAAATTTGCTACTGAATAATTATTCTGTCAATTGAGACTTTAGGGAATTATTTTATTCACTGTAGCACAAAAATAAAAATTAGAAAATTTGGATATTCTCTTTTTAAACATTTGCAGGATGTTCTTACAATAATACATATGCTAAGTTCTGTTACTGGTAGCTGATAACACTGTTAGTATTTTCATAAAATAATAATAGCTGTTCTCATATGGATGTAAGATTAATTTATCAGCTCTTTAACTCAACAGTCAACAGTGTTATTCAAGGATTTCTTTGTTTCTGGCAGGTTCCAGGAGAGACTCAAGGTGACAGTTACTTTACTG
Source organism: Homo sapiens (assembly GCF_000001405.40). Taxonomy (NCBI): domain Eukaryota; kingdom Metazoa; phylum Chordata; class Mammalia; order Primates; family Hominidae; genus Homo; species Homo sapiens. Next base: position 117,953,513 of record NC_000001.11, read on the forward strand.
GAAAGAAAACTATTGAAACAGTGAAAGCAGTAAGTTGATATAGAATGTGGTATCTCGTTTTTTAATAAGATCTCAACTTTTTAGTAAAAGTTTTATTCTGTATCAACCAGAAAGCCATTTTTTTGGCAAAAAGTTGATGAGATTTAAAGATGGGGATTATAACCTGTTTCCTTCTCTTGTAACCAAAGATGGGAGTAGTCCTGAATCTCTTTGATCAATATGTGCTCCTTTCAGGTGTTCCTGGGACCTGCCCTATTCAGAGTGTCTAGATATCATCCCACCTGAGTCCATGACACTCAGTCTCTTCCCTGTACATTAAAAAATAAGAAAACCAAAAATGTCTTTAAATGCTTTTTGGCACTCTATTCGCACGTCTTTATTAAACAGATTGAAGCTATTTCATTTGGCAAATTTCTGGTCAGTTCTTCCAGTTTCAGTGTCCTGGGATGATGGAGTATGTTGTGATGACTTCTTTCCTTTCTCATCCTCTGTAGGCTGAGAGGATTATGGAGGCTATTGAGTTGTACCGAGAAGAAACTGCAAAAATGAAGGAACACAAAGCCATTTGTAAAGCTGCAGGGAAAGAGGTAATAAGAGAGTACAGTAAGTTACAGTATCAATAAAGGGAATTCCCAAGGAGAAAAACCATTGTTTTGGGATTTATTAACTAAGATCAGGATATGCAATAAATGGAATAGAATCTTTCCAACTCACTATATTAGAAGAAATTGAGGAAGTGTGGGAAGAAGGGAACTTGGTCTTAATGAAAGCGAAGGAAAGGAAATTACAGATTGAGGTGATTATTGTCTTGAGTAGAAACCCACGTTCTATGTTGGTTTGGGAGGCAGGGTAACCATTTCAGATTTCTAGATAAAATACATTGTCCAAGCTCATTCATGAGTACTATAGAAACTAACAGGTTTGATAATTCTTTTACACTCTGTCAGTTTTTTAGGGTCTCTTTTTTCCCTTTTCAAAATTATAAAATACAGTTACCACTCTGTCTATAACAAGTGCTACCTAAGTCTCAGTTTTTTTAATGACTTGATTTAATAATTTCTTCATAGGTTCCACTTCCCAGCAACCCCATCCTAATGGCTTATGGCAGTATCTCAGTGAGTAAAATGTCTAACGGTTTTCCTTTGTTTATTAAAAGGTTACTTACAAGGACAAGAAAGGAAGTAGAGGCATTATGATTTGGGGATGGATTATTGGGAATACTTTGTCTTCAAAAGTCTCTTTTGAATCTTGGCATTCTCTAGGATATTTTGTATTTCAAAAGGACCACTTTAGTGTGACTTCCCAAGCCAGCCTTTTTGGTTGGACTGGACTGGCATTCTTCTGTTTTCTAGTGCCTGTTTATGTTCAGTGTCCAAAGCCCTCTGAAGATTCTGTTAATCTAAATTAACTTTTGAATCAGCCTTCAGAAGGAAAGTTGACAGAAATCAGTCTGATGAGATAAAGAAGAGAGAGAGGGGAAGAGTGATGGGAGAATGTATGTTTATCTAGTAATCTCTAATTAGTATTTTATTGCATGTCTCATCACAGTAATTTTGTGAGTCAGGGTATCTTCACCTTATAGATAAGGAATCTGGCTTGACTTGTAGCATAGTTGGTAAGGGGCAGAGTTCAGTTGTCAACCCAGATCTGACTGACTCTAAACTCATGCAGATCTTGCCATTTTAGAATACTTTTTCTGAAGTAAGAAGGAGGGGTTCCTGTTTTATAGGAGATAGAAATTAGAGAACTTTAGTAGAAACCAACCAAGAGTATCACTAATGGTATTAATCCTTCCTTTATAGCCTTCAGCTTATGTATTAGAGATTTTTAAAGGGATCAAGTCGAGGTGAGTGAGTCCTTGCGCACAATTTTTGTAATCTGTCAGCAAACATTTATGAAGTGCTTATCTGAACGGGAAATAAATAGAAATTATAATTGATGGTTATCTTATAGGTTTAACTATATCAAAGTTTTGATGGAAAATAATTTATAATGTTCTTTTTGAAGTGCTAGAACTAGGAAGTTCCTTCTAAAGTATGAAGAGAGATGCTTTTAAGGACAAATAAAGGGGAGTGATTTATGTTGTAGGCGATGAAATAATATATAATTCAATTAGAAGCACCAATTGTTAATTTGTTTTATATTTTGGCTTCTTTTCTATGTACATACACAATTGGAATATTATATAAAGTTTTATATTCTGTTCTTTTTCACATATTTCCTGAACATTTGTTTGTTGTTCATATTCTTCAAAAAAAAAAAATCATTGGATTCAGAATTATTCCATTGTATGAATAATTACTCGATATTGCATTTGTTTCTCCTTTTTGGCTATTATCAGTGGCTTCACTGAATATGTTTACACATATATCTTTGTCATCATTATTGATTATTTTTCTTAAGAGTCCTAGCAGCCTAATAACTGACCAGTAGGCATAAGCTTTTAAAGTTTTATATTGCCAAATTACTTTCCAGGGTGATTATACTGATTTTTAGCAGGCTTTAAAAAATTTGTTGCCAGTGTGTGAGCCAAAAGGTAATATTTTATTATTTTCATTTCTTTTGACTATTAATGAAGTTAACATTTCAGCATATTTGTTGACCATTTGTATTTTGTCCTGTGAATTTTTAGTTACCTCTTTTTGCTCTTAAGTATTATTTTACTGGTTTTTAAAGAATTCTTGCTGGGCACAGTGGCTCATGTCTGTAATCCCAACATTTTGGGACACTTGAGACCAAAAGTTTGAGACCAGCCTGGGCACCATACTTTATTTTCTTTGTCATACATTTTTGCAATAATTGTTATATTATTTGTGATTTTCCTTTTGATTTTATTTATGAGTTTGAACTACTGAAGGCTATCATTTTCATAATGAACCACAATATCTACATATATATTCCTTACAAGAAACAACACTTGTCTTAGGATAAAGATGAAACTTCACTACAGGAATGTAAAAGAAAATTGATTAATGTGGAGGTTACAATACATTTCAAGATAGGAAGATTCTGTGTTTTAAAGATTTAACTTTTCCTAATTAATAGGTTTGTAATCCCATTTGATATCCTCTTAAGATTTTAAATTGGAATTGATGAAATAATAATACTTGAGCTAGTTCTAGAGGGAACTATTTTCCCAGATTAAAAGGCTACAAAATTAGCAAAATTAAAATAGTGTAGCATTGGTGTCAGGATCAATCATCATGTCAGGATCAGTCATCATAATAGACTCTAATGGACTCAATATATGGTAAAAGAATATCATATGAAGATGGAATATTCAACAAAAGGCTTTGGAGATATTGTTTATCTGGAAGGAAAAAAAGTTAGATTTTCCCATCATGCCATTGACCAAAATGCATTCCAAATAGATTAAGATATTAAATACAAAAAACAAAGAGAGTCATCTAGCTTACAGATGAATATTTAACTCTAGGCAAGATGTATCCAAGTATAAAATCAGTAGAAAAAATAATAAAGGGAAGGATTTAAAAATTGACCATGTTAACAACGTTAACAAATGTGGCATTTTTATATTTATTTTTTCTTTTTCAGTGAGCTGGAAGAATCTCTACTTGTGCTGCCTTTCTCTTATGTCCCAGACATTCTTAAACTCTTTAACGAATTCATTCAGCTGGGCTCTGATGTTGAACTTATATGCCGGTGCCTCTTCTTCCTCCTTAGGTAACATCCTTTTCCAAAGAATACCATGTCTGTTCAGCAGAACTGCTTCAGTAGTACCTTAACTGAAGCTGTCAACACTTTGGGATTAAGAAATAGTATGCCGAACTCGGTGGCTCACACCCGTAATCCCAGCACTTTGGGAGGCTGAGGTGGGTGGATTGCTTGAGCCCAGAAGTTTGCTACCAGCCCAAGCAATCAGTCTTGCCTTTAAAACAAGGATCATGATGACCCACCTCTTTAAGTAAGAAGTCATGGTAATACATTGCTCAGGAATGCTTACTCAGTCATAGGCCTCCATGTTACAATCTTAAGATAGCTCTGGTTCTAGTCAGTTTGCCAAAAGCCAATTATGATTGGCCAGTTTGCCTCATTTGTTGTTTCTTTTAAGCCAACCTTGTCCAGCCTGTGGCCCGCAGGCCACATGTGGCCCAGTATGGCTTTGAATGTGGCCCAACACAAATTTGTAAACTTTATTAAAACATTATGATTTTTTTGTGATTTCTTTGTTGTTGTTGTTCATCAGCTATCATTAGTGTATTTTATGTGTGGCCCGAGACGGTTCTTCCAGTGTGGCCCAGGGGAGCCAAAAGGATGGACATTCCTGTTTTAAAGTGTTTAGTGTAAGCTAACAGGTTTTGCTTTGTCCTTTACCAACATTTTAAGAAAGTCAGTTTATTTCTCTTGGTCTCTACAGGTGCAAATGGAAATGTAGGGGCATATATAGAGGTAAACTAAGGAACATAAAGCAAATATGTTCATTAGGCTATATTCTTACTTATGAAGATTCTGTTAATAGGTAGTTGAGAAGAATATATGCACAAAGGCTTGATATTCTTCTCATCTCTCACCCTCATTCTCAAGCGGTTACAGCAGAGAACAGGGATGGAGACAAATTGAACATTCCTTCAAATACTGTTATGAAGACAAAAACTGGTCAGCCAATGCCAAATAGTTAAACAGGTATATGTAGTGAACTGACCAAATAGGTATTTGGTGAATTGGCCTGGTTTTATGATTCTTAACCCTCCATTTCTTATACTCTATCCAGGATAGTAGCAAGAGAAGAAGAATAATATGTTCTGTTGCCATATTCATAATTTGGGGCAACTTGTAAAGACATAAGTTCATATTTAACCATGTTACTAACAATTTTTTTTTACTGCTATGGTATACGTGCTATTGAATTAGGGTTGCTGGTTCTACGAGTAACACTGTGAATACTTATAGCGTATCAGAGGCTTATGGATGGGTACTACCTGACAGGTATGGTAGGGTCATCAAGGATATCTTGGTACTCTAGGTCAGAGTTTGAATCTCACGAATGTCTCTTTTTTGCTGTGGCTTTATTAGAAGTATTAATGCATCTTTGTTAAGTTAGCATTTCTTAGAAGGCTCATTCTGTCTTTGAGTTTTCCTTAAAGTACCACTGTCAAAATCTGTAGCCACTGGCAGGTTGCTGGGCTGGAAGAAGAGCCTTTGCAAATGAGTTGAATGTGTCATAAGGTTTAGGACAGTATTTTTTAAGTTGTCATCAAATTGAACTGAATAGTAGAGAAAGAAACTTCTTTGGCTTTTTTTTTTTTTTTTGCTCGAAACATTTCTATAATGTATATTTTGTTGTTGCTTTGATATTGTGTCTGTTTACTGTTTCTAGAAGGGTTAAGTAGGGCTAGAACCTCTCTGCAACATGGCTGTGTTTTGTTTTTCTATCAGGATTCACTTTGGACAGATCACTAGCAATCAAATGCTTGTGCCAGTGATAGAAAAATTAAGGGAAACAACTATTTCAAAAGTCAGCCAAGTCCGGGTAAGTGTCTTTGTATAGAGATAAAATAATGAGGCAAATTCCTAGTGTGATTTAGAAATAGTATAGTATGCTGTGCTTTGTCTTTAGCAATACCCACCACCGATAAATCCATATTTGAGATAGTTTTTGTTAGAATTAGTAGGAATAGAAAAAACAAACAAGAAAAGTTCTTAATGAGGGAAAGATAAGTAACAACACCTGAAGCTTTGGTTACCCTAACTCTCATACGCTGCTATAATGAATTGAAGTGGGAGAAAATTTTTTAATATTTCTTGTATTGCACTCCAGGATGTTATCGGCTTCAATATGGCTGGTCTTGATTATCTCAAGAGGGAATGCGAGGCAAAAAGTGAAGTTATGTTTTTTGCTGATGCTACTAGCCACTTGGAAGAGAAGAAGAGGAAGAGGAAAAAGAGGGAGAAGTTGATTCTAACGTTGACTTAGAACTGAAATGTGGTATCTTTTTTTTTTTCAACTTTTTCCTTTAAAGGACTCCTAAACTAAGCACAGAAGAGTTGGCGTCATCTTAAAAATACCAAATAACAGAAGATCGCATTGCAGATGATATCAGGATGTGGTTTCCAGCTTTGCCTGAGGGAATTCCAACATGAGATTATGGGCTGGCTCCATTTCTTGGACTTAAAATGCATTATTAGTTTAAAAATCTTTCTGTGCTCTCAAAGCTTGAGCCTTGCAGCTCAAGCTTGTTGTTCCCTTTATATTCTAGCAGGGAATAAATAATTGTTTTAATTAGGTATTTGTTTCATTGGAGTTGAAATTAACATTTCAAAAGTTTTTCGTATTTTTTTATGGCAGATGATTTGTCATTTATTTATATTAGGTTTTACTGCCTATTGAGACAACCAGGTGCATAATTGATTGCCCTTTGGCCATAAAAATGCAGTGTCATGGATCTTAGAGCTAAAAAGGACTGTAAAAATTACCCAGAACAGCGTCCTCAGACTTAACCTTCTGCAAGTTATGTCTGTATATAAGAAGATTCTAATTGCTAACTGTTTATACTTTTCTGAATAAAATAGTTGTTTCTAATTAAAAAGTAGCCAAGCTAAGATGCCTGGCTGGGCTTCTGAGGAATTAATACACTCGTGTGTGTGTGTGTGTGTGTGTGTGTGTGTGTGTGTGTATGTGTATGTGTATGTACACATACATATATATAGTTGACACTTGAAAAATGCAGGTGGTAGGGGCACTGACCCACCCCTACGCCCCGCACAGTCAAAAATCTGCATATAACTTTTGATTCCCCAAAGTCTTAAGTACTAGTAGCCTGTTATTGACTGGGAGCCTGACTGATGTATTATATATATTGTATACTGTATTCTTAAAGTAAGCTAGAGAAAAGAAAATGTTACTTAGAAAATCATAAGGAAGAGAAAATATATTTACTGTGTTTATCAATACTATAAGTGTATGTCATCTGTTTATAAAATGAATTGTCTGTCTGGATTGGCAGGCAACCACAGCCGCAGACCTCAATCTGTGGTACTTATCAAGCATCAGCTTTTTCTTGTAATGTCATGACTTTTCTCTGCTTTTTGGGAGCACTGTGATATGCAGTTTACTGGGGCGATGAGTTGTTCATGCACAGGTGATTAGTGTCACAGCATTTTAAGTGCATACGCACAACACTTGAGCTCACTGCATAGCAACAGGAGGTGGCTGTGAAATTATTTCAGTAACATACTGTGTATTACAGTTCATTTTATGCAGCTATGATTTAATACTGCATCTTTACATTATTTTACATTTCTCCCAAAACTGTGAATTGCACCATGTATGATCTGTATTTGTGTGTGTTAATGTTGATAATAGATTTGCGTGTATTTTATGGCAGTAAATGATAAAATAGTCTAGTATCTACATATATTTTGTGCATTCATGATATAACTACTTTTTTCCTAATTTTTTTCATCTGAAACTTTTCTCATTGTTTCAGATCTCCAAAAATTTTTCCAATATATTTATTGAAAATATCTGGGCTGCGTGCAGTGGCTCACGCCTGTAATCCCACCACTGTGGGAGGCCGAGGCAGGCGGATCACAAGGTCAGGAGTTCCAGACCAGCCTGGCCAACATGGTGAAACCTCATCTCTACTAAAAATACAAAAAACTAGCTGGGCGTGGTGGCAGGCGCTTGTAATCCCAGCTACTCAGGAGGCTGAGACAGGAGAATCACTTGAACCCGGCAGGCGGAGATTGCAGTTAGCCAAGACAGTGCCACCAGCATTCCAGCCTGGGCAACACAGTGAGACTCCATCTCCAAAATAATAATAGTAAAAAAAAATCTGTATAACAGTGGAGCCAAGTGGTTAAAACCCATGTTCAACGGATTGTCTACTGTATATCTTCATGGTAAGGATTTGGGGAATGTTCTAGGAAAAGATATTGACAGATACCTCTGGGTCTGGGCTTTTCTTTTGGGGAAGTTTATAAATGACTAAATCATACTTCTTGTTACAGGCCTGTTTAGATGTTCTGTATCTTCTTGAGACAGTTTTGCTTTTTATCTTTTTTGTTGTTGTTAATCCCAAAGATTTAAAACTATGGTTTCTGTCTGAATTTGGTCATTGCAACCAAGTTACTGTGTTGTGGGGCCACCATTTTCTTCTAGGCTCAGATATGCAGTCCTTGTGGCTTGCCGATTTGTGTCCCAAACCACAAGTCTTAATGTTCTTGAGCATAACACAATCACTGAAGTGAGTAAGGGATGCAGTGGTGTTATTTGTTGGGCAGAATAAATAAGTGAATTTTGGCATAGAGTTTCTGAAGGCATAACTATGAAGGCAAGAGAATAGGCAGGCAGGATAATGCATTCTAGGTGCTTTCCAAGGAGTCAGTGTTGTTTAGGCAGCTATTCCTGCCACCAGGGAGAGGAGTTAATTCTTGAAAAAAAATTTAATTTTTTATGAGAACAGAAGTTGATTCAATATCCTTCTTAGAGTTGCTCATCAGAACATAAATGTCACTTTCTAGTAACATTTTTGATGGTTTCCAAACCAAAACAAGTTCCAGGAGGGCATTCGAGATGTATACATCATCAATAATTACTCTTATGTTAAAAGTTGCTGTTTTCCCGTAGCTTTGCCACCATTTATAACTCAAAAGCCTGATAGTGCTAGGGAATGTAAAGATGTTTCTGTCTGCTAAGTGTTATACTAATCGAAGAGAAGGAGAACTTTTATGATAAAGTGACATGTACAGAACCTAGCCAAGTTACAATTTTTGGTCAAAATACTTGAAACTCTTTAACTCTAAAAGTTTAAGGTCAATAGGTGCATTATAAAGTAAATTTTAAGCCAGGCAAATTTCTAGTCATTAAGTCAGTATTCATTGCCTTAGTCAGCCATTGGCTGTATATAATCCTTAATATAAAAACCATCTAATGACTAATATCTCTTGCATATTGTGAAGTAAGTTACCTATAGAAATTCTGTAGTACCATAAAGAAAAGCCTTTTGAGATTGCAGTGAGCTGAGATTGTGCCACTGCACTCCAGTCTGGGCAACAGAGCCAGACTCCATTGAAAAAAAAAAAAAAGGCTCTTGAATGATGTATTGGGAGTAAAACATTTAGGCTTATTTTTAAAAATGTATATATCCATCCACTTAGAGAAAATATGCTTAAAAATTTTGAAATTCACTGGCTGGAAGCTAGGTGCTTTGTATATTTGGTATTAAATTGTTTCTCAATGGCAAATGTCATAAATTATATCTCATTCTAAAGATATCTAGCAAATCTCCAGCAGAGATCTAGGACAGTGCCCAGGAAAGCAATGGTATCTGTTGGTAGGTACAGGACTGTATATAGGACTCTATTCACTTAGCTGTAAATGATGAGCCTGCTCAATGCAGCCTTTTCAGGCCAGATTAGTCTTCAGAAAGAGAGGGAGGTTGTGAGCAGAAGCTTAATGAAGAAACCACATTGGCTTACAGTTACTGTCTGCAATCCACCCCCATTCCTCACAATTTAAGCTCCTAAGTTTGAGATGGGGCTAAGGTTCTTAAAGGTAGTATCACCATATATTCAAGTCCTTTCTCTTTATTTCTGAGGTTTTTGGGATCCAAGCAGCCCTGGTATGTTTTTAGAACACAGTACACATTGTGTAACAGTCACTGAGCCCAACTCTTACATAGGGCCTGGCAGTGTTGCCCTTGTGTATCCCTTCCCCTTGAGTATGGGGTCGGACCTAGTGACTGGCTTCTAGTGAACAGAATACAGTAAATATAATGGGATGTGTCTTCCAAGATTAGGGTATAAAGCACTGAATTCTACCTTGCATGAGCATTACATTTTATAATATATATAAAGAAGCAACTAGTATAGTTATTTAAACAAATATTTTCTTTTTTTTTTTTTTTGAGACAGAGTCTCGCTCTGTCTCCCAGGCTGGAGTGCAGTGGCACGATCTTGGCTCACTGCAAGCTCCGCTTCCTGGGTTCACGCCATTCTCCTGCCTCAGCCTCCAGAGTAGCTGGGACTACAGGCACCCGCCACCACACTTGGCTGATTTTTTCTATTGTTTAGTAGAGACGGGGTTTCACCAAGTTAGCCAGGATGGTCTCGATCTCCTGACCTTGTGATCCACCCACCTCGGCCTCCCAAAGTGCTGGGATTACAGGTGTGAGCCACCGGGCCCGGCCTAAACAAATATTTTCATTCATTCAGGCCAGGTGGCTTATAGGTTTCTGACTATAAGAAGAGGGGAAGAAACCTGGGGTCTAATACCTCAAATTTGAATGCTTGACAATCAAATTCCCATTTATTACTTACTGTACCTAATGTGGAGAAACTTTACGAGACATGAAGACTCCAAGTGTGGAGGAATAAATTGTAGAAGTTCTCTGGACCATTGGATTTTCTTTTCCCTGGGGAAAGTCTTTTGGTCGTTTATCATAATTGCTGCTTGTTAAAACAGGTAAAATACTTGTTAAGGGCTGTGCTTTTCATGACTAAATTATTTGCATATATAAACCTAAATAACATTTTAGAATCATAGAATTTCTTCTCTGGCAACATCAGTTCAATTTTAGGTAACTGTCTATCCAATGCAAATTCTGCATGCTCAGGCTTGGGGGTTAGAGGATGGATATGCCAATGTCTAGAATGTCTTCTGTTCTCCCTAGTGTACATTTCTCTCCTAACTGTGACTGGCTTTCTATAAGGAGCCATCAGTATGGTCAAGCCCCAAACCATATCTACATCAGATTTCATGCTTTTTTTTTTTTTTTTTGGTGGGGAGAGGGACAGATCATTGTTGACACTGTAAGTAAGTAGATAAAAGATCTGATAAGATTTTTTGCCCTTTATCTGTGTCTGACAGGTTCTCTCTAATCTATAAGCAGGGAAATAGAAAATTTATTATAAATACAAATGATTTCATTGCTATGATCAGCAGCAGTGACTCAGGTATTTGCATCTAATAACCTGTGTGGAGAGGGTAAGGGCACTTGATTTAGTTACCAGAGGAAAAAACTAGTTCTTTGGCTAGTTTCCTTCTGTCACAATGGAAAAACCCTGTCATTACTCAAAGGAAGAGAAAAAGGGAGGGGAGGAAGGTGAGAGGAAGGGAGAGAGACTTTCCCAGTGAGGACTTTCCTTTCCTATTTTATATTTTGCTCCATTGTACTTACTGCCATCATTGTTTATGGTTTACTTACTTTATGTATTGTCTGTCCTCCCACTGGAATGTAAGCTACATAAAGGCAGGCGTTTCGGCATCTTTGAAAGCATAAATGAACAAATGAACTAAACTTCATTTATTGACATCAGTGCTATCTGACACAAGTTCCTTTAACTTTCTCCTTCACCTCGGAATATCTGAATCATCAGCTATCTTCAGCTTCTCCCTTGCCAAGACTAACCCTTCAGCTCTGTTTTTTATTATTCTTTTGCCCTGTTTTGGATATTGCAGTTTCAATCACTTCTACTCATTCATATTTTTAATATATATCTTCTGCTCCACTCTCTTCAGCCTACAAACATGTAGGTCTACATTAAACTGAAAATCCTTCCTATATTCTGTTGCATCCTTGAGTAACATATTCTCTTGCTCTTTCCTTTAATAAATTTTCTTGAAAGAATATCCATAACTAATGTTTCTGCTTTCTTAATACAGTCATTCTTTACCTTTTGCAATTTAGTTTTTATCCCAACCAAATTTAACACTTTAAATCTGAATTTTCTTTGACATCTCAATAGCATCCGTCAATTGTGTCCGTCTTTTCCTTGAAATTCTTCCTAAGGCTTTTGAAGTATTTCACCATTTTCTAATTGCTGCTTTTGTCTCCACTGGCTCTTCTTCCTCCTGCTCCCTAAACCGACTCCAGATTTCTGTTCCTTGCCCATACATTCAGCCATCACCTCTGTGTAAACGATGCTTAAAATTATTATATCTCCAATTCTGACTTCTCAGTTGAGATCTAATATTACATATACATGATTCATTACCTCAGCCCAAAACTTTGAAGTTGAACTCGATGTCCTCTTTCTTCCATCCATCAATGGCTTCTACCTCAGATTTTGCAGTTTCCTTCCCCCACCATGTCTTTCATTCATGTCCCTCTTTTATGTTGACTGTTCCCCCACTCCCAGTTCTTGTCCTCACACATGGCCCATTCAGGTAGACTTCTAATGGTACTTTTACACATCCAGTTGTTCCCCTTTGACATGTCCTGCACAATAACCCTGGATTCATCTTAATAAAGATATGCTGATCATGTCACCCACAGGGTCAGGAATCTGCAGTGGTTCACTGCTGCTTAAATAATAAAATTCAAGCCAAGGATTTAAGATCTTTCATAACTTGACTCCAACCTACTTTCCCACTATATTCCTAATACTCAAGCTTTTGGCAAGTTGAACTCCCTGCCAATCATCCCAAACACCTGGAGCTTTCCTGTTGCCATGGTTTTGTTCATTATTTTTACTTAAAGTTCCCGTCAATCAAGTTTTCACATTCTATAAGATCCAGCTCAAAAATCAAATAAATAGAGAACTGTAACACAAGCAGCACACAATTCATGCCACTGGAGAAAGTACAAAATAGAAATAAAATGTGAAGACTTTATTTCTGCTACAAATTATATAATACCTTTTAAGACAGAGTCCAATTATCCATTTTTATATATGATAAACTATTTTATACAGTACCTTGGAGGTAATAGGTTCTTGATATCTATCTAATATCTGTTTGGCTGAAGACACTGATAAGGAGGAATGCATGCATAATTCAGTGAATACCCAACCTTTATAATAATAAGGTATTTCCTATCCTTCCATAAAATTATAATTTTTTTGTGATAGATACTTGCTGTTTTATTATTCTGTCTGATATTCCGTAGATAGCCAATAACATTTACATTTATTCAATCTGAAGTTACTGCACATATACTATGTGTCAGGTATTTTTTTAGATTTGGCTAGGTGCTTTCAAAGATGAATGAAGATGCTCTTTGTCTTAATAAATTTAACTCTGATTTTGAAGATAGAATTAATAAAGTAGAGATGCATTTTGACTTCCATGTTTTCCTCACTCGTGTAATTTCTGCACTATATATGATTACTCAAGTTGAACTTTAAAGGATATTTGCTTCCACAGGTAGGAACAGAACCTCATGCTCTGTCATAATCTCGATATTGTGAGAGATGTGTGCTGATCCCTTGGCCCCATCCTCTCCAACAGCTGTGGCAAATAACTCTATATTCAGTTCTGTCTGCATACCAGCTGCCACCTATAAGACACAAGGTAGCTTTAGGACCAGACAACTCTGAGTTCAAACCTTGCTTTTAATAATATGAATTTGAGCAAGTTACTTAAACTCTCTTACCTTTGGTTTCTTCATCTATAAATTTGGCACTAACAAATGGTAGTTATTATAAGCATTTAGCGGAATTACTTCATAATGAAGGTAGAATTCCATTAAGTAAAGGGGAGCCAGGGTAAATTGTTGAAGGGGCAAACCAGGTGCTATTTAGGAAAAAGCATAAGGAAGCTAAATGCCAGGTTATTGGAAGTGGAACTGAAGGCAAAATTTTGCAATACTCCTAATTGTGCTAGTTTTTGAATGTCGGTAGTGACTTTCAGTAGTGAAATCTGCAATAGCGGCTACTGCAGACAAAGATAAATTTAATCTAATATAAATATAAATCAGGAGGCTGAGGCAGGAGAATTGCTTGAACGCAGGAGAATTGCTTGAACCCAGGAGGCAGAGGTTTCAGTGAGCCGAGATCGCGCCACTGCACTCCAGTCTGGTGACAGGGCAAAACTCCATCTCAAAAAAAAAAAAAAAAAAAAAAATTCATCTAACAGACTTGGTGACTACCATAACTTTCCTACCCTGTTCCTTGCAGGGGTGTCCAATATTTTGGCTTCCCTGGGCCACATTAGAAGAAGAAGTATTGTCTTGGGCCACACACAAAATATACTAACAATAACGACAGGTGATGAGTTTAAAAAAAAATCGCAAAAAAATCTCATCATGTTTTAAGAAAGTTTAGGAATTTGTGTTGGGCTGCATTCAAAGCCGTCCTGGGCCATGGGTTGGACAAATGTGACTTTAGGGTATTCCTAATGCAGGATGCATAAAATAATGAAACCAGTAGAGGGAGATAAAATTAGTTTAAATGCCCAACTGCTTAGTTTGAAAACCCGTGGAAGAGGATTGCACCAACAAAGAAGAAACCTGATACAGAAGGAAGAAGGAACACAGCAAGGCATGGGCGTCTTGCCTTGTTCTTTGAAAAGAACACTAGCCAGCAAAGAGAGAGCTATTTATGTTTCTAAGTTGCCTCTCCAGGAGGTGGGTTAAAAAGCAGACTTGGGAACAGTTATCTAGAAAAAAATAAATCTGAAACTACCACATGAAAAGCAATTAGATACAAATGGAATGTTTTCTTCAATATAGTTTTATAAATAGTAGAATTGGAAAATGTTTCACAGTTTTTTCAACAATGTACTTGTGAGCATATGCATACTGGAGGATATCCAGCAGCAGACCCTTCTCCTCCAAGTCCAGCAGTTGGAGCAGGGCTGGGTAATGATGAAATTCAGCATGAAGAGAGCTGGAATACTGCCATCATACAGGTTTGCCCAGGCTTTGAGCAGATTCATTTAGTGTTGGCAACTAACCAAGCTGAACGGTGGTTAGATTTACATATGGGGAAGTCTACAGATTATATTTTTTTTGCCAGAGCCAAAACCTACTATCAAAAACTTAAAAAAATAAACTAAAAAAACCTTATGGTATAGAGTGAGCTTCAAAGACTACGTGCTGGGTTTTTAGTACCTATAAAAGTTGATCCAACAGCCATTTTGGCTTTTGGCATAATCCCTACTTTAAATTAAAATGAGATTTGCTAACTTCCCAGAACAGTGGAAGAAGGGCTTGTTTTGATTTTTGTCTTTTGCTTTATGTTGTGAAGGTTCTGAAATCTTGACACAGTACAGTGATGAATTACTTCAGGAGAGTACTCATGAATTAGTGGATATAATCCCAAAATGTTTCTGTTTGGAGTTTCAGCCTGTATAATACTGTTTTCTATAGAGCATATTACAGCTAGAAGGGGCTAAGAAATAATCTGGTCTGAACTTTACAGATGAGGAAAACAAGGCTCAGAGCATTAACTGAACTGCTTGATGGCATAGTCGTGACAAGAAGCCAACTGACTTGGTGCTACACCAAACCAACCCTTCTGTGTGAGCCTATAACTGGGGCTGCTTTAAGAGCTTCAGACTCAGGGAGCATTGGGTGCTTGTTAACAGGACTGGATACTTTTGTGCACTGTTCTCACAGGCCTATGCACTCTTCGCATCTGTGATGAATGGGTCATACATCTGCCAGACTAACTCACTTCATTCTGTCATTCAATCACACCTCTCTTGAGTACCCACTATGTGCCTGGCTCTGTAAGCTGCTTACGTGTCTTACTCATTTTTAACATCCTCTGCGCCCTGACCACTTTAAATGGCATATGGGAGGAACTCAAAATTTGCTGAGTGAAGTATGAAGTAAAAGGGGTGTTAAAGCAGTCAGATGATGCACTGATAAAGACAAATGTGACTTTATTTAAGATGAACTTACGTTTACATCATCCTATATTTCTGAAATTATAATTTAAAGTGAGAATATGCTATTAATATGCATTTTTTTTTACTAAACATGCCATTTTGGAGGATGTATCAAATAAAGTCAGAACAGGTTGACATTTTGTATTTTGTATTTTCAGAGATCTTTGGAGAAATGAGGCAATTGATGAGTTTAATAAATACGATTTCTTGGTTGGGCGCAGTGGCTCATGCATGTAATCCCAGCACTTTGAGAGGCCAAGGCGGGTGGATAGAGAGGCCAAGAGTTCGAGACCAGCCTGACTAGCATGGTGAAACCCTGTCTCTACTAAAAATACAAAAATTAGCCGGACGTGGTGGCATGCGCCTGTAATCCCAGCTACTCAGGAGGCTGAGGCAGGAGAAGTGCTTGCACCCAGGAGGCAGAGGTTGCAGTGAGCTGAGATCATGCCATTGCACTCTGACCTGGGTGACAGAGTGAGGCTCTGTCTCAAAATAAATAAATAAATAAATATAAATAAACAAATATGATTTCTTAGTATGGCATTAAATAATATTCTCTGACAAATACCAAGAGAGCAAACCAGATTTACGTAAAATATGAAGAACGGAATAATTATTTTTCACTTCGCATAAGGATTTACTTTTTGAAAAGGTAGTTTTTATACAATGGTAAATAACTGTAATATTGGGACAAGTGAGGTGAGCTTCAGAATTGTTTCTATAGCTGGCAGTTTAACTCTGTTTATGCATTGGATTGGTCTCATGGTTACTACATGGAATGAATGCCATCAAGCCACATACTGTATCACTACGAGAAATCTTTTGCTTATGATATTAAAAACAGTAGACTTATACATAGTTTAAAAGGAATGGGCAGAATGGTTTCAAAGCCCACTTCACTGGAAACCTATACATAGTCACTTGCATGCACGCAAGCACACACAACAGATGACATATAGGACTTACAGGTCCAGGTTTGTAAGTCACTTTCAGTCCTGTGCTGGGTGGGGGCTGCTTTACTTTAAACCTACAAGGCAGAAAGATAAAAATAAATTTATGACATAATGAAACCCATGAGCAATGAATAAGCTGGGATGTTATAAAATAAGGAAGGTGTTAATATTTGCTACACAGGAGCCGGGGGTCCATACCATTAGAAAAACAACTTTAATATTCAATTGGGAGAAGAATCTGGGGCCCATTTCACAACTGCCTTTCCAACAGTTTTCATCAGCGTAAAACGGGCTCCAACCTGAGTTTCAACCCTTTGTTACTGGTTGCTGACGAGCAGCCCAGGCTTGGGCAGTGGGACTGTTTGGCTGGTGCGTGCATTTCAGCGTAGCTGCCAGCATGAACGCAAATGCTGGCAGCCGGGTCATTAAGTTGAAGAATAAAGGCTCTTTTGGAAGGCAGTGGAGCATGGGAGCCAGCCTTGCTCTGTCTTGGTATGGGGTTTGCATGTTTGAGGAGAGGAGAAACAGAAAGGCTCAGAAGATGTCGAAGAACTTGAAAAGCTCCGAGCTCACACATGGTGCTTATTGATCTCTCTCCCTTCCTGTGGTTTGTGGGGTCTGCTTGAAGGTTAAAGACCTGGAGTAAATTAAAATGCCAAGGAAAGCCTGCCTCCACTCTGACCCCAACACTGCTTCTTCCTCCATCAACCTTGCTGTCTGCTCTATCGTGGCTGAATTAACAAGCTGAGGAGTGAAATCTCCAAAACTAAAATTTTATACTGGAGCGACAGGACCCGCACGAATGAGTTTTATTAGTTCGAGGTTGACTGTCTATTTCTTCCCACCCACTTTGTTGGCAACAACCTAAAAAACAATCGTGTGATTTGGTGGCCTGAGTTCCACATCAGATTGTTTCTCAGGAAGCAAAGGTTATTCCTGAAGCTGGGGATTTGCCTCAACTGAAATAACTGAAATGGGACAGGGATCTTTCAAACTGGATGCTTCTATCGTTTTTTTTTTATCTGATTTCCAATCATCAATCCAGAATCACAAACATTCTTGAAGGACTTACCACTCAACTCTGAAAATGGCTGCAACTGAAATAAACATATATTCCATTTTAATGGAAGTAATACCCATGCTTATGTTTAATTCAAGATACAATAGTGGACATTTTGTAATTGGGAATGGTTTGGTAGAGGTATATGGTTTACCGATCCAATGGAAAGGTTTGAAATTTCACACAAAACAAAGCATTAGTAAAGCAAAGTATATGGTGGGACTCAGGAGATCTGAAGTCTGGCCTCTGCTAGCTGACAAGATGTTACAACAAGTTACACAGTTTCTCCTTTTATAGTAGTCTCTAAGGTCTTTCCCTCCATTATGCAGAAACAATGTAATTAAAAGCACCTTTCAGATCATAATGTGCAAACAAACATCAGCTAGTATTATTATAGTTAGTGGATTTGAGAAAAAGACTTTCAATTATTGTGCATTAGTTGCTGTAACACTTTTGTACAACCTCCCCCTTTTTTTCCACTAGTAGAAATCAGGATGTGAGTTGCTTTTACCAAAGTATGAATAATGATGACTAGGAGGGCAAGGAAGTATCTACCATATAATTGGAACCCGATAAACACTCACTGATTTGTTGATGAATGAATGAATGAGTTAGTGTGTAAATGACTGAATGAATAATGTGAAGATTCAAGGAGTAATTACAGTTCGGTTCAATAAACATTTATTGATGGAGGTGACCAAAGACAAGTCACAGGGTAGGGAAAGGTAACCTGAGCAGACCTTTGGTCCCTTGGCCTCACCTGCAGAAGTCCACTCCAACATTCTTGAGCTTTACAACTGTGGCATAGGTATGTCCTTCCTTAAGCACTCCAAACTTGACTGATGATGGGAGAAGATGGAACCCAAAAAGGGATGACTTTGCATTATTAATGGCAGCAGATGCAACAGAGGATGTGTTCACTTTTCCTCCAACAGAATCTTGCACCTTTGCATTAAGAAAAAATTAATAAAATGGTTCTATTTTGAGTTCCCAAGATTAAAAAAAAAAAAGTCCCTGTCACCAGAGGAAAATAACTGTTGGGTTGCTGGAGGAAATGAATGTTTACAGTCTCATGTCATCCTTACAACAGTCCTGTGAGGACGTATTTTAGGCTTTGTTTTAAGGATAAGGAAGTCAAGTTCAGAGAACTGAAAGATGGATAATTGTTCAAGTGGTAAGTGGCATAGCAAAGATTCAGACTCAAGTTTGCCTGATTCTAGAGTCTGTGCTCTTTCATCTGTGCCAGTGGTCATCAAACGTTAGCTTCCATCAGAATCTCCTGGAGGACTCATAAATACACAGATTGCTGACTTTACCCCCAGAGTTTTTCATTCTGTTGGTCGGGGGCAGGGCCCAAGAATTTGCATTTATAACAAGTTCTTAGTGTTGGCAATGCTGCTGGTCAGGCAACCACACTTTGAGAAACATTGGTCTGTGCCCTTATTATTCCTCACATCAGCAGTGCTGACATCATCTCAGAGTTTGTTAGAACTGCAGAATCTCATGCCCTACACCAGATCTAGTGAGTCAGAATCTGTATTTTAACAAGATCCCGAGGTAATTCATATGCACATTAAAATTTGAGACGTACTGTAATTTATATATTGTCAGTTATATATATATGTATATTACAATAAATTTTGTGATGAAGATGAACACAGTATGCCATGGAAGAAAAAAAAAGATAATTATCAAAACTGGTGGACTCCAGAAGGTTTCCCAACAGAACTGGATGGAATCTTAATCTTAGGGGCTCTGAGCAAGAAAGGACCTTGGTATTTTTAAAGAATGAAGAGAAATCTACAATGGCTGAATTATAGTGAGTTTGACTCAGGGTGAGGGTGAAGAAGCAAATGGGGCCTTATCCTCATGCTAAGTCATTTGGATTTTATCCTAAGAGTCATGGCAACGGTGGCCAATGATTCCTTTAGCCAGTAGTAGTATGCTGGTAAACTGGCTCTCTGAAAACAATTCTGATTTCTAGTGTTTATCAATTTTGTGGTGCTAGTACTCCCAGCATGGCTGATTTCAAGCTATCAGTGGTTTGATAACTGGCTCATAAAATTTCTCCCAGCAGCCTGTATGAGCCAGCTCCACCAAAGCACCATCTGAGTTTACATGTGTGAGATGTAAGTTTAAAGAGCTTCATGGTGAGATGGTAGATACGGTCAATAGCAGTACACAGTGGCCGGAAACTAATAACTTCAATGAATCAGAATTACATAAAATCTACAAAAGGAGCAGGATTGAAAAAAATAAAAAATAAAGAATTCCATCAAATGCTGATTGGCTGTGGGGAATTTGTTCCAATGTTTGTTTTACCTTTGCAAGAGGTTGAGACTTAGGCTTGGAACTCAGCAAATAATGAGGCAACTTCACTTTTTCTTTTCTTGTTTGTCCCGCAACATCCTGCAGCAAGGACTGGGTTGGAATTTTCACGGGCTCATAAGATTCTGCTTCTGTTAGAGAGAAAGCTTAAATTATGCCACATGGACATTTTATTCAAACACATTTGAAGTAATATCAGAATGTATGACAACAGAAACCAACTTGGAAACTTTTTTTCTTTGCTTTTCAAAGAGCTTATTTATTTATTTTTATTTTAATTTCAATTTTTCTTTTAGATTTACTGCAGGTTTGTTACAAGGGTATAATGCATGATCATGCTGCCCAAATAGTGAACATAGTATGCGATAGGACATTTTTCAGCCTGCCTCCTCCCTTCCTCCCTCCTTTCAGAGTCCCCGGCATCTCTTGTTCCCCTCTTTATGCCCATGAGTGTCCAAGATTTAGCTCCTACTGAAGTGAGAACATGTGATTTTGGGTTTTCTGTCATTAATCTTCTTAGAATAATGGCTTGCAGCTGCATCCATGTTGGTGCAAAGAACATGATTTCATTCTTTTTTATGGCTACATAGTATTTCATGGTGTACACGTACTACATTTTAAAAATCCAATCCATCATTGATGGGCACCTAGGTTGATTCCGTGTCTTTGCTATCATGAACATTACTGCAGTGAACATGTGAGTGTATGTGTCTTTTTGATAGAACAATTTCTTTTTCTGTGGGTGTATATCTAGTAATGGAATTGCTGGGTCAAATTGTAGTTCTATTTTTAGTGTAAACAGCTTATTTAAAAGGAGAAAAGTCTTCTGTTAATTCTCATTTTATGCCTTTTCATTTTAGAAAGTGATTTTACATACATGACCTAATACTGGTCCTCACAACAACCGTATAAGGTGGGCAGTACAGATGCTATTAGCATCTTTTTTTTAATAAATGAGAAAAATAAGATTCTAAGAAGTCAAGTGGCCTGTCTAGGATGAACTGAATTATACCCAGATCTTCAAGGTTCCTTCTATTAAATCAACATTATATAATACAATACAACATTAACTCTGAAAGATTTATTAAAACTAATGAGTAAAAAAAAAATCCCAAGCATTTCTTTGATTCTACTACTATATTCATAGTTTTAAAAAGTGGTTTATTAAGTATAGATAAATTAAGCCAGAAAATTAGATCTTCAGATCACTAAATTTGGTGAGTTGTTCTTTTCCTCAGTTACATGAGGGAATGAGCAAGTGTAGGAAATCCATGCAGCAGTAGCTGTGTGTCTTTGTTCCACAGATCCAGGAGGTGGAAATAAGAATAGTATTTTAGATCATGGTAGTTAAAAATCCTTTCCTGCATTCAAATCAGGAAGAGAGGAAAAGGAAGGGGACTAATATTTGAGTGTCCACGATCTGCAGGTGAGTGCCACACATGTTTTTACACCGGAATGAGGGGGCTCTGGCAGTGATAATCTTGGACTGCTCAGCATTCTTCCCATCCTCCATCTCTATGCAAACTCCTGCCACACACATCTGGTGCCAGGACGTCCCTGGTCCCAACCATGAGGAGCAAAGCCCAGTCAATGAGGGCCCTTCCCTGGATATTTCCACTGAAGCGGACAGCGATAACCCCATCTTGCATACTAGGTTATGGATCTGGAAGAATCAGAATCTTAGGCCTTTATGGTCATGATCTCTGCCACATGGAAATAGCCTGTCCTTTGTAGGAGAGGATAAAACCAAACAGGAACAAGTAGGGATGGGTCATGGTGGAGGCAGGGGGGATGTGGAGAGAAACAGGCATTCAGACACAAATACTCTCCTGGAAAGCCAGAGTACCTGAAGCCAAATGCCCCTGGGCTAGCACCACAGTCACACAGCCACTATTCTGTGGTTTGCTTTTGGTCACCAATAAATTTCCTTTTTTGTTGTTGTTCAAGTGAATTTGAGTTTTAGTTCTCATGGCTGTAAACTGAGAAGTCCTAACTAATATAGTAGTAGTGTCTCTGTTTTTTTTGCTTGTTTGTTTGTTTTTACCAAAGGGGAAACAGAGGATCAGAGGATTAAATAACTTGTCCAACAAACTATAATGAGGGTCAGGGCTAGAATGTGGACCTAAGTGTGTTGGAACCACAAGGAACATGCTCCTTTTACTACTCCGGGTGTCCCAAGCCCATTCGTGAATCACCGTCTGCTGGGCTGCTTTTGGAAGAATAGAGATTTCCAGGGCACATGCCAGTAAAGCCCTATTCCTGACCAAAACAGAATCAGAATATCTGGGAATGGAACTCAGTGATCAGTGTTTTTATGTATTTATTCCCTTTGATCACTATTCTCTGCAGAGGCAAGCATTCCAGTAGTTTGGTATAGTTTTTGTTCATATCCTTGCCGTATGTGTACTACGGCTTTGTGTGTATGCATGTATCAGTCTAATAAGTACTAATTTGTTGCTCATACTATTATTATTAATAGTAAATATGGTATGGAGTTTATCATGAGCTGGACACTGTGCTAAGCATTTTACATACATTAACTAATTTAATTCTCACAGCCCTGTGATGTATATAGCATTATTTCCCCTTTACAGAAGAGAAATAGGAAGAGATAAAGGGTTTAAATAATGTGCCCAGTGTCACATAGCTATTACACAAGGAGCCCGGATGTGAACCCAGGTAGAGCCTGTACTCTTAGCTCTGCTCTATACTAGACTGCCTCCCATAAAACATGCAGATGATTATTCCACTGAGCCTACCCTCCAGGGATCAGGATAATGGGGGAGGGAGTCCTTGAGGGTCTTGGAGCAGTGGCTGATTACCAGCTGACACAGAGGTCCTTTAGTATTTGAACAACTGGTACAATCCAACTATTGCATTCGTCTGAATATTACTGCTGGACCTGAGCCGAGTGAAGAACCAGTAGTGGTTCCTTGTTACCATGCTGAGGAAGGTGGATTATTTCTTCACAATTATTTATTTCCCCATTGAGGATGGCTTCCCTGTAGGTGGAAGATATTTCTGCTCCATTGACTCTGAGCTTGGCTACGGCACTTGCTTTAACCAACAAATGTGTCTGTGGATGGCAGTGTGTGCCAGGCTGAGCAGAGGCTGTGAGGGGTAGCATGTGCTTCTGCTGGACTCTCTTGAGCTTTGACCTTCTGCTGTGAGGATGGCTTGCCTGACGTGGTGGCTCCTTGGCTCCCACAGTGTGGCATTCTTGGAATACACCTGAACATTACCTGCAGCCGGAGGTGTGCTGGTGAATGGTTAACAACTACCTTTCCCAGGGTAAACTGCCCTGGTTTGTACCAGTCTGGGGCAGAGCTGCCATGGACATCCACAGGCCCTCAGACTGGTTGTTTTAAGCCACTACAGGATTTGGCAGTGCTTCCATGCAGTATTATCACAGTCAGCACTGAACCCATGTTTTATTTTGCAAGTCCACACCTTCTCTAGCTGACTCTATTGTATTTTCCAGACATCATCTTGTATTATTACCAAATAAAAACTCTCTTATTTACTTACACTGATTTCCTGTTCATTTCTCCCTTCAAGCTTTTGAACACATTCATTTTATTTTAAATAAAATATTCAGGCTGGGCACGGTGGCTCACACCTGTAATTCCAGCACTTTGGGAGGCCGAGGTGGGCAGATCACCTGAGGTCAGGAGTTCGAGACCAGACTGGCCAACATAGTGAAACCCCGTCTCTACTAAAAATACAAAAAAAAAAAAAAAATTAGCTGGGTGTGATGGTGGGTGCCTGTAATCCCAGCTACTCAGGAGGCTGAGGCAGGAGAATTGCTTGAACCCAGGAGGTGGAGGTTGCAGTGAGTCAAGATTGTGCCACTGCACTCTAGCCTGGGCGACAGAGCAAGACTCCCTCTCAAAAAAAGAAATTAATAAAATAAATATTCTTTTCTCTTCCCTACATCAGGAATGTAGTGTAACATAATATAGAGAATTAAGAGTCTTAAAACTCATTCCAGCCCTAGCTCAGTCACAAATTTGCTGTATGATTTTTAGATGTCACTTGACTTCTCCAGGTTTCAGTTTCCTTAAGTAAAATGAGGGTTGTTGTAGGTGATTCACCTCTTAAATCTTAAAATCTATGAAATTCTGTTTATTTTTCAAGACCATTCCTCCCATAAAGCTTTCTCCACTGCTTTGTGTTAATTCCTTCCTACTCTGAATTTCTTTAAACTTTTTATATCAAAATTTAATTTTCCATTTACAGTGGAGTCATATTATTGTCCCTTATCTCAAGTACCTCGGTATCTGGGGGTGCAGTAGGTGTTTCAAATAATTTATTTTTCCTCCTTCAAAGCTTTGTTTCTTTGAAGCTTGTGCCATCAGACTGTATTAGTTACTACTTCTCCAAGTGGTTGTCATTTACTGACCACTCTCGATCATTCCTTTTATTCACTGGTGATTTTAACACCTGAGAGGGTCTCCCACTTTATCTTTCCTGATGACATCACCTGGATGATCCATCCAACACCCTGTCTTATCTGATTCTTGATCACACCGTTTCTTCATCTTTTCCACCTCACAGAGTCTCATGGCCACATTTTTTACCTTGCCAACCCCGATCATTTTACCATTTTCAAAATCTGTTTCCAGTACCCTTTCTGGATTACCACCTCCTATTCTTCTAGCTTATTATTCTGTCATATCCAGCAGGCGATTATTTGACCTCACTGAGGTCTCTCACCAACACTTCACCTTACACAAGCAGTCCCTCCCTTCTTGTTTTGCTTTCCTGCTTATCTGGAATAGATCTGATGCTCTATCATTATATCCACTCCTTTGCAATCAGACAGGAATTCCCTCATCCATCTTCCCCACACCAAACCTATCAACCTGCCTGCAAATGTATCCCTACTCTCTCTCTTCTCTCCTGTCACTATGGAGAAGGTGACCTTATTCATATCTAAGGTTAATTCTGTCACTCAAGTTTTTCCCCAGATGCCATGTTCTTCCATCTTCTTTAGGACCTTGTGGTCTTGCACCTTAGGTGCCTCTTTCTCTGGCATCATCAAGTTCTCTCTGGCATGGAATTATCATCATTTGCAAATCAATAGGCTCTAGTATGCCTAATCTTTAGAAAAATATCTCTTCCTTGACTACATATTCCTCTTTTATATGCAATTCCATTTCTCTAGTCTTTTAAGCAAAACTCTAGGGTAAAGCTGTGTACATTTGTGCTGCCACTATTCTATCTATTACCCACTTCACTTAGGCTTCAATCCCCTCCATGCTCTGAAACTGCCCTTGTTAAGTTCACCAGTGATCTTCATCTTGTTCAATCCCATCTTCCTCCCTCACCTTGCAGGGGTGAGGGGCATTTGACCTTGCAGGGGCATTTGATACACTCCAAACACTCAGTGATTTCACACTCCTGTTTTTCTGCTACCTTACTGGCTTCTTCCTCTTCTTTTTTTTTTTTTTTGAGACGGAGTTTCGCTCTTGTTGCCCAAGCTGGAGTGCAATGGCGTGATCTCAGCTCATTGCAACCTCTACCTCCCTGGTTCAAGCGATTCTCCTGCCTCAGCCTCCTGAGTAGCTGGGATTACAGGTGCATGCCACCATGCCTGGCTAATTTTTTGTATTTTTAGTAGAAACGGGGTTTCAGCATGTTAGCCAGGCTGGTCTCAAACTCTTGACCTCAGGTGATCCACCCGCCTCAGCCTTCCAAAGTGCTGGGATTACAGGCATGAGCCACCGCGCCTGGCCTACTGGCGTCTTCTTAATGGCCTTTACTAGCTCTTCCTCTGCCTGACTTTTACCTTCTAGAGTTCGCCTCAGGACAGCCATTCTCAAGGCATAAACCTATATCAGCAACATCAGCACCACTTGTGAACTCATCAAAACTACAAATTCTCAGCCTCACAATCAGTTTAACCTAAGAATCATCCTTGATTCCTCTTTTTGTCTCACTCCTGCATCCTCTTGAGCAGCAAATTCTATTGGCTCCACCCTCATGATATAGTTCCTATTAATTTCCTTCTCACCATTCCCTCTTCGCCCACCATAGCCCAGGTCTTCAGCAACTCTCGCATGTGCCACTTCAGTTGCTTCTTCCTTGCTTGCTCTTTTTCTCACTCCTCCCTTTCCTTGCCACGAGCTGTTATCCTCACAGAGTGATCTTTTTAAAATAAAAATTAGCCATGTAACTACCCTGCTCAAAACCTTCCGCTGACGTTTGAATAAAACTGCGCTGAGAAGTACTACATGATCTAATCTCTGCCCCACTCTCTGACCTCATCTTCTTTTACTTTTTCCTTTGCTCAATTTGTTCTAGCTACATGCCTCCTTAATGTTTCTGCCCCTCAGGAACTTCTTACCTGCTATTCTTACTACATGAACTATTGCTCTCCTAATCTTTGCAGGGCTGACTCCTTCTTATACTTGTCTCAACTCAACTATTTTTTTACAATGAGGCCTTCTAATCTCCTAATGGAATGTTGCCCCTCTCCCCAAGTCACTGTCCATACATTGTACTGTTTTATTATGTCATAATATTTATTACAACCTGAATTTATCTGACTTATTTATTTGTTTACATATTGTCTAGGTTTGCCCATAATATGGGAGGGGTCTAGCTCCATCAGATATGGGAGGGGTCTAGCTCCATCAGACTGTGCCCTCATTACTATTGTATATCCATGCCTAGAACAATGCCTAGCACACAGTAGGCATTGAGTAATTATCCACTGAATGAATAAAACTTGTAGGAGAGAAGTTTAAGTCAGAAACACAAAAGTCTTGTATGGGGTAAATCTTTTTTTTCTTTTTTCTTTTCTTTTCTTTTTTTGGGATGGAGTCTCGCTCTGTTGCCTAGGCTGGAGTGCAGTGGCATGATCTCAGCCCACTGCAACCTCTGCCTCCCAGGTTCAAGCGATTCTCCTGCCTCAGGCTCCTCGGTAGCTAGCATTACAGGCAAGCGCCACCATGCCCAGCTAATTTTTGTATTTTTAGTAGATACAGGGTTTCACCATATTGGCCAGTCTGGTCTTGCACTCCCGACCTCAAGTGATCTGCCCACCTCAGCCTCTTAAAGTGCTGGGATTACAGGCATGAGCCACAGTGCCTGGCCAGGTAAATCTTTTAATTCACACTTAAATGTGGCAAAATACTTGCTCTATAAGAGATAACTGAAACCCATCAGTAGATTCCCATCTCACATTCAGCATGGAACATGCCCACAGGAACCAAGTGGTGGCAAAATCATCTACACAATGCAAATTAGTCTCTCTATCTCTCTTTTGTGATCAACTATATTTAGTTGAATTATCTTAGCGAAATTAGCATAATGTGACTCCACTGTAACTAGATATTATCCTGTATTATTTTATATTTCAATTTCTGCTAGTCCAATAAGATTATGTGCTATGTAAGATAGAGACTACATCTTACATTTTTCTTCTAGCACCTGCAGGACCAAGAAAGTACTGAGATAACAGGTAAATCTAAGTACCAAATTTCTGGTTACTCAAGAAAAGCTATCAGTGTCATCTGATCTTCAATAAATCATACAAGTTCTCAGAGAACTAAAAGGGATAAAATTAGGTAAAAATGAAATAAAATAACATCAAAAAAGGATTTCTTTGTATTTCTTTCCTTCAGTCTGGAACTTGCAGTCATTCTCAAAAATGTTATTTGAGATACTTCGATGTGCTAAGAAGCCTTTGCAAAGCTGCATAGCTCCAGGATCCGTGACCCTCTCGATTTTTTTCTGTAACTCTCAACCTCGCCTCCTAGCGCCATCTCCCATATGCCAAAAAGACATAATGTTCAGTTTCAAGAAGCAATAAGATAAAAAAGACTGCCATACCTTCAGGAGATTTTGTTAAATTTTCAGTTTGGTTCTGAGCAGTGAAATCCTTCTTATCTGCAGAAATCTCTGGTTTTGGAAGACTAGGCACACTTGAGGATTTCTGTTCTGAAACCTTATGTGGCTTGAAATCTAGAAAACCCAAAATGAACCTTATAAAGTGATATTTTGTAAAATGATATAATGACTACTAATGTTTGCATGAACAAACATTGAAGAAGGTGTTTTACAATGAATGAGGTACCTTTTCTGCCACTCTCTTTAGAAAGACTAAATATAAGAAAGCCATTAAGAGGCAGGGATTCTTAAAATATGATATAATGTTTGCCATTAACAAACAGTAAAGTATTTGCAAAGTTTGTACTCCCTAGGAGCTAGCTGGTTCTTTATGGGCATTATGACTAAATAGTAGAGTTGTCACCTTGTTGTGTTATGTAGAAGAGGCCAAGTAATTTGTTTCTACTTTTACCTGGTAACGGCAACTGAGATGTTATCTTTTTTCAGAAATTTCCAAACTTAAATTCATTCATTACTGTGAAAACGTAGCTCTTTGTTAAATGTATCTCTTTAAGAAATAGGTACAATAGGAAACAAATTTTAAAGAAATTTATCTAGGATTGAGGAGGCAAATACATTTCAGTTTGTGTGTGTGCCAACCCTGGTTGAATAGTCCTGGTTGCCTCAAGTACTGTGCTGAAAAGACTTCCGCAGTCTCACTCCATTTCAAGAGGAGAATAAGCAGTGTTTGGTTAGTGCTGACTGCCCAGGCTGCAGGAGGTCTGAGACGCAACCTAATAGCCACCAATTTCTGATCCCTGATTTCTCCCCATCACATTTATAAGTCATTGTTCCAGCCTTAATCTTTGGTTTACCAACTCTGTCATAATTAGATATTTCTATTGTATGCGTTCATTATAGACAGCTGAACTTCAAGTATCGTATGGTACAGTAGAAAATTCCTCTATCTGCTTATTTTTTTTTTTTTTTTTTGAGACGGAGTCTTGCTCTGTCGCCCAGGCTGGAGTGCAGTGGCACGATGTCAGCTCACTGCAAGCTCCACCTCCTGGGTCCACGCCATTCTCCTGCCTTAGCCTCCCTAGTAGTTGGGACTACAGGCACCCGCCACCACGCCTGGCTAATTTTTTGTATTTTTAGTAGAGACGGGGTTTCACCGTGTTAGCCAGGATGGTCTCGATCTCCTGACCTCGTGATCCACCCGCTTTGGCCTCCTAAAGTGCTGGGATTACAGGCGTGAGCCACCGTGCCCGGCCCCCTATCTGGGTATTTTAACTACTCAGTTTACTAGAGAGAAACACTACATTTTATTTCATCCCTAAATTCTTCAGCATGCAGTTCCTGAGAATGAAGACATTCTCCTACATATTCACAGCACCATCATCATACCCAAGAAATTAACAGTAATTTAACAATGTCCTCTCTTACATAGTCTCCTAATCAAACTTGTGCAGTTTCTCCAAAATATCTTTTATAGCTGTTTTTTCCTCAATCAAGCATCCAATCAAAGCTTAGGTTTCACATTCAGTTTTTATATCACTTTAGTCTGTTTTAGTTTAGAACAATCATCCCATCTTTTTTGTTTTAATGACATTGATTTTTGAAGAGGCTGGGCTGGTCGTCTTATAGAATGTCTGCATTTTGGTAGACATTTTTCTCTGTTTCCTCTTGATTAGATTCTGGATAAGGATTTTTGGCAAGAATTCTCTATAGGATTGTATTAGTCGGTTTTCACATTGCTTATAAAGACATATCCAAGACTGGGCATGTCTACAGGAAAAAGGTTTAATGGACTCACAGTTCCACATAGCTGGGGAGGCCTCACAATCATGGTGGAAGGCAAGGAGAAGCAAGTCATGTCTTACATAAATGGCAGCAGGAAAATAGAGAGCGAGCTTGTGCAGGGGAACTGCCCCTTATAAACCCATCAGATCTCATGAAACTTATTCACTATCACGAGAACAGCACGGGAAAGACCTGCCCCCATGATTCAATTACCTCCCACCAGGTACCTCCCACAATACATGGGAATTCAAGACGAGATTTGGGTGGGGACAAAACCAAACCATATCAAGGATCTATGCACTTTGTGTTGCATTACATGAGAACTCACTTACTGCTAGGTTGTCTCATTGTTGGTAGGAGTTTGATGACTTAGTTAAGGTAGAAAATGCTGAATGTCTCCATTGTAAAGATACATTTTCCTCCTTATAATTTGTAAGTAATATGTGGGTTGATATTTTGAGACCTTATGAATGTCTTGTTCCCCAGTGAACTTTCATTACTTCCTTGCTTTTTAAATTAGTCAGGTCTCCTAAATGCATTTAGGCCAATTTTAAGCATACAGGATGAAAACTAAATGTTATTTACATATTTGTTTTCTCATATAACTCAGCCAGATCTGTCATATGCAGGTCACTGTAGGCTATGTCATCAGCTATCACTGGTTATGTCCTAAGAGGCCACTGTTAGGTATTATTCAGTTACGGACATTTAATAGGAATATGTGCTATGCTAACATATTACCTAGATTAAGATCAGATGTATCTTGAACAGCTGTTTCGTTTGCATCTTCATTTTTCTTTGTAAAAGAAGGCAGTTTTTTGGAAAGACTGTCCAGGTGATTATACTGAAAGGAAAAAAAAACTTATTTTAGACTTATACATGGCTGAAATTCAACTGTCGCAAATATGTTAAATTAATAAGCAATAATGAAAACATATTTTTAATGCCCTGAAAATAAAGTTTACAAACTAAAATTCTACAAGAGACTGATTAACCCAATTCTAGCTTTTGTTAACTAGTCATAATTTCCTGTAATTTCTTCTGAAATTTTCATAGAAATGCAGGGCGTTCTGAACATATGAAAATATTCGCTTTGCTTCAGGGTTTTAATGAACTTTTGGCCAGTGATGGGAAGGTCGGGGCTGTGGTCCTACAGGTAGGCTGAAATAGAACAGGAGAAGAGCGTTCTCCCTCCCTGAGCTTCCAAGAACTCACAATCTCTTAGTGCTATCTTAGCAGCTGATGGGTGAGGAAATTTTAACTGAATAAAAACTTCAAAATGGGTTATCAGAGGACAATCAATGATAGGAAAGATTCTGCCTAAAAAGGCTTAACATAGATGGGAGAGGGTAAGTAATAGTGAGACTGAAAGGCAGGATGGGGTAGTGATAGTTATACATTGCAGAGAACTTCTACTTAGGTGCAAGGCCTGAAATTAGTCTTCCTTATCACATGCTTGTGAGAATATGGATTTGAAGGGTACAGGTTAGTCAGCCAGGTCGATGCAGGAAAGAATTAAACAGCATCAGGAAAGACAGATTACATAATAACATATGCAATATACCAAATTTATAAAAACTTTTATTAGATTATAGTTCATTATATTCAATTACCTGAGACTGATATAACTGGTTCAATTCAGATTTAAAAAAGGGTGGTATTATGCGGTTCTTAATATCCATTAGGTAATTCTGTGTTGTCTCAATTTCCTTCCTGGTTGATGTTTCCATGATGATGCAAAAGAAGACATAGAATATTTTAAAGTGTTGTTTGTTTGTGCTTTAGCTCTAAATCCCACAAAAATGAATGCAATCACTAACAATAAAACTGACAAGAATTAATTTATTAGATATTTTTGTCAACTTGTTTTGGTTAATTTTCTCTTCTTTTAGAATCACTCACATTTCCTACTTCAAAAATCAGACTCTCATGTAAGATAAGAAATAATGATACCAGGTGTTAGTTTGATTTTGTAGTTGATCTCAAAAGGCTAAAAACCACATAGCCCTGTAATGGTTAAACTTTTTGAGGTTTTTCAATTCTCTGAGGTTGAAATGACAGCTAGAGTCTACTGGTTTTCATAATTTCTGTAGCAGTAGTAACAAAAAAACCCAAACAAACCAAAAACAAAAACTTGAGGCATGATTTGTGAATAATGTGGTCAGTGGTTATAGAGTTAAAGAAAAGCAATCAGGATAGTACTGCTTTCCAATACCAGAACCCCTATGTTGGGGAGACATTATATAGGGAAAGCCAATGAGATGTAAACTTAAGTCATTGGGTAAGAGTCCAGGAGCTTTTAAAGAGGGCTGACTCAACTGGGAAACTTTTCCTGGTCCTTGCCTCATGTCTTTCCCTACTTCCTGAAATATGAATGTAATGGCTGGGGCTGCAGCAATCATTTTGCAACTATGAAGTAAGCTTGAGCATGGAAATGATGTACTAAGAATGATGGAACAGATAAAAAGAAGGAATCTGAATTCCTGATGATGTTGTGGTGCTTCCTACCATCAACTGCCCACCTCTGACTTTTTTCACGTTAGGAAAATAAGCCCCTTTTTAATACAAGCACTGATTTGGAGGTTTTCTGTTAAATGTAGCTGAACTCAATCCTCCCTGAAATACTTTTCATTTTTAAGTGCTTATTGCACTAAAAAACTTAAGTTTTGCAAAATATTTTACATTTAATCTTACAATAACCCTGTGAGTTACTATTTTTATCCTCACTTTATGAGTTGAAAAACCAAAGCATAGAGAGGTTAAGTAACCTATTCCAAATCACATTACCAATAAAGGGTGGAATCTAAATTAAAACCCAGGTTGCTTGCCTCCAAACCCATGGTCTTGACAACTGCACATGCTAGTCAGCCGTCAGTCCCCCAGTGTGAGAGCTAAAAGAGACCTTAGATATTTGGCAGTCCAATTAGCCTCAGTTTATTGATGAGCAAACTGAACTCCTGAAGTAAATGTTACTGAAGTGAAACAACCAGCCAGCATCATACGTTCTGTAAGTAATCAAATTGTAACTGACTGGATCTGTGACCAGTGCTCTTATACTAGTTGACCTGTCTGGAAATATCAGACAGGCATGACCAAAATACAAACTTACTTAAACAACTTTCACTTCCCATTAAAAGTTTCTTATCTCTACTGCCTCACTGGATTCACTCATCGATCTACGGCAGTCTGGCTGCTGCCCACCACTCTCTTAAAATTATTCTCACAAAAGAAACTAATCAACCTTGTAACTGATAAACTCAAATTCCTTTTTTCATTCCCATTTCTGATTTTTCTACAGCATCTGACATTTGCTGACCAGCTTCTATTTCCTTGAAACTTTCTCTTTCCTTGACCCAGTTCATTTTCCACATTGCCAACACTTGTATTTCTGTGACACTCATCTAATTATATGTTTCACTCTTCTTCAAAAAACTTTCACTGGCTTGCCATTATATACCTATAAGTTAAAACTTGAAATTGTTAATGTTTCAAAATTTAAAAAGTTTGTATAGATAATACAGGCATATGTACACAGTTTAAAGAACACTCAAGAGTATGTAATAATGAAGTCTCCATCTCATCCTATACCCCATCTCTCAATCTCCTTCCTCTCAGGCAATCACTGTCTCTTGGAGAAGCCTTTAGGGATATTCTGAAAATAATGTGCTTCAGGGAACACTACCTTAAAATATGGCACCTTGACACACTGAATATTTTCAGCTGAAGGAATTTGAGAAAATGGCAGAAACAGGAAATTTACTCTCACCTTCCCTCTGCTCTTCTTCCCTGAAGCAGGACATAAAACCTAGAAAGGATTTTCTGACCTTCCCCTGAAGCAGCTCATAAGACTCTCTCATGAGAGGTGCCCTTGAAATACCCACAGGAAAGGAGCATCCTTATCTCTGAAGACACAGATGCACAGAGAGGAATCTGAGCAACAGACCTTGCTATAGCCCCCCAGCTTATTACCATTAGATTGTGCTTTTTTGCCCTATCATATTTCTCCATGAGTGTCCATTCTTCATCAAACCTAGCATAAAGACACTCAGGTTTAGCCATTTATTTGGGTCTTCATTTCCTTATAAAGACTGTCATGTCACGCAAAACTTAAGCTATCCTCCCTGCAGACAGTATATCCCTTCTAGTTTGACCTTGTATAGGGGAGGTGACCCATGAGGCTTAAAGTCTTATCTCAGCACTCCCCTAACACATTTCACAAGACAACCCTGACATTTTTATGAAGAAACATATTAATCCTGAAGTTATCCTGAAGAGAAGCCATGCAAATGTGTACAATAGATAGTTTCATGAGTACTGCTACATAGTCAACAAATATATCTGGCTTCTTTTCTCTTTGACAAGACAGCTGGAGTTGAAATCCCCAGCTAGGACTAAAAGGAAACCAAACCATATAATGCTTAGAGCACATTCCTCCTGTGAATTATAAGAACCTTGAAAGTTTATGACTGTGTTCTGCATTAAGTTCCAGAATATTTATTAGTATATCAGAATCACCTAAAGCACATTGAGGGCCTAGAGAGCTTTCTTGCTTAGGAGAGGAAGAGGATCTATCTAATGGTCAAATGGGTTTCCTCAAGAGACAGTGATGTCATCACACAGAGCTGAATGACCACTTGGTAGACATGTTGCAGAAGAGAATCAAATAACATCTGGGTGCCTGGCAGGACATTTTGGCCTATCCCATTCTCAGTCTATTACTCTGGGCCCTTTCAGGTCCTTATGTGCGTTTTGGGGTATAATTACCTCGTTTTGTCTATCTTTTCTTTCCAGCGTTTTGAGGATGCTGTGTGTCTATGTGAAAGGAAAGGAAAGTATGGTGAAAAGGGGCAATGATTTCAGCTTAAAAACAAAACCAAAAACCCTCACCACTATATGATGAATTATTAATAGTATGGGAGATGAAGGGCTGTGAATTCATTGATGTAGTCACCAAAAGTTATAGCACCTGCATATTCCATTTCCTCAATCACTGCATACCTAATACTAATTAGAACACATTATTGGATTAGCTTACCTCCATGTCTTTTCAAAGAAATCTTTACCAAATGTGTCTGGTGGGCATTTTGGAGGCGTAGCCAAAGACTGCTTGAATAAATCAGTTAGGTGAGCTGCAACTTTAAACATAGATGTATTTAACTTTTATCCCCACTTCTTTATAGGGCAACACACAATCAGTACACAATTACTCATTTGAGATGCCTGTTAAGAGCCTATATAGTTAATCTATCAAGTGTTTACTAGGACTTACATGACCAAGCTGTAATACAACAGAAAACTAGACTACTTTTATGAAATATCCTACTAGAAAACACACAACTTATAGTCAAAATGTAAAATGCAGTGATATCTCATTTATCCCATATTATTAGGGGAAGTGGTGTTCTACTTAACTGAATTTCCTCATATCTGAAGCAGCAAACCTTAAAACAAATTAACCATAACATTGAAATTGTTTTTCTGGATATTTTCCTGTTCCCGAATCTAAGAACATGATTATAAGACAATGGTTGTTCAACAATTTAGGCAGCGATTCTCAGTTTATTCACAAAACACGCTCTTGGTGGGATGTCAATGGGAGATTAAAAAGAGGAAAAGATTTTCATGTTTCACGGTTATATGAGCTTGGGAAACACTGATTTATCCAAGGTTAAATAGGTTTCACTACTTTTCCGCATCTTTAATTAATTAACGTCATTGTGACTCACTAAGAAAATAAGACAATATGAAGCATTATCCAAACTTATTTTAATATGAAACTCATTTTTGGTGGAGTCTTCTCATAGATGAGTGTTTTAGGAAATACTATGGGAAAATATTGATTTAGGATCATTTTAATTAACATGTCAGGTATGCAACAGCTGTTTATTTCCTGGAACTGTTTGTTTAAAAAAATACGTTAGTTTGTATTTCACTTTTGGAAAACCTATGTGTTTTCCTTTGTTGTGCCTGTTCCTTGTCCCAGAGGTTAAAAATTCAAAAGCTACAGGGTAGCGTTGCCAGATAAAGTATAGGGCCCCTGGTTAAATTTGAATTTCAAATAAACAAACAACTTTTTATTATAAGTATATCCCAGGCTTCTGGGGACACACTGTGTCTCAGCCTGCTTTGTGTTGCTATAAAATAGTACCTGAGGCTGTGTAATTCATAAAGAAAAGAGGTTTCTTTGGCTCACAATTCTGCAGGCTGTGCAAGAAGCATGGTGCGGTCATCTGCTTCTGGTGAGGACCTTAGGCTACTTCCACTCATGGAAATGGGGGAAGGGGAGCCGGCATGTATAGAGATCACATAACGAAAAAGGAAGCAACAGAGAGAGGGGTGATGCCAGACTCATTTTACCAACCAGCTCTCATGGCAACTAATAGAGTGGGAATTCACTCACCACCAAGAGGACAGAAGGTACCAAGCCATTCATGAGGGATCCACCCCCATGACCCAAACACCTCCCATTAGGCCCCTCCTCCCTCCAACATTGGGGATCAAATTTCTTTTCTTTTCTATTTTTTGAGACAGGGTCTTGCTCTGTTGCACAGGCTGGAGTACAGTGGCATGATCTCTGCTCATTGCAACCATCACCTACCAGGCGAAAGCTATCCTCCCACCTCAGTCTCCAGAGTAGTTGGGACCACAGGCATGCACCACTACACCTGACTAATTTTTTTTTGTATTTTCCATAGAGATGGGGTTTCGCCATGTTGCCCAGGCTGGTCTCCAACACCTGGGCTCAAGAGAACCACCCACTTTGGCCTCCCGAAGTGCTAGGATTACAGGCAAGAGCCACCAGGCCGGGCCTGGGGATCAAATTTCAACATGCGATTTAAAGGGGTCAAACATCCAAACTATAGTGTACTTATACTAAAAAAAATTATTTGTCATTCATCTAAAATTTAACTAGGCCTTCTTTATTTTTATTCACTAAATCTGGCCACCCTACTACAGGAGTTGCCCAGGGTAAAAGGGTGACCACAGAGTATAGGGACACGGAGACATAGGGGGTTGTGATGGACTCCTGTGATGGTCATTCTAAAGAAGCAGCTGTCAATTATCTTCAGCCAAATTTACTATGTAATAATGTGAGATTTCAAGAGGAGAAAAATCTGGATAAACAACAACAACAATAAAAACAACTGTACAAGCCCACACTGTGGAGGATACTCAGAACCTATCTGTGGGCTGAATGAAGCGCATGGCTGCCAGTTTATGATCTTTGCCATATCGCCAACAAAACAAAACAAAAACGCACCAAATTCCTACTGCTTGTTTGCTGTGAGCTATGAAACCATCTAACCACATTTGTTAGGGCTGTGTATATATACCTCCAAATGAATATTCTTTGAATGAGATCTAAGAGTAAACTACTTGCACTACATACAGTGTAAAACAGTGCAAAGTTTTGGTTATAACAGTGTAGTTGCTCAAAAATTTTGTGTGTGGGAGGGCAGGCTGTTGGTTGGTTGACTGTTTCCTTCCTATATCTTCATTATAGTTGAGGCTAACATAAAAGTCAAATGTCAACATTTTTCACTTAATGGATGAAAGTTAAAGATGAATGAGAGAAAATCATGGTTTTCTAGGATGTCAAAGCTCAGGCAGAACAATACAGGCAGAATGACTTACAAATATAAACCACCACAACACAACATGGCCGATACAAGAATGGAGATATGTACATGGTGTCTTGTTATCAGATAAGAGAATGACCGATAAGTGTATTTAAGATGATTCCTTTGAAACTTGTAAATATACTGCAGAAGAATATTAAATGCAACTTACCTTCAGTAACATGACTTTTTGTAGTTTCCTCCATTTTAGGGAAAGACTGAAATGAAGATAGAATTACTTATGATGATTATATTACTTACAAGACTTACTTTGTTTAGAAACATTCTCTCAAGCTGATCTTTTGTAAAAACTACTATAAAATGAATTAGTTTAAAAATACTGATATAAAATTAATTTTTCTAGGTCATTCTTTCTACTTCACTAATGTCTAAAAATGGAAATGATTTTAACTTGTAAAAATTCCTTTTTCTTCTTCTTTCCTATTTCATTCATTAGTTCATTCAGCATTTCAATAAATATCAATTTCTTTTGAAGACAATAAAAGTTTCATTTAAGGGCCTTGTGAATTATTTATGAAGAGCCTAAAATGTATTTGGAAAATGCAATATATAGACAAATGGATTTCCACAAAAATTGAAAATTATGAGGAGGGAGCAAATGCTTCATGGAAGTGGCAGAAGCAGCTATTTCTTACGATATTTTGTCCTGAAACATTTAATATTGAAACAATAGTAAGAACATGGGTATACAAGGCATTTTCTCACCATAACCAGCTTGAGGAGATCAGCAGCATTGCCTCTCTCCTCCTCAGTTCTGGAATCTTTAACCATCATTTCCTGCAGCTCATCTTCTTTCTTTAGAATATAGTTTATGTAATCCTAAATCAGCAGAATAAAATACATAGACAAAAACTAGGAATTAGGAAGAGAGAGATACAAAAATGGTCATCAACTTGAAATATTACAAAAAATGAAGAATATATAGGTTTACAGTGCTCAACAACTGTTTACTAGTCAAACAACCTGAAAAGACTTTTTCTTAATATGTTAATAGGAAAAACCTGAGAAGTGCAAAAGCAAAGCTTTAAGGGCCACAGGATAGAACTGCATGGGGGCCTCAGAGAGGCCCTGTTTCTAACTGTGCACTTAAGTGTCCTCATCAATAAAATGGACAGAATTGGGTTAGATGATGTGTAGGATCCTTTCAGGTATAGTTTTTTTATTTTACCTGTAAATGGAATTTGCCTAGTTCATGTCTTTGCTTCGAAGAGAAACGTACTTTATTTTTTTCATAAGTATTTGATCAATTTCTATAACTAATAATACCCTGCTCTGTGCCAGGTGCTAGGTATATAACCATAAACAAAACACATATAATCCCTGTACTGAGGGAGTTAACAAACTTGAGATGTTATAGACATGATCATACAATTAACTATATATTTACAAATTCTTAGACCGCTTCCAAAGGCTTTTACTCTGTGGACAAATATATTAATATGTAGTTCTGTCTTTTTCCAGTGGTCACTATATCAGTTTTCTATACAGTGACAAAGATGGAGGGCACTATATAGTAATCATTTACAAAAAATTCTTACTTTTTCAATGTCTTTGGGGCTTCTTAATAATTTCTACACCTTATGGGAACCATTAAATATTTTCTACCTCTCAACCCTCTACTCTGAAAGACTGACATCCTTGTGTTGCACTAGACAAATATTGGTAGAATTACATAATTTCAGGTTTCTTAGGAAACCAAAAGCAATGATTGCTCTGTTTCTGATTCTTTTGGGTCAGGTCACCTAGATTCCATTACCTTAAGGGAAACCTGCAGCCTCAGTTTCACCTCATTCTTTATGACCTCATGCTGAATGAATTGGCGCATCTGTAGCACACTGGGGCTCTTGAGTATGGCACCCGGGGCACTCACTAGCTGTTTGGACTCAATGCAAAGGCCTTTCCAAATCTGAGTACCAAACGGAGGTCCTGGAGTTTTTTTCTGTTAACAAAACAAAGCAATAACACCACCAAAGAAATCAGAATGTTTTCACATTCAAATTTTTTTTAACTGTTCATTTATTACATAGATATCATAATAACTTTTTAGGGACACAGTGGTGAAAAAAAATCCTTAACCTCAAAAAGTTCTGCAAATATAAGGAAAATCGATAACAGAACTGGGCCTGCTTTCCTCTTTATTTATGTTACTAAGATACTGGATATTTAAAAATCCTGTTGCATGGTGTCCTGGGTAGGATGTAGAAGAGTGCTAAGCAATGTAATAGCAGCCTAGCTTATGACAAATGGATGTGGCTATTTCTTAGTATCCACAAGTAGCTGAAGACATTTGGAACTGAGCAGTCTTTCACTTTCTGGTTCTGTGTTGATTTTGACCTAGAAAGATTCTTTGCAAGAGAAATAATTCCATAGATCTGGGCCATCTTTGAGCTTAATCTAGACTAAGCATGCCTCCAGAGTCTGAGGATCCCTGGGGCAGAAAAATCTACCTTAGAGTAAACTCACATTATATGTTATACTTGTGATCGATTTTCAGGAATAGTGTGCTTTGCTGCCCTACTATGTTCTCAGGTGTGCTGGATGTGCTTCATTTCAAAAGGCCTGGCCTGTGACAGCCACTTAGGGGCTTTGCAGGCCTGTGCCACTCCTACCAGATGTAGAAGGTCAGAGCATAAGGGTTTCAGAGGATGAGAATAAACTTCCTTCAATAATCTTAGATGTGGCATACCCTTTGTCATCATGTAGTACTTAAAATTTGGATATAGCCTTAGTGTGCCATTTGGTGTGACCTCCTCATTTTCAGAGAAGGAAATGGAGACCCAGTGTGACTTGTCCAAGATCCCACTTTAATAAGGGGTAGAATCAGGACCAGAATTCAAGTCACCTTCATATTACCATGTTGACTATAGTCACCAAATTTAACCACAGGGCTAGGAGGTCATTGTAATCTTAAATGTTCATCATTTGTGTTTGCTATTACAAGGTTTAGTGTAGGACAGCAAAAATGATGACAATCAAAAACATTATCTCAATTAACACTACTATCAATCTCTGATCATACCATCAATAGCTTCACTGATTTAATTATTTAACACCTGACAATATGTTGGACATGTGACATAAATTGCTTGTAAAATGAAATGGTAAATTATGCAAGATGCAGGACTTCATTGATTCTTACCCAAGATATTTTATTTTTTTAAAAAATTTAGCTGGAGCTTCTCTTAACTGACATAATTACAATGTTTACTTTCTAACACTGCAATTGCAAATGTGCGTAAAATCCTTCATATTGTTCTTAGATGGTCAGTTCGTGCATTTTTAATATATGAAGAAAAAAAGGGAGAGTAAAAGGCACAAAATTGTGTGTTAAAATTAACAAATAAGAAATGATAGAAGGAAAGATTTCTGTATGATATAATATCAGTAATTCCATGACAGAGGTGTAACCTGGCTTACTCAGAAAGAATGTTTGCATATTATAGGAAGATGTTCAAGCCTGCAATACAGGATAAAAGAAATAAAACTGAAATGAGCTAGCCAGGAGTATTCCTCTGAAATGTTGTTGCCACATCTACAAATGTTAGAATCTTCAAATATAAAACTCCTTGAGCACATTAAAAATTTACATAAGAATGAAAATATATGAATATATGGGAGAAGACTTAAGACTCTGGTCCATTGCCCTTGGATGGATGTATACGCTAATAAAATGACTTTTTAGAAGAAATTATATACCTCAACTGAGGGAAATGTTTCCCATGACCTTGACCGGAGATTAGGAGGGACAATTGTATCTTCCTTTTTTACTTGCCATGGTGATGCTTCATGGAAAGGGCGAAGGACTGTGATGGTTAGGGTGCCTGGTTCAAAGAAAGTTGTCAGAAGACCATTACCCATTGAAAGTACTCAGAGAAAATGAAAACGCATTGACTAAATTCAACAAGCTCTTTTTGAACAGACTTAGACATGAAAGACTAATGAGACACAATGACTATACTTAGGAACCTTACAATCAAATAAGAAGGATGAAGCTTTTAGGCACTGTGACACCTAGAGACTAGATTTAGATCACCTGGAAGTATTCATTGACACCTCATCGTCCCTCACCAACCACATACAAGTTCTGTCAGTTCTCCCAATAAACTTGTTGAGTCCATCTTTTTCCCTCTCTGTGAACCCTACTTTATGTGCCTCAAAAAGATCCTGCTCTAGACTACAGCAACAACTGGTTTTGCCACCTATATATACTCTGTGAATGAACCTTCCCTTGCAGTCAGGGTGACTGATTATGTTAGTCCATGATGAAAACTCTTTTTTGCCTTCACATCGCTCATGAGATAAAAGATGGTCCTTAACATTCTTTTGCCTCTACCTCAACTTGTACTATTCTTCCCCTCTGTGCTTCAGCTACTTTGGCCTTTCCCCCAACCCGTGTTTTCCAATGCTTTATGCTTTCTCCTTTATGTTTTCTTTTCCAAAAAAGCTCTCTCTCTTACCTTAATTAACCATTACCTACCCACTAGCTCTTGGCTCAGGTGTCTTCAGGGAAGCCTTCTTGACTATGTCAGTTTCTTCTGTTAGATTCTCTCATAGAACTATGTTCTTTCCCCTCGGAGACCTTATCCCAACTTATAATCATACAGTTGTGTGACTTTATAGTTAACATCTATCTCTCCCAGTAACCTAAGAGCTCCACTGAAACAGGGTCCATGCCTGTTTTAGTTCACCATTGTATTCCTAACACCCAGCCAGTGTTTAGTACATGGTGGTTTGCCAAATAGAGGTTAGTTAAATGACTAACAAACCAATGTGAGATGAATTCTTATTCTCCCACAGTTCCATACATGCACCACACTGACTGGGGGTCAGTCAGAGTCCCCCATATTCCATATTCACAAAGAGCAAGGTGTATTAATGTCATGCACATGTGCATTGATAAACTAAAAGTTATAAGGGCACAGAAATGCAGGCATATTTATAAATGCACACAAAATGTATCCCAAAACACAGAAAAAAGATGAAATAACACACACACACACACACACACACACACACACACACACACAAACCTAGGCACAGCACATAGGTTTTGTACACAGATAATATGTAGGCTAATATCTATATTTAAATACACATATTACATATACTGGATGGTTCTTACTTAATGTTTTATGTATCTCTAACCTCTGGCAAACACCAATTTCTTTGAAGTTGATGAAAACAATGTAAGTACCCAATGAATGTAGCTTATATAAGTTACCGGGTATTTCAGGTTGGCATTATAACTCACCTATCAATTTCATCAAAGCAATATCTTCAAAATGACAAAAAATGAATTTACAAGAGATATCTCACTGTTCTTTGTTTTTTCTTACCAAGATGAAATGAACTCATAAATCAGAACTTTGGTACATACCTAAACACAGATACAAATCTGCGTATAGGAGAAGAGGGATACATACTCAGCGTATGCAGACTGGTGCTCAGATGTATCTTGATATACACATAAATTCAAGTAGCTATATAAATAAGTTGACATGACTTATTCATGTCAACTTATTTCTGCTCTACTTTCCAAAGTAGAGCAGAAAAGTGAGCAAAGCGGAAAAAGTAAGATGACATGAAGATAGACTGGATAGTAAGGAGGATGAGAATTGGCAAAGAGACACCGTGCATTCCAGACAGTATGGGTCCTCTACCTGGCTGTTCCTGCACTGGCTCTTGGAGAACAACAGTATTTGATTCTTTATATGCCAAAGATAGATATTCTTCTATGTCACTGTCTCGAAGAAGTTCCATTCCTGATCCATCAGCATACATAACAAAAAACCTATTTGAAGAAATAAAAATATAATCACTTCAAGTATTCCGTTAAAATTCTCCTTGAACTCAGAATTAAAAGTAAAATTATAGTATTATTCTTTTACCTGGGGACATGTTCACCATAGATTTGCTGATGATTCTTTTCAAGGTGCATAGAGGACAGACTATCATAGCCCTCAGTTTTCTCATTTAAATCATCTTCCAATTTTTTTTCAGGTAATATAGTTGATATGCTACCATCAGCCATGACCTAAGGGATAAAGTATGTAAGCAACTAAAAGAAAAGAAAGTCATAATGCTTAAACTTCTGCTGATTCAATTTGAGAAAACAGATGATTTGGTGGGTTTACTCACAAAATTGGAGATGTTTATTTGCAAGGTATTGTTTACTAAGTAGAGACTGCATTAATAAAAGTAAAAACCTAGCAGCATAACTCTACTTATAAATGACACCTAGAACAG
Source organism: Homo sapiens (assembly GCF_000001405.40). Taxonomy (NCBI): domain Eukaryota; kingdom Metazoa; phylum Chordata; class Mammalia; order Primates; family Hominidae; genus Homo; species Homo sapiens. The sequence goes on from NC_000001.11 coordinate 117,996,956, forward strand.
GAACACAGACTGAAACATATTCAGAATGAAGTGAATAGGATGGGGAGGATACTCCAAACCTCATACTGTGAAGATAGGTTCAAGAAATTGGGAATTTAAACATGGAGGAATGGGTACTCATGCAATAGTTGTCTTGAATTATTTGCAAGGACCTTTGAATGGAAGGGGCTTATAATCTGGGATGTCAAACACACAATTGTGGCTCATGGGTAGAATACATTGGGAAATAGATTTAGTATGAATATGAGAAAAAATGTTCTAGTCCTTTATTACTGTCTAAATATGGCCCGGGTCTCTCCAGGAAGGGGTGTGATTCATGCTGCAAGACCACTGAAGGGGATGCCCAAGAGGAGTATCAATGCCCAGAAAAATGCTTGGCTTAGAGGGTTTTGAGCTTTAAGTTTCTACTTCAATTTGCTGTAAATTGAAATTTGTCAGTTTGAACTCATGCTGTGAAGAGTTTCAGTTACTTAGCAAAGAAAAAATAAGCTGGATCAGGGCTTATCTACATATCAAAACAAAGTTAGGAATTCTGTTGTATAACTCCAAATCTAAAAAATAACTTCATACCTACTAGCTGATAGACAAAATTTCACTGTTGAATGAGAAGTAAAAAAAAAAAAAAAAAGAAAAGAAAAAAGATAAATGCCTAGAGCAATGGTTGGCAAATCTTTTTTGTCACAGGCACGATAGTAAATATTTTAGAGTTTGAGTTTGCAGGCCATACATTCTCTGTTGCAGCTACTCAACTCTGCCATTATTGTGCAAAGCAGCCACAGACAGTATGTAAACAAATGAGCATGACTGTGTTCCAATAAAACTTTATAAAACGACATTGAAATTTGTATTTCCTATAATTTTATTGTGTCTTCTTCTTTTGCTTTTTCAAAAACCATTTACGCATATATGAAACCATTTTTAGTTCATGGGCTATAGATAAACAAGTGGCCATAGTTTGCCAATTCCTGACCTAGAGGTGAGGGGATAGTCGTGGTGTTGAAAGACAAAGAAGCAAATATTTTCTCCCATTCTGTAGGTTGTCTGTTTAGTCAGTTGATAGTCTGTTGATAGTTTCTTTTGCTGTACAGAAGCTTTTTAGTTTAATTAGGTCCCATTTGTCAGTTTTTGCTTTTGTTGCAATTGCTTTTGGTGTCTTTGCCATGAAATCTTTGCCAGAGTCTGTGACCAGAATGGTATTTTCTGGGTTTTCTTCAAGGGTTTTTGTAGTTTAGGTTTTACATTTAAGTCTTTAATACATCTTGAGACAATTGTTGTATATGGTGTAAGGAAGGGGTCTAGTTTCAATCTTCTGCATATAGCTAGCCATTTATCCCAGTACCATTTATTGACTAGGGAGTCCTTTCCTCATTGCTTGTTTTTGTTGGTTTTGTTGAAGATCAGATGATTGCAGGTGTGCAACTTTATATCTGGGCTCTCTATTTGGTTTCATTGGTCTATGCATCTGTTTTAGTACTGGTATCATGCTATTTTGGTTATTGCAGCCCTGTAGTACAGCTGAAGTTGGGTAATGTGATGCCTCAACCTTTGTTCTTTTTGCTTAGGATTGCTTTGGCTATTTGGGCTCTTTTTTTGGTTCCATGTGAATTTTAGAATAGCTTTTTCTGATTCTGTGAAGAATGTCATTGGTACTGTGATAGGAATAGTCTTGAATCTGTAAATTGCTTTGGGCAGTATGGCCATTTTAACAATATTGATTGTTCCTATCCATGATCATGGAATGTTTTCCCATTTGGTTGTGTCATCTCTGATTTCTCTTATCAATGTTTTGTAATTCTCAGTGTAGAGAACTTTCACCTCCCTGGTTAGCTGTATTCTTAGGTATTTTATTTTTTGGTGGCTATTGTGAATAGGATTGTGTTCTTTTATTATTATTATTATACTTTAAATTCTAGGGCACATGTGCGTGCAGGCTTGATACATAGGTATACATGTGCCATATTGGTTTGCTGCACCCATCAACCTGTCATTTACATTAGGTATTTCTCCTAATGCTATCCATCCCCCAGCCTCCTACCCCCGACAGTCCCCCATGTGTGATGTTCCCCGCCCTGTGTCCAAGTGTTCTCATTGTTCAATTCCCACCTATAAGTGAGAACATGTGGTGTTTTGTTTTCTGTCCTTGTGACAGTTTTCTGAGAATGATGTTTCCAGTTTCATCCATGTCCCTCCAAAGGACATTAACTAATCCTTTTTTATGTCTGCATAGTATTCCATGGTGTATATGTGCCACATTTTTTTAATCCAGTCTATCATTGATGGATATTTGGGTTGGTTCCAAGTCTTTGCTATTGTTAATAGTGCGGCAGTAAACATACGTGTGCATGTATCTTTATAGTAGCATGATTTATAATCCTTTGGGTGCATACCCAGTAATGGGATTGCTGGGTCAAATGTTATTTCTGGTTCTAGGGCCTTGAGGAATCACCATACCATCTTCCACAATGGTTGAACTAGTTTACACTCCCACCAACTGTAAAAGTGTTCCTATTTCTCCACATCCTCTCCAGCATCTGTTGTTTCCTGACTTTTTAACGATTGCCATTCTAACTGGCATGTGATGGTATCTCATTGTGGTTTTGATTTGCATTTCTCTGATGACCATGATGATGAGCATTTTTTCATGTGTCTGTTGGCTGCATAAATGTCTTCTTTTGAGAAGTGTCTGTTCATATCCTGTGCCCACTTTTTGATGGGGTTGTTTTTTTCTTGTAAATTTGTTTAAGTTCTTTGTAGATTCTGGATATTAGCCCTTTGTCAGATGAGTAGATTGCAAAAATTTTCTCCCATTCTGTAGGTTGCCTGTTCACTCTGATGGTAGTTTCTTTTGCCGTACAGCAGCTCTTTAGTTTAATTATATCTCATTTGTCTATTTTGGCTTTTGTTGCCATTGTTTTTGGTGTTTTAGTCATGAAGTACTTGCCCATGCCTATGTCCTGAATGGTATTGCCTAGGTTTTCTTCTAGGGTTTTTATGGTTTTAGGTCTAACATGTAAGTCTTTAATCCATCTTGAATTAATTTTTGTCTAAGGTGTAAGGAAGGGATCCAGTTTCAGCTTTCTACATATGGCTAGCCAGTTTTCCCAGCATCATTATTAAACAGGGAATCCTTTCCCCATTTCTTATTTTTGTCAGGTTTGTCAAAGATCAGATGTTTGTAGATGTGTGGTGTTATTTCTGAGGCCTCTGTCCTGTTCCATTGGTCTATATCTCTGTTTTGATACCAGTACCATGCTGTTTTGGTAACTGTAGCCTTGTAGTATAGTTTGAAGTCAGGTAGCATGATGCCTCCAGCTTTGTTCTTTTTGCTTAGGATTGTCTTGGCAATGTGGGCTCTTTCTTGGTTCCATATAAACTTTAAAGTAGTTTTTTCCAATTCTGTGAAGAAAGTCATTGGTAGCTTGATGGGGATGGCATTGAATCTATAAATTACCTTGGGCAGTATGGCCATTTTCACAATATTGATTCTTCCTATCCATGAGCATGGAATGTTCTTCCATTTGTTTATGTCCTTTTCTATTTAGTTGAGCAGTGGTTTGTAGTTCTCCTTGAAGAGGTCCTTCACATCCCTTGTAAGTTGGATTCCTAGGTATTTTATTCTCTTTGTAGCAATTGTGAATGGTGGTTCACTCACGTTTGGCTCTCCGCTTGTCTGTTATTGATGTATAGGAATGCTTGTGATTTTTGCACATTGATTTTGTATCTTGAGATTTGCTGAAGTTGCTTATCAGCTTAAGGAGATTTTGGGCTGAGATGATGGGGTTTTCTAAATATACAATCATGTCATCTGCAAACAGGGACAATTTGACTTCCTCTTTTCCTAATTGAATACCCTTTATTTCTTTCTCTTGCCTGATTGCCCTGGCCAGAACTTCTGACACTATGTTGAATAGGAGTGGTGAGAGAGGGCATCCTTGTCTTGTGCCGGTTTTCAAAGGGAATGCTTCCAGTTTTTGCCCATTCAGTATGATATTGGCTGTGGGTTTGTCATAAATAGCTCTTATTATTTTGAGATACGTTCCATTGATACCTAGTTTATTGAGAGTTTTTAGCATGAAGTGCTGTTGAATTTTGTTGAAGGCCTTTTCCGCATCTATTGAGATAATCATGTGGTTTTTGTTGTTGGTTCTGTTTATGTGATGGATTATGCTTAATGGTTTGCGTATGTTGAACCAGCCTTGCATCCTGTGAATGAAGCCGACCTGAACATGGCGGATAAGGTTTTGATGTGCGGTTGGATTCAGTTTGCCAGTATTTTATTGAAGATTTCACATCGATGTTCATCAGGGACATTGGTCTAAAATTCTCCTTTTTTGTTGTGTCTCTGCCAGGCTTTGATGTCAGGATGATGTTGGCCTCATAAAACAAGTTAGGGAGGATTCCCTCTTTTTCTATTGATTGGAATAGTTTCAGAAGGAATGGTACCAGGTCCTTTTTGTGCCTGTGGTAGAATTCAGCTGTGAATCTGTCTGGTCCTGGACTTTTTTTGGCTGGTAGGCTATTAATTATTGCCTCAATTTCAGAGCCTGTTATTGGTCTATTCAGAGATTCAACTTCTTCCTGGTTTAGGCTTGGGAGGGTGTATGTGTCCAGGAATTTATCCATTTCTTCTAGATTTTCTAGTTTATTTGCATAGAGGTGTTTATAGTATTCTCTGATGGTAGTTTGTATTTCTGTGGTATCCGTGGTCATATCTCTTTTATCATTTTTTATTGTGTCTATTTGATTCTTCTCTCTTTTCTGCTTTATTAGTCTTCCTAATGGTCTATCAATTTTGTTGGTCTTTTCAAAAAACCAGCTCCTGGCAATTCATTGATTTTTTGAAGGGTTTTTTGTGTCGCTATCTCTTTCAGTTCTGCTCTGATCTTAGTTATTTCTTGCCTTCTGCTAGCTTTTGAATTTGTTTTCTCTTGTTTTTCTAGTTCTTTTAATTGTGATGTTAGGGTGCTGATTTTAGATATTTCCTGCTTTCTCTCATGGGCATTTAGTGCTACAAATTTCCCTCTACACACTGCTTTAAATGTGTCCCAGAGATTCTGGTATGTTGTGTCTTTGTTCTCATTGGTTTCAAAGAACATCTTTATTGCTGCCTTTATTTTGTTATTTACTCAGTAGTCATTCAGGAACAAGTTGTTAAGTTTCCATATATTTGTGTGGTTTTGAGTGAGTTTCTTAATCCTGAGTTCTAATTTGATTGCACTGTGGTCTGAGAGACAGTTTGTTGTGATTTCTGTTCTTTAACATTTGCTGAGGAGTGCTTTACTTCCAATTACGTGGTCAATTGTAAAATAAGTGTGATGTGGTGCTGAGAAGAATGTATATTCTGTTGATTTGGGGCGGAGAGTTCTGTAGATGTCTATTAGTTCTGCTTGGTGCAGAACTGAGTTCAAGTCCTGGATATCCCTGTTAACCTTCTGTCTCATTGATCTGTCTAATATTGACAGTGGGGTGTTAAAATCTCCCATTACTATTGTGTGGGAGTCTAAGTCTCTTTGTAGGTCTCTAAGGACTTGCTTTATGAATCTGGGTGCTCCTGTATTGGGTGCATATATATTTAGAATAGTTAGTTCTTCTTGTTGAATTGATCCCTTTACAAATATGTAATGGCCTTCTTTGTCTCTTTTGATCTTTGTTGGTTTAAAGTCTGTTTTATCAGAGACTAGGATTGCAACCCCTGCTTTTTTTTTGTCTTTCCATTTGCTTGGTAGATCTTCCTCTATCCCTTTATTTTGAGCCTATGTGTGTCTTTGCACATGAGATGGGTCTCCTGAATGCAGCACACTGATGGGTCGTGACTCTTTATCCAATTTGCCAGTCTATGTCTTTTAATTGGGGCATTTAGCCCATTTACATTTAAGGTTAATATTGTTATGTGTGAATTTGATCCTGTCATTATGATGTTAGCTGGTTATTTTGCCCATTAATTGATGCAGTTTCTTCATAGCATAGATGGTCTTTACAATTTGGCATGTTTTTGTAGTGGCTGGTACTGGTTGTTTCTTTCCATGTTTAGTGCTTCCTTCGGGTGCTCTTGTAAGGCAGGCCTAGTGGTAACAAAATCTCTCAGCATTTGCTTGTCTGTAAAGGATTTTATTTCTCCTTCACTTATGAAGCTTAGTTTGGCTGGATATGAAATTTGGGGTTGAAAACTCTTTTCTTTCAGAATGTTGAATATTGGCCCCCACTCTCTTCTGGCTTGCAGGGTTTCTGCCAAGAGATCCACTGTCAGTCTGATGGGCTTCCCTTTGTGGTAACTCGACCTTTCTCTCTGGCTGCCATTAACATTTTTTCCTTCATTTCAACCCTGGTGAATTTGACACTTGTGTCTTGGGGTTGCTCTTCTCGAGGAGTATCTTTGTGATGTTCTCTGTATTTCCTGAATTTGAATGTTGGCCTGCCTTGCTAGGTTGAGGAGTTCTCCTGGATAATATCCTGAAGAGTGTTTCCCAACTTGGTTCCATTCTCCCCATCACTTTCAGGTCCATCAGTCAAACATAGATTTCATCTTTTCACATAGTCCTGTATTTCTTGGAGGCTTTGTTTGTTTCTTTTTACTCTAAATTTCTTTTCTCACTTTATTTCATTAATTTGATCTTCAGTCACTTATACCCTTTCTTCCACTTGATCAAATCAGCTATTGAAGCTTGTGCATGTGTCATGAAGTTCTCATGTCATGGTTTTCAGCTCCATGAGGTCATTTAATGTCTTCTCTACATGGTTTATTCTACTTAGCCATTCGTCTAAGCTTTTTTCAAGGTTTTTAGCTTCCTTGCGATGGGTTTGAACATGTTCCTTTAGCTCAGAGAAGTTTGTTATAACTGACCTTCTGAAGCCTACTTCTGTCAACTCATCAAAGTCAGTCTCCATCCAGCTTTGTTCTGTTGCTGGTAAGGAGCTGTGATCCTTTGGAGGAGAAGCACTCTGATTTTTAGAATTTTCAGCTTTTCTGCTCTGGTTTCTCCCCACCTTTGTCGTTGTATCTACCTTTGGTCTTTGATGTTGGTGACCTACAGATGGAGTTTTGGTGTAGATGTCCTTTTTGTTGATGCTGACACTATTCCTTTCTGTTTGTTACTTTTCCTTCTAATAGTCAGGTCCTTCAGCTGCAGGTCTGTTGGAGTTTGCTGGATGCCTGGGTATCACTAGTGGAGGCTGCAGAACAACAAATATTGCAGAACTGCAAATATTGCTGCCTGATCCTTCCTCTGGAAGCTTCGTCCCAGAGGGGCACCTGCCTATATGAGGTGTCTGTTGGCCCCTACTGGGAGGTGTCTCCCAGTTAGGCTACACGGGGGTCATGGACCCACTTGTGGAGGCAGTGTGTCCCTTCTCGGAGTTCAAACGCCATGTTGGGAGAACCACTGCTCTCTTCAGAGCTGTTGGACAAGGATGTTTAAGTCTGCAGAAGTTGTCTGCTGCCTTTCGTTCAGCTAAGCCCTGCCCACAGAGGTGGAGACTAGAGGCAGTAGGCCTTGCTGAGCTGTGGTGGGCTTTGCCCATTTCGAGCTTCCTGGCTGCTTTGTTTACCTACTCAAGCCTCAGCAATGGCGGACCCCCTCCCCCAGCCAGGCTGCTGCCTCACAGTTTGATCTCAGGCTGCTGTTTAGCAGTCAGCAAGGCTCCTTGGGCGTGAGATCCACCAAGCCAGGCATGGGAGAGAATCTCCTTATCTGTTGGTTGCTAAGACCATTGGAAAAGCACAGTATTTGGGCAGGAATGTCCTGTTTTTCCAGGTACAGTTTGTCATGGTTTCCCTTGGCTAGGAAAGGGAAATCCCCTGACACCTTGCACTTCCCAGGTGAGGCGGATGCCCTGCCCTGCTTCATCTTGCCCTCCGTGGGCTGCACCCACTGTCCAACTGGTCCCAGTGAGATGAACCAGGTACTTCAGTTGGAAATGCAGAAATCACCCATCTTCTGTGTCGATCACACTGGGAGCTGCAGATTGGAGCTGTTCCTATTCAGCCATCTTCAGGATTGTGTTCTTGATTTGGCACTCAGCTTGGATGTTGGTCCACTTCCCCACTTTCAACCCTACTGTATCCTTCTTACCATCTTACTCTGTGACTACTCAAAGAAACTTGCCTCCTGTCTTGTGTTTGCTCTGACTTCAACTTGGATAAGGACCATTGCCACATCATTCTTTATGTTGGCATTATTTTCAGATGTCTGCTACTGTTTCTTCCTTTCTGTTCTAATTATTTATTTAGCCCTAACATTTCTATCCCACCAATTATTCGGCTTGCCATTCTCCATGAAAGTACACTTAAGAATCAAAGGAAATGTATTGACATTCATTACTGCTTGCCCAAAGTATTGGCAGTAAGTGGATAATTAATCCCAAGGCAACTAAGGTAAAAATCTACATGGAAGCTTTGTAGTGTGAAATATCTCAAAAGCAAAGCCACAGGCTCTCTCTCCATACCAAAGGTGCACTTTACCTGAAAAGTGTTTCCCTCAGGATCCAGAACCTCACAGATAACCTCTGAAGTATGCCTCATGATGTACCTGCCAGCTCGCAGCTGCTCACGCTTTTGAAAAGGATAGTATATATTACTGCTTGACTCATGGCAGTACACAGCTGAACAATCCTTGTCAATATAAAGAGAGCCTGTGTTTGGAGGTAACACCTGAAAGAGTAACAGAAAGACAGAAATTATTAAAATTTTCTTGTTAAATATGTGGGACTTGGAAAACCATTTTAGGAGAAAGAATACCCATAGATCCTAGTCACAAACTGTGTTTGCAGGAGGAAAACATTAATCAAGGGAGGACTTAAGGTTTGGAAAGGGCTACTCGATAAAGAGGCAAACTGAATAGTTAGGATATCATTTCTCCTGTATCCTCATATCTTATCTGCTCGCTTTAATATCTCTTCTAACTAATTGTCTTATGCCCCCTTATTTCTAATATTTAACATATTTTAGCTGAGGTTACATACATGTTTGGCCCTATTCATCCTATTCTAAATGTTTGGGGTTGCTCATGATCTTGGATAAGAAGCATCTCTGAAAGGGTATAAAACTGTGCGATAAGTGCTCTTAGAAACTCATCTCTCCTCTCTCTGGTGGCTGACACGGTCCTTAAGTAATAGACTTCATGTAATGAATTCTGGTTCAAACAGATCTTTTTCCGAAATATAATTTACATATCATAGATTTACCCTTTAAAAGTGTATAATTCCGTGGGTTTTAGTATATTCAAAAATGTGTGAAGCCATTATCACTAATTCCGTAACACTTTTATCATCGCCCAAAGAAACGCTGATCCTGTTAGAAATCTTTCTGGATCACTAGGCCTTAGGCCCTGGCAGCCACTAATCTACTGTCTATGGATATACCTATTCTAGATACTTCATTTAAATGGAAGCATGTACTCTGTGGCCTTTTGTGTCTGGCTTCTTTCAGTTAGCATAATGTTTTCAAGGTTCACTCATGTTGTAGCACACAGTACTTTATTCCATTTTATGGATAAGTAATATTCCATTGTATGGCTATATCAGATTTTCTTTATTCACTTATGAGTTGCCATCATTTGCATTGTTTTCAGTTTTGCTATTATTAAAGATGTTGCTGTAAATATTGTGTACAAGTTTTTGTGCAGATGTATGTTTTCTCTTGGATATATACCTAGGAGTGGAATTGCTGGGTCATATGACAACTAAGTTTACCTTTTGAGGAAGTGCCAAGTTGTTTTCCAAAGTGACTATACCATTTTCCAAGTGACTAACCACTTTCCAAAGTGACTTATACCATCAGCAATTTCTGAGGGTTCCAATTTCTCCATACCTTTGCTAACACTTGTGATTATCTGTCTTTTTGATTACAGTTTTCTAGTGGGTGTGAAGTGATATCTCATTGCAGTTTGCGCTGCAGCTCCCTCACAACTAATGATGTTGAGCATCTTTTCTTGGCTTATTTGCTATTTGCATATCTTTGGAGAAATTCAAATCCTTTGCTCATTTTAAAGTGGGTTATTAGTCTTTTTATTGTTGAGTTATGAGAGTTCTAAGTTGTAGGGTACTCTGTACATGAGACCATTATCAGTTATATGATTTTCAAATAACATCTTCTATTCTGTAGTTTATCTTTTCACGTTCTTGGTGGTGTCCTTTGAATCACAAACTTTTTTTTGATTTTGGTAAAGCTTGTATGTTTGGCATCATATCTAAGAAACTATTGCCTAATCAAAAACATGAAAATTTATATCTATGTTTTCTTTCATCTCTCACTTCCAGCACCTTCCTTGCCCCATAATAATCTACACTGGATGAAGAGGTGGAAGGATAACATTATCAGAAGAGATGAGAGGGATAAACTGACTTCAGCAACTTTCACAGTAACAAATGTTTGCCAGTGAGATCTTTGTCTATCATCTTCTAGCTTTTAGCTCTCAGTATCTAGTGACATTGTTTGCAATATTTTTGCTCTAGTGTCCTTTCTCCAGCAAGTGAAAAGCTGAAAGCAAGTCCTTTTAAGGCTAAAGGAACTGCATGCTGACACTGGATGGTTGTGTTTAAAGGGGAAATGCAGAAAGGTAGGGAAGGTGCTAACTGCTCCTCCTTGGCCTTCCAAGGACAGAGCTTTGCTTCAGCTAGGAGAACTGCCCTCCAGGGACCACACACACCATGTGCTCTGTCTTGTGCTGCTAGGACTTTGAGTAGAGTAGTGAGGACTGACTGGAGGTGGGAAGGATGGATAATGAGAATGAGGGTCGAGGCGGCAGGAGGTGAAGCTGGTCTGTTAGGCACAAGCCAAACCATCTAAGTGTTTCTAACACCCACAGTGCCTAGCACATAAGAAATCCTCAACTAACACATTTTGGTTTATAACCTTGGTCCAAAACTACCGAAGTTTTGCAAAACAAGCAGGACAATGTTTTTCTGGCATGGGATGTAAAAAGGGATGAATAAATAAGAGTTTGAGAAGTATATTCTAAGATGTTAGTATTATAAGAGAATGAAAGCAACAGCAGTGTACATTGCAGGCATTTTTACTGCCCCAGAGAAGTGGGTTTTCTCAGCTGAATAGACACTCATCTTTGGCGCTTCTCATTTTCCTCGTAGACCTACCTGGTATGTTCCCTGTGGCTTTGCAATAATAGTTGTTCCATCTCCAAAGGTGGCACAGCAGCTACTGTCCTCACAGTTGGCGATAACAGTGGCATAGCGTGAGCTTTCTACCCGCATACACTTCACCTGCCTGGTGACAGTCCGAGGACCCTCGGCTACAAGCAAATGCAAGGTAAGCAGATCTGATAGGATGTAGACATTGCAAAACAGACCTCAGCCTATTGATTTTGCTGCTGTTTCCTGGCTGTCTGGATTCCCCATGGAAAAAACACAATTGTAAAGTCTAGAGCAAGTACTGAGAACTCCACAGGGTTGGAGTGTGGCCTGCTGTTCTTGTCAATTCATAATAATTCTTCCAGAAAAAATCTTCTTAATTTAGTATGCTGTCTTATTCTCACTATTTATTTGCAGGAGTTGAGAACATCTGATTTTTCAACTTGAAAAATTGAAAAGCATAAAATATAATTTAAGCACTCAGATATTCATCAATTAAAATTTATACTTTTTAATACATATGTAAAATAAAAATTACAGATAATATTGAAGTTTCTCCTTATATCTGGGCTTATTTCTATCTTGAAATTCATTTTTACACTTTTATGTACATATATATCATGAACAATATAAATGTGTGTGCTTTAAATGTATGTAAGCTATATGTTACTCTATGTATTTATGTAATTACTGTACTGTCATTCTACACCTGCTTTTTTCATTTAATACAGTTTCAAGACCTCGAACCATCTTGATCTATATGTATCCATCCATCTATCTATACATATATGTGTGCATAGATATATTTATTTGTGTGTGTATGACTCCCCTTAACAACCTTATAGTATTATTTTGTAGGAATTTACCACATTTTGTTTTTCTATTCTGCCACTGATGGACATTTATATTTTCCCAATATTTCAATATTATACTCAATGCTGCAAGTCACTCCTCTGTATTTGTTTCCTTGTGCAAATGTGTATGAGTGTCCCTCTCTCTATAAGCAGAAATAAAGTTAGTGCATCATAATATGATATGCATGATTTTGTGGGTGGGGTGGGGAGATGTAGGTCAAAGCATATAAAGTTACAATTATACAATTATGTAAGATGAATAAGTATAAGAATGTAATGTATAGCATAAAAACTATAGTCAATAACTTGTATTGTATAATGACGATTTTCCAAGAGTGTAGACTTTAGGTGCTCATAACACACACACACACACACACACACACACACACACACACACAAACTATATGAGGTAAGAGATATATTAATTTGCTTCACTTAGTCCACTATGTATATGGATATCAAAATATCATTTTGTACATCTTAAATATATCCAATAAAAACATTGACATTAAGGAAAGGGAACTCACGGAATAACTTCTCATTAAAAATATTTCTTAAATTAAGGTTCAGAAGAGTGGAAGGCTTTTAGAGTCTTTGAGCAGGTTCCAGTTAATTAGCAGCTACCGTTTCCTTTTTTCTGATGCCACCTTTCTGACGAAAGACATGCTGAGACTGAAGACCTATCTGAGGTCACCTATTTATGCAAATTAGATGCCTTGAGGATCAAAGGAAACATCTGAAAGCTAGTATCTAGGACAGATGAATATGGTTATTAGGTTTTAGTTGCCACCAATCAAAGACTATTACTAACCATCAGCTAACTAGAGCTGTTATCACTCCCATCTCTGTTGAGATAATGATCATAATAAAAGGTCCTAATGCATCCTCATATTCATTGCAGCATTATTCACAAAAACCAAGATTTGGAATCAGTCTACATGTTCATCAATGGATGAATAAATAAGGAAAATAAAGAAAATAAAGAAAATAAAGTAAATATAGGCAATAGAATACTATTCAGTGTTAAAAAAAAAGAAATCTGTCATTTGCAACAATATGGATAAACCTGGAGGACATTATTTTAAGTAAAATAATCCAGGTACAGAAAGACAAATAGCACACTTATATGCAGATTCTACAGAAGTTGAACTCATGCAAGTAGAGAGTAGAATGGTAGTTACCAGCCATTGGGGTGAGGAATTGGGGAGATGTTGGTCAAAGGATATAAAATTTCAGTTATATAAGAGGAATAAATTAAAGAGATATACTGTATAACATGGTGACTATAGTAAATAACATATTGTATTTTGAAAATTTCTAAGAGAGTAGATTTTAAGTATTCTCACAATTAAAAATGATAAGTACAAAGAACAAAGCTGGAGGCAACCGTAACCGTGCTACTCAACTATAAGCTATACTACAGGACTACAGTAACCAAAATGGCATGGTACTTGTACCAAAACAGCAAAACAGACACATAGACCAATGGAACAGAATAGAGAGCCCAGAAATAAAGCCACACACCTACAGTCATCTGATCTTAAACAAATCAACAAAAACAAGCAATGATGAAAGGACTCCCTATTCAATAAATGGTACTGAGATAAATGGCTGGCCATATGCAGAAGATTGAAACTGCACCCCTTCCTTACACCATATAGAATAATTATCTAAAGATGAATTAAAGAATAAAATGTAAAACCCAAAATTATAAAAACCCTGAAAGACAACCTAGGCAATACCATTCTAGACGTAGCAACAGGCAAAGATTTCATGACAAAGATACCAAAAGCAATTGCAACAAAAGCAAAAATTGACAAGTGAGATCTAATTAAAACAAAGAAATTCTGCACAGCAAAAGAAACTATCAACAGACTAAACTGACAACCTACAGAATGGGAGAAAATATATACAAACTATGCATCTGACAAAGGTTCATACATGCTAACATCCAGCATCCGTAAGGAATTTAAACAAATTAGCAAGCAAAAAACCAAACAACCCCATTAAAAAGTGGGCAAAAAACATGAACAGTTTTCAAAAGAAGACATAAACGTGGCCAAAAAACACATGAAGAAAAGCTCAACATCACTGAACATTAGAGAAATGCAAATCAAAACCACAATGAGATACACTCTCACATCAGTCAGAATGGCAATTATTAAAAGGCCAAAAAGTAACAGATGCTGGCCAGGTTGCAGCAAAAAATGAATGCTTATACACTGCTGGTGGGAATTTAAATTAGTTCAGCCACTGTGGAAGACAGTGTGGTGATTCTTCAACGACCTGAATACAGAAGTACTATTCGACCCAGCAATCCCATTACTGGGTATATACCTAAAGGAATATAAATCATTTTACTGTAGAGACACATACACACATATGTTCACTGTAGCACTGTTCACAATAGTAAAGATATGGAATCAACCTAAATGCCCATCAGTGGTAGACTGGAGTAAGCAAATGGCATACATATACACCACGGAATACTATGCAGCCATAAAAACAAACACGATCACATCCTTTGCTGGAAAACGCATGGAGCTGGAGGCCATTACCCTTAGCAAACTAACACAGGAAGAGAAAACCAAATACCGCTTCATCTCACTTATAAGTGGGAGCCAAATGATGAAAACACATGGACCTATAGAGGGGAACAACAGATACTGGGGCCTACTGGAAGGTAGGAAGAAGGAGAGGATCAGAAAAAATAACTTATGGGTACTAGGTTTAATACCTGGGTGACAAAATAATCTGTACGGCAAACCCTGTTACATGAATTTGGCTATATTACAAACCTGTACATGTACCCCTTAACTTAAAAGTTTTAAATAAATGAATACATAAATAAAACACACACACACACAGACACACACACACACACAGTGAGGAGTGTGTTGGAGAAACTTTTGGCTGCTGGGTGCTGCTGGTCAAAAAAAATTTCTAAGAAAGTAGACAGATTTTAAGTTTTCTCACAACTAAAAATAAGTATCTGAGGGTAATGCATACGTTAATTCACTTGATTGAGTCATTTTGCAATGTATACTTATTTCATCACATCATATTATTTATTATATATATATATACACAATATCTGTCAATTAAAAGAATAAATTAAATTTTATAAAGCAAATATCAAAATAAGTAATGATGATAATAATAATACTACTAAATCCTTATAGACCCTGCTTTGGATGGCATGGGTTTTCTTTAGTTGGCTAACTTTACCAAAAAATTATTTTTCTTATGTGTATGTTCAGCAGTCAGTGAGGATTCTATCTAACTTACGCTAAAGAGTTATAAAATATTGTCATGTACTCAGAAAATAAAACATACTTGTTTCTTGATCATCTGGCAGAATAATTTGATCTTCATAAACTTGATAAAAGGTTGTGATTCTGGTACCATCAGCATGATCCACTATCCGAGTACCATCTTTCCTTTCAACTATGACAACTTTGTCTTCTCGAGTTGTCATAACCTGAACATGAAGAGGCAGGACATAATCATTTGGCCACATGGTTCATCCCAAGTGTACTTATTTTTATCCATTGAATACGAAGATGGCACCATCAAAGTCCTAGTTATTTATTTATAGGCAAAGTTTTATCTCATCTACCTGATCTAACCTTCATAACAATCTTGGCAGGTACCCTCATTTTATAGATGAGGAAATGTAGGCTTAGAGAAGTTGAGAAGCTTGCTGAAAGTCATGCAGCAAGTAAGTATCAGGGCATATTTGAGGAAACACTTAACATCTGGACTGGGTTAACCCAGGTCTGTCTGGAAAAATGACCACAGGCCCTGTTTCCTTGGAAACTACGGAGTAATGATAAATGCGGCATATTGTGGCTGCCTTGTGTGCTGTGAAACCTCTGCTCTGCAGAACTTCCCCAGATGGGGTGAACTGCAAGATGGCCTGCAAGTGTCGGGCTAATGTCATCAGAGCAGTACTTGAAGATTGGTAGGGGACAGAGGCTGTAGCCTCTCTATGTCAAGTTGACCTGTGCATGTATCTGCTGCTCAGTGCCGCTGCATGCCTGTGAGCTTGAGGGGTATGAGAAGCGGTGTGCGTGGGTTGCTGCTCCTGAGCTCTGCACTGGGTTAACCATGGCTCTGTTGTGTTTGCCTCATAGTTCAGCTTTTACCTCTGCCCATTACTGCTTTCTCCCTCCTCCTTTCACATATATGTCTCTATTAAAATCTTGCACTTGGGACTTCACCTCAGTGTTTGCTTCTGGAAAGCTCAACCTGCAACTGCAGTACTGTAAATTGCATAATGCATATTTCAATCATTGGGCATTTTCTAAACTTACACTATTCTAACTCTAAGGAACATAATGTTTCACTGAAGGTCTGGATGGACGTGAGAGTGAGTTTGCTAGCTGTTTTCTGACTCCAAAGTTCATGGCTATTGGGAGCAGGTGATTTTCACCTGTTTAGCTCTTTATGGTAGGTGGCAGTCACTACTTAAGAGAGAAATGAATGCCGATCATTATTTTAGGTTCTTATCATTGGTGCTTTCAGCCAGGAATGTATACTAAGAAATACTGCTGTGTAATGTGGTGGTTGAGAGCATGAGCTCTGGGGTTAAGCTGAGTTTGAATCCCGACTCCGCAAATGGCTGGGTAGACTTAGGGATGTTGCTTAACCTGTTTGTTGTCTGGTTTACTCATCCACAAAATGGAGCCAACACTAGTATCTTCTTGGAAATGTTATGTGGGTTAAACGAGATGATGCTGGTAAAGTGCGTCACACTTGGCCATCATGTTAGTAATTATTGATAGCGGTTTTTTATCTAGTAGAGATATTTACATATTATGATTTAGAATTATTGAAACATTTCGTAACGCCACATAAACAGTGACATTTTCTGGTCACCATAGAATAGGATAATCATTCTTAGTGGTGGCAATAACACAGTAACAAGGATATTTCTGAATGCCTGTTAGTGCCAGGTCTGGTACTAATCTTCTCAACAGGTAATGACTATTATCTCCAGTTTATGAATAAGAAACCAGATGAGAAACTTGCCAAAAGTTATACATCTGGTAAGGACTATGGCTAGGGCTTGAAACACAGGTCTGCCTCACCCCAAGGGCAGTGCTCATTCCTTTAGAATGTAATATTTCATGTCATTTTCAATTTTGTTTCATATGCCAGTTTCTTGAGATCTGGGACACAGTGTTGAGGTCTACATTCTGGCTCTACCATTTGCTGTGTGACCTTGGGCAAATTACTTAACCTCTCTGTAGCTTAGTTGCCTCATCTATAAAATGGAAACAATAGTAGTTTGTTGTGAGAATTGAGTGAGTTAGTATATGGAAAATGCAGAGAACAGGGCCTAGTACACAGTGAGTGCTCAGTAAATATCACTATTATTGCTCTTATTCTGTTGGGCATTTGGTGTTTTTAATTCATGCTTGAATCCAGGTTCTTGGATGCTGGTTCATGCTTCCAAAATGGTGATAGAGATGAATGAGGGAAATTAAAAGTTAACAAAGAAATGTTAATCAAACTTGCATATTAAGCCAAATAATCTACCTCAGGGGCCGAATTAAAGTGAGTTACTTGAAGGAACAAAAACAAACATTAAAAAACCTCGGGAAACAAATGAACAAAAAACCTTTCTGAGATCATATGTACTTTGAGTCTTACAAAAAAAGGCAACTAGCAAACAAAGTAAGAGATTATAAAATTATTTCAGAAGTAGGCTGAAGAGGAAAAAATATTTGGTTAGATCATGTAATCCATCTTAATAGCAAGCTGGCATTTTGCTTTTTACAGCAGCACATGGTTTTAAACAAGGGTAGGAAGTTCACACACAAGAGTTAAGGCACTTAGGAACGTCTTCATTTTGTTTAGATTCAGAGGGTGCTGCAAATCTCCATATAAGATGTTAAAGGAATAGCTAAGGAATGGAAAGAGCTCAGTTTTTGGTCACAAACAACTGGCTCTAATCCTGGCTTCAGCACTTTCTGAACATGTACTCTTGATCACATTACTTAACTTCCTAAGGCTCAATTTCTCATCTGTGTAATACACATTTGGTGTGAGGGCTGAATGAGATAATGTGTATAAAAGTCCCCAAAGAAATCCTGGTAGATAGAGGGCCGGGCGTGGTGGTTCATGTTTGTAATTCCAGCACTTTAGGAGGCTGAGGCGGGCCGATCACCTGAAGTCAGGAGTTGGAGGCTAGCTTGGCCAACATGGCAAAACCCTGTCTCTACTAAAAATACAAAAATTAGCCGGGCGTGGTGGCAGGTGCCTGTTATCCCAGCTACATGGGAGGCTGAGGCAGGAGAATTGCTTGAACTAGGAGGTGGAGGTTGCAGTGAGCTTGCACTCCAGCCTGGGCGACAACAGCAAACCTCTGTGTCAAAAAAAAAAAAAAAAAAAATCCTGGCACACAGAAAGTGCTATTGTTCATTCCAGGAGTTTTGCTTTCATATAATAAACAGAACCATTATGTTCTGTACCACTAATTTGTCATGTATTCTTATGCTACAAATAAAGTTTTTGTAAAGTTTCTCTAGAGTTTTGGATTCTTGAGTTATTTAATGTGTGTCTTATCTCTTTCAATATACCATAAGTTTTTCCAAATCAAAGGATCATGAACAAACTCCTTTCACCAACTGCAAGTGGGCACAAATAAGTAGTAATGAGACACTCACTTCCAGAAGCCTCTCACTTCCAGAAGATAAGACATTTTACACACATACATTCAGCATAAGGAAGCACACGACGACATCATTAATCACATATATCTTAAAAATGGCATAGAGAACTCATGAACTGCCGCTCACCTCAAAAATTAGCATTTTGTTCTGACGTGGTTGTGCCCACAACACACAAAAATAGTCCCTAATGATACTCTCCATTTGGCAAATACACCACAAGATGTTTTTAGATTTTGGAAAATGAATCCAATCATCCATCCATCCACCCATCCATCCATCCACTACTTAACAGACATTTATTGAAAAAATATTATCAGCTAGGCACTCTTTTGGGTGTTGTTTCAGAATACTAATGACTTAGAAAATTTTGCAATAAACAATAGTTTGTCATACCGTTCCATTGACAGGATCTGTGGCCTGAAAGGATAACAATGGGGTCAAGTCTGCTATTCTTTCTAATCCTTTGGTGCCGATCCGATTTCCTTCAGGTGTGGTTGTAAACCAGGTGCCTATGTGAACCTCCACAGGAGTTACAGTTTGAACTGCCTCTGGAGGAGGGTCATGGATTTCACCCTTATGGGCCATTGATGACTGACTTTTGTGACTTTTTCCTGTGAAGTTCAAGTAAAATCAAACAACAACAATATAACTATAGTATCAATTATATACATCATTCACTATGTTTTGACACAGTACAAACTACCTCAGATACTGTGGCATAGACAATTCTAAGTGGTATTCATCAATTATATTATTTCTCAATAGGGAAAAGTATCAGGTTATGAATAGCGTAATTTTAGCACTTAAACCATGGCTAAATTCCCACCACTTTCCCCCAGACATACACATGCTTACACAGCTCACTGTCTAGGGCACAAAAAATATTCTGGTCAACTTCTGTACTCTTTTGGGTCTTGCATACTTCTCTCTGGGTCCCAGATTTTGGGTTTTGTATTCTGGTTTTTAAAGCCTACCTTTGCTCTCACTTATCTGTCAAACTTTCAGCCTCCTTTTGACATATTGGACTATAACAGTTACTAAATTTTTAACTCTTGATTCCCCTGATTTTGCCCTTTTGTCAGTAATAACAGGAAACATCTTTCTTCAACCCTGGATCTGGGAAACCTCACCAGCCACGCATATCCCTGGGGAGAGGAGTTTGTGCAGTTTAATTAGTACATCAACAATTGTCTGATACATTTTCCTCTCCATCCTTTACCTCCCACTCATTTGGAACAGGAGGAGAGAACTGAAGACACCCTCATGGAAATCCTTGACCAATATTTCAGTTGCTCTATCAGGGTAGACATACTCCATTTCCATGAATAATAATGAGTAATCTGTAGATGAGACTTGACAGTGTTATCACATCTCAATGATGAGGTAAACTCAGACCCTGAAACAAATTGCAAGTAATGATAGTAAAGGAATGTTAACTCTTGGAAGATTCTCCAGATTCAGACCATGAAATGTGCAGCAGGGCATGCATCTCGGCCTAACTGATAGGGACTCAACTAATGGGAAGAACCAAAGGCAGATAAATCAGGTTGAGCCTTTTCATTGCCCTAAAATTTGATTTGGACATATTTATACTTCTAGAATATTAGTAGAGAGTGAAAATGGTATCGCTTTCAGAATAATTCCTCTAGAAATAGTAGGAAGTACTTTAGGAATTATCTTTTTTTCTATATTCTCCCTTTTTCTCCTATTTCCCTCCCCTCTCCTTCTGTTCTTGTTACTTTTTCTAATCAAAAAAGGTGAGCTATGGAAAGGGCATTCCAACATAAGGAACATAAGAAATACAATGGGGTAAAGAATAGCATGGTATACACAGACAACTACTAGCAGACCAGTGTGACCAGATGATACATTTCAAGCAGATTTTGGTTGAGTGAAGG
Organism: Homo sapiens; assembly: GCF_000001405.40. Taxonomy (NCBI): domain Eukaryota; kingdom Metazoa; phylum Chordata; class Mammalia; order Primates; family Hominidae; genus Homo; species Homo sapiens. Next base: position 118,017,470 of record NC_000001.11, read on the forward strand.
GACAGGAGAGGCAGGCACTGATTCAATTGAGGGGACTTTAGCAGTACGTTAGAGACCTTGGAATTTTTCCTACAGGTGATATTTAATAACTAAAGTGTTATAAGAGAGAAAGTGAGGTATTTGGAAGATTAGTTACATGCTTTTGGCAGGAAGATGCAAAATCAATACTAATAAAAGCAGGAAGAACAGTTAGAAGGTTTTAAAGTATTAGAAATTCAAGTTGGCAGAAGAGATAAACAGGTACAATTTTGATACAAATGTATATTGGGGAACAAATTTGGATATGAAAGGATGAGGATGGCAGTGAAAGGATAAGAGAAAGAATCACATGCAGATCCTGAAATCTTAATCATCTATTTTCTTCCATTAAGTATATGGGTCAACAAAGCAAACTGGCCAAGGATCAGCTCAAAGGTAAGAGGAAGGAAACAAGCAGGGTTGGAGTTCCATTTTCAGCAACATCACAGACTAGATACCAATAATTCCACTGAAAAGAACCATAACTGCTAGAAAACATCTTTAAATCAGTCTTCTTGAAAGTGTCTCTGAGCTGGCAACTATAAGTAAGATCAGCACAAGCCATGGACTAAGTAAATGTAGGAAGCCAAAGAGGTAAAATAGCTCTGAAGTTGGATTTTGTCCAGTGGGTTTTTGTCAAACTGTGTGATTCTGAGTATTTGTTTTCTTAGCATTGTGGGACTTAGGCAGAAATGAATGCCAGAACCTGCACAATCTGGATGGAAGGTTTGATATGAGGCCCTCAAATGACTACACTCTCAGACTAAGTGTGGATTATTAACAGAAATCATTCGTGTCCTTTCCCACCCCACTCTAGAACTGTCAGAAAGCTTGCCTGTGTTCAAACTTGGTGCTGAGCAGAGAAAACAAGAAAGTACTTAAGAGGTTGTATAACCACAAGTAGATCCTTATATAGGTTTGAAGTGAAAATTCATACCACTTGAGTGGCACCCCCAGAAATTCCTTAAATTAATAATTTAAAGTGATCCAAGACTGTTGGTTCCCCTATCAACTGCTAAAGTCCTTTCTGAAGCCAAAGTCCTTTATAAAGAAATGCACTATTGGCCAGGCACAGTGGCTCACACCTATAATCTTAGCATTTTGGGAGGCCAAGGTAGGAGGATTGCTTAAGCCCAAGAGTTTGAGACTAGCCTGGCCAACATAGTGACACTTCACTGCTACAAAAAAAAAAAAAAAATTGCTGAGCATGGTGGTGCATGCCTGTTGCATGGTGATGCAAGCCAACTTTTCAACAGCAACACTGGAAGCAAAAGAATATAAAGGATATTGTCAATGTACTGAGAGAAAATATCTGTAAGCTAGAATTCTATACCTAGTGAAATTATCTTTCAAGAATGAAGACAACATAAAGACATTTTAAGAAAATATTTGGTATATAATAAACGGACTAAAACATCTAAAGACAAGTCCCAGCTACTCTAGTGGCTGAGATGGGAGGATTTCTTGGGCCCAGGAGGTTAGGCTGCAGTGAGCTGTGATCATGCCACCACACTCCAGCCTGGGTGACAGAGTGAGACCATGTCTCAAAAAAAAAAAAAAAAAATGCACTTTTATACCAGCTCAAGAATTTAGAATTAAAGCAATAAGAAAAAATTATCATCTCATAGTCAAAAAGTACCGAGACACAATGAAACAAGGCAATTCAAGTGAGAGCCAGAAGAAGCAACAGAAAATGGAATTAGATCTATAATACTTTAGATATTGAAATGATCAGACACAGAATCTAAAATGCATACTTTATGTGATTCCAGAAATAAAAAGGGGCCAAAAATATGACTAAAAAGAAGACAGATTATAAAACAAAACAAAGAAGTGTTAGATATTAAAAAATGTAATAACTGAAATTTAAAAAATTAACATGCAGATTTAGCAGGAGACAAAACACAGCTTAAAAGAGAACTGAAAGACCTAAAGTAATTGTTTAGAATGAAGCTCAGAGAACCAAAGCATAGAAGTAAAAAAAAAATAAATAAAAGTTCAAGGCCTCTTAAATATGTTTAACTGGAATTCCAGAAGCAGAGAAGAAAAAAGAAATGGATCAGAAACAATATTTGAAGAGATAATTATTGAGAAATCTCTAGAATCAATGAAAAACACAAATTTACAGATTCAGGAAGCTCAATGTATTCCCACTTTGATAAATGAAAAGAAATCCATACCTAGTCAAATTTATTGAAATTGTAATAAAAAATCACAGGGAATATTTTAAAGACCGTTAGATTATCCTCAAAGCAACAACAACTTAAATGATAGCCAACTTTTCAACAGCAACATTGGAAGCAAGAGAGTATAAAGGATATTTTCAATGTACTGAGAGAAAATATCTATAAGCTAGAATTATATACCTCGTGAAATTATCTTTCAAGAATGAGGACAACATAAAGACATTTTTAGAAATTATTTGATATGCAATAAATGGACTGAAACCCCTAAAGACAAACGTTTTCAAATTGAATTATTAAAATATTCACCTATTTGCTGCTTATAAGAGACACATTTAAACATAAACCACAGAAGGTGAAATATAAGTGTGGAAAAAGTTATACCGGTAAGGTATTAAATAGTAGCTGGGGTAGCTATAATAAAATAAGCAAAATAGACATTAGGGTAAAAAGAATCCTAGAATAAAGAGTCATTGCAGGCCAGGCGCAGTGGCTTCCAGCACTCTGGGGGGCCAAGGCAAGCGGATCACTTTAGGTCAGGAGTTCAAGACCAGCCTGGCCAACATGGTGAAACCCTGTCTCTACTAAAAATACAAAACACAACAAAACAAAAATTAGCCAGCTTTGATGGCACGTGCCTGTAATCCCAGCCACTTGGGAGGCTGAGGCACGAGAATTGCTTGAATGTGGGAAGTGGAGGTTGCAGTGAGCTGAGATCACGCCATTGGCACTCCAGCCTGGGCAACAGAGTGACACTGTGTCTCAAGAAAAAAAAAAAAGAAAGAAAGAAAGGAAGTCATTGCATAATGATGAAAGGTTAAATTAGTGAAGATAGATACAATAATTCTAAATGTATGAATATCTATCATCATATCCTTAAAATATATAAAGAAAAATGACAGAACTATAAAAAAGACATATTTATTTCACAAATTAAGAAATAATGATTAAATTATAAGGAACGCAGCACCAAAGAGATTATTCTAGCTTTTCAGGAGATTTAAACATCCTTTTGCTAAGTAAATTGATGTAGTAGATTAAAAAAATCTGTAAAAATATAGAATAGGGGTTGGCAAATTGTGGACTATGGACAAATAAGGCCTGCTGTCTGTTTTTTACAGTCGGTGAAGTAGTAATTCTTTTTACATTTCTAAATAGCTAATAGAATCAAAAGAATAGTAATAATTTATAACATGAAAATTATATAAAATTCAAATTTAGTATATTTAGTGCATATAAAGTTTTATTAGAACACAGGCTTATTTAATAACATATTGCCCATGGCTGTTTTTATGCTCCAATGGCAGAGTTGAGTAGTTGTGACAGTGACCATATGGCCCACAAAGTCTAAAATAAACTTTTTCAGAACTTTGAAAATTAACCAAAGAATTGTAACAATCTGAGGAACAATTCAAGAAAAATGGCTGAATCTCAGCAGGAACAGTTGCTTTGTGGTTTTATAACTTAAAAAGTTTTTGATAAAATATTATCTATAATATTTCATTTAGTTGATGTAATATCAATTAAATTAATATCAATTAAACTGTGATAAAAAGAAATGAGCTATCAAGCCATAAAAAGACAGGGAGGAATCTTAAATGCATATTACTAAGTGAAAGAACCTGGTCTAGAAAGGCTACATAAGGTATGATTCTAATCATATGACATTCTGGAAAAGGTAAAACTATACAGACAATAAAAAGGTCAGTGGTTCCCAGGTGTTTGGTGGGGTAGTGTGTGTGTGGTTCAGGATGGGTGGAATAAGAAGGGTGAATAGGTGAAGAGGGATTTTTAGGTTGGCAAAATTATTCTGTATGATACATGAGACATAGAATGTACAACACCAAGAGTGAACCCTAATGTAAACTATGGGCTTTAGTTAATAATAATGTAAGATTGGTTCATCAGTTGTTACAAATATACAACACTAAAGCAAGATGTTAATAATTGGGGAAACTGTGAGCAGAGTAAACAGGAACTCTGTGCACTTTCCACTCAATTTTTCTGTAAACCTAAAACTGCTCTAAAAATAGTCTATTAATTTAAAAAGTGAGTGCATCATCTTGGATGGAAGGGCTGTGAAGAAATCTGGGGGACACTGTGCTAGAAGCAGAAGTCCTCCAGAACCAGGGTAGGCTCTTAGAAAAATGGCTACACAGACTAGTCTTATATCAAGTCCTCTGTATCAACAAAAGAGGGAACCCTTGAGCCGAGAAATTTGGAAAGCTATCTGGATACTTCTCTAACCAGAAACCTTCTGCTACTACTCAAGGAAAATCTGTTTTACTAAATATTGAGTAATTAAAAAGTAATCTAGTTGCTTCCACACAATATTTCTGGGTACTGTGGTGAGATGTGTGAAACTGACAAAAAAGGAGTAAATCCAGGTTTCTAGATTTAAATCTAGATCATTAAAGGCATATGAGAAATTGAGAAAAGTTTGTAAGGCAGGAGAGGCAGCGTAATTTAGGGGTTAGGGACCCAGACTCAAATCTCAGCTCTACCACTTGCTAGCTAAGAGACCTCAAGGAAATTACTTAACTTCTCTCCCTCAATTTTCTCATTTGTAAATTGGGGATTATTAAAATATATGCCTCACAGAGGATTAGCTGATTTAATATTTGAAATATCAGATTTTTTTCCTGTTACACAAATATACACCTCCTATATAAAAATATATCTTACAAATTAAGATGAAAATGATGACCATCACAATGGTAAACCAAGAAAAGACATGAATAGGAAATTCACAAAATGAAACAAAACAAACAGGAAACATCTTTAGATGTTTAACCTCACCAGCAATTAAAGAAATGCAAATCAACATAATAAGATGCATTGATTATCATGTTGAATAAGATTAAAAGAATGATAATATCTGGCATTGGTGAGGGTATGAGGAAGTAGACATTTTCATGTGGTAGTGGTAGGGGTATACATTGAAAACACTTCTCAGGACAGCAGTCTTGCAATTTAGATTATGGCAGACACTGTTCATTGCTTATCCAAGTATTGTTCACCTTCTTTTTTCCCTGCTAGTAGTGCTGTCTCCTGAGATAGAGGCCAAAAATGTCAGATACTTGTTTTTCTAATCTTGGTCCCCAGCCAGGTCTAGTCAATGACATAAAGACAGGTCTGCTGGGGTGACAGGTGGAGTTCTGGAACTCCTTTTGCTTCCTGATGAACAGAGACACTTGAAGAAAGCTCTTGCATTTATTTGCCATCTTTTCTTGGAAGTTGCTGAATGAGGACCTCATGCCTGGAGTTGATATACCTTCTTGCAATTATGAGGAAAAGTTCAAGAGAATCACAGAGATGCCTATTCATAATCTTGACATTACCAATCTGCCCAGTCAACCCTAAAACAGCAGCTTAGGCATTATACCTGATGTGCAAGAATGTATAACAACATATGAAACTGTTAATTATTTATTACTAAGAGAAAAACAGTTCATGAAACAGTACGTAATTCTGTGATAGCAAGAATTCATTTATATGTATGTATGTATAAGAATATATAAATATATTTGTAGAAGAGGTTGCAAGTATTATAATAATAATAATATTGAACACTTATTAAGCCCTTGAAGGCTTTACTAAATCCATAATAAACTGAGAGGCTTCAATTGTTACCTTTCTTTGTGTTGGTAATCTCAGATGGTATCGTTTCTGATTTCTGCTGAGAAATAGAGTCCATCAAATCTCCACTGTGAGGCGTTGCTGGCATTTCAGAAGGAGGACAAATAAGACCTGAATTGGGACTCCTGCTCACAGCACCATCTGCAAAGAGAATCTGAAGAATGAACAAAAGTTTTCAGCATTCTCAGAAGCAAGAGAGAGGTTGTTTAACAATAAACGCTGTGTGTCAAATGGAAATAGCTTCAAAATGATCCACAGAAGAAATGCTGTTTGCAGACCTCCAGACCCAGCAGCACAAAGTAGATTATAGAAAGGTAGATTTGGAGTTCAGAGACAATAGCCTAGTTACCACCATAATAATATTATTTTCTATTTTCTATTTACCTTTTATTTTGTTTCTTTTCTTTTTATTTCCATCTTTTCTTGGATTGATTTGAGTTTTATTTTTTCCATTCTTCACCTTTCTCCTTTGCGATTGGGAAATTATATACTCTATTTCAATTTTTCTAACAACTGTATTTAAAATTTTATCACATATTTAAATTTGTAGTTTCTATTAATATCTATCTAGTTTGTACAGTGTCTCTAGGTACCACAGATATGTCTACCTGCTGTTGGTACCTAGACACTCCCAACAAACATGACAAGGACCAACGTCACTGTTGCTGATGAGAAGTCAAATGTCTATCTGGTTTTTATTCTTGTATAGGTAACTTGTTTCCTTCAGGAAACTTTTGGGATTGTCTATCTGTGCAGTCCTAAAATTGCATGATGGCATATTTAGGTAATCCTTTAAAGATAATTAATATCAGTTCTTATTATCATTCGGTTGCCCTGTTTAATCTGAAGTATTTTTTTTAAGCTCTGTGCAAACTTCTTATGTTATGTCTTTGATTCTTTTCTCCCTTCATTCTTACTATTTTTTTCTTCTGGAAATTATATCATATGGACCCTTTTTCCATATCTCTCAGCTTTTCTCACCCTCAAAATCTACCCCTTCCCATTTTTGATCATTCACAATTATTTCTAATTTCTAAGAACTCTTGATATTTTTCCTTAGCGACTTTTTAAAAAGTTGTTATTTTATGAACTGTTAACCTCTCAGGTCTGCCTATATCACTTTTACCAACTTTTAATTTTTTAAAGTATTTAATTTCAGGTGCTATTTCTTTTAGATATTGAATTATGTACTTTACTTTTATGGGATTGCTTTCTTTCCAAGATTTATGATTCTTGAGTGCATGGTCATCTTTCTCATTGAGAATCCCTTTTACTTCTTGGTGGTGTAGTGTCTACTCACAGGAGCTCCTGTTTTGTGATCACTGGGGAAGGAAAGAGCAGGGCATATGGCTTCTGATTTTTAAGGTTTCTCGTTCCCATCCTCTGGGTGACAGTGAGTTACCTGGGGAACTACCCTCATTTTCTGAGCTCAGAGATCCATGTGCAAAATGTTTGTGTTAGAATTCCCATTTCGATGTTTAATTTTGCTGCATGTTTTCCTCTTGTGTATGTTTTAACTTTGTGCATATTTCTCCATCAGTTTGATCTCATCTGATCTGCATTTTAAAAGAAATTATCGAAATCTTCTGATCTATTATTGATGACATGCCTTGTTGTCCTCCAGTACCATTATGAATTCACTATTTAAATTTTTAAAATTAGTTTAAGATAGCTTGAGAGGGAGAAAAGGAAAAAACTGTTCAGTTTGCAATCTTACATCATGCAGAGAAATGACAAGTTTATTTGTATCCTGCTCTGCATATAGTGTTTTTTAATTCTAACTATATTATTTATCATTTGTCATTTGAAGGTGTCATTCCTTTTTCTAGTGAGTTGTTCCTTTTCCCTGTTATAGAACAGTTCCTTACCCATAAGTTGTCTTTTACTTTGGAACAGGGAAGAATAATTTCTCTAACACATTCTTTTACCTGTGTGGATCCATCCAACATATATTTGACAACAGTGCCTTGACTGGTGATAACCCTTGAAGCCTCCTGCTCTGCGGGTGGCATCACCGTTTTATAGAACTCATAGTGCTTCACCCTCTGGGGGTAGCTCTGACGGACCATGATGTCCCAGGTGGGTTCCTCATCTATAACATATTGACCTAAAAAAAGAATAAAGCCTTCTTGTGAACTGGACAATGCTGCAGGGCTGGATTTTATCATCTTGCTTAATTATTTTCTTTTTCTTTTCTTTTCTTTATTTTAAAAATAGAGACAAAGTCTCGCTTTGTCATCCAGGCTGGAGTGCAATGGTGCAATCATAGCTCACTGCAGCCTCAAACTCCTGGATTCAAGCCTTCTGAGCAGCTGGGACTACAGGCTTGCACCACAACACCCTGTTAAGTTTTTCTATTTTTTGTAGACAGAGGGTCTCATTATGTTGGCTAGGCGGGTCTCAAACTCCTGGCCTCAAGCGATCCTCCCACCTCAGCCTTCCAAAGTGCTGTGATTACAGGTGTGAGACACCATGCCTGGTGCTTAATTATTTTCTTTTGTCTGCATGTGAATAATAGGGCAGTTTCCATGTTATGACAGATGGTCTAGAATACTGGTTCTTTGATGACCTTGTTACATTCAAAGGTAGTAAATTAGGTCATCTACAACACCTAGTAGGTACCTTCTCCATGTGTAAGCCACTCTCTCTAATAAAATCCAGGACAAATTGAGGCAAAATTATGAAGGAAGCCGAGTTTTGCTGAATTAGGTGTTTCCTCTTCCTGCCCACTGGTGCCTATCTCTCATCTTTGACTAAACTTTCCACCCTGGATACACACGCTGCCCTGGTGTTTCCTGGTTGCCCATAGCCCCAGGGGAAGTCACCCCCTCAGGCTTGCCTTTCCTAAGTCATCTGTCATCTTTCAAAGTTAACGTTAAAATAATCCCCTCATCTCTAACCAAATCCAGATTTATCTAGCATTTTGCTGTTAGCTGGCAATCAAGGAGAAAAGCACCTAATAAGCTCCTTCAAAAGCAAGCACTATTATGGAGAAATTCTGGCATACCGTACCTAAGCAGGCTTTGCTAACTGAATAAATTCCTCTTAATTTATAATGTGGTTTATTGGGGCCAAAAAGCCTTAACACAAAGGAATTAACACATAATGATAGCATTTTAAGAACTATATATCAGGCTAGTGGGAAAATCATGGCACCCCTTAAATCACAGAAGTACTACTAATAATGATAAACCAATAAACATTTATTGAGATATTTCTATATGTTAAATGCTTTATATATGTATCTTTTATTGAGTCTGCCTTCACAATCCTTTAAAATAGGCACTTTAATTTTCCAGAGTTTTCAGATGAAGAAATAGAGGCTTGGAGAGGTTATTAACTTAGCAAGTTATAACTTTGGAAGACACTTAGTGACCATCCAGCACTAAGGACGCACAGCCAGTAAGTAAGAGAAGGAAGATTTGAATCATTTTCTTATATTACAAAAGCAACCACCATTAACAACCAAAAATAAAAAGTCACTCAGGAAAGGATTCAAGTCTAGGCTCTTTCCTCTTATGCTACGATAACTGTCTTTCCCTAAAGTCCAAGACTGACCCGATGAAGATATTGCTACTTTGGTATTTATGTTGTTATGTTCAGACTTGAATTAGGATTTTCATAGTATATGGAAGATTTTAAACAGATGAGCTATTATTAACTACATTGTCTACCCTAACATAAGGAGGAAAATATTAGGATAGATAATGAAACTAATAGAAAAGACAGGTGAAAGGGGTATTAAGCTGGGGTTTGATAACAGGATCAAACAATCAAAGAAATATATCCTTGAATTTGAAAGCAACATCTCTTTGAGTACACTCATAGCTCTTTGACTGGAAGACACTCAGTGAAGACTGTCTGAGTGGAAGACACCCAGTGAAGACATGCAGCACAGTGGGAAAACCTGGACCACTAGGGATGCTTGGGAAGGGAACAGGGTCCATGGGCTATTTTTAATAATTCAGAATGCCTAAGGAGAAGCGAAATTTAACTTCAACATTTAGTTTCTGCTTTTTTGCGGGGGAGGGAGCTGGGAAGTAAATAAAACATTAAATTATTTTTAAATAAGCATAGCGTTTTTCTTTGATACACTTTTCAAATGTGGTATACATAAGGGAATTATATAAAAGAGGATATTAAGTTGTGAAACTGTAAAGAATTGCTGATGTTATGTAATATTTATCAGATAAGAAAACATGACCCTGAGACCCTAAGTAACTTAAAAGGGACACATCATTCGTTGGTGTCAGGGTCAGCTTTAGAACTCAACTCCCACTTCAGTGCCTGCTTTGTTGCATCTTCTACTTCTACTGCAACAGTGAGTTTCTATTTAAATATATTCAAATTCAGTAACAAATGCAGATGCCTCATCAGGTTAATTAAAGAAATCTTACTTGTACTTATTTATTTAGCTGAAGAAGTTAGGAGCCATGTACAGAACCAACACTATAAAATTATATATAGATACATGAAAATGAAGCCTTGATTTTCTTAACCTATTTAATCTACATCTATCTCTATGTACTTTGTGTCCAGTGTCATTTGTTTTGGTCAGACCAGCAACATGCTGCACCCATGACCCTCTGTAGAGGCAAGAACACAGGGATACACACAAGTTTTTAAGAGCACTGGCTTTGTCATCACTGGGCTGAGAATGGCATTTCAGCTCTGCCACTTGGGAGTTGAGTGACCTTGGGCAAGTAACTGAACCTCCTGAAGCCTCGATTTCCTTATTTTGTAAAATGGAGTAGTTAGTATTTAGATCACAGTATTTGTATTTTTGACATATATACTAAGTACTTAGACAGTGCCTGGCCATAGTAAATGCTACAAATGTGAAAACAGTCTATTGTTCATTATCAACAAGATGTATGTTTAACTGGCATGAAAATACACAATTTCCTGTTTTCTACGTGACATTTTGCTCCCTGCTTCCCCACCCTACCCCATATAGCACTTACCTGTAGATTCTTGTCCAATGAAAGTCAACAGGAGCCCACTGGGGCAAGACACATTTAGGCTCTGGAAGGTGGGAACATCCAAAGTCTCTTGTAAAACAGGTTCTGGTTCTACTTCTTCTTCCTGTAAATAATTCAGCATGTGAATAATGGGCTGTCATTTTCTTAATGAGCTATTATTTATTTTGACTAAGCCAGGATATGCTGAGTGCTCAGGACATGACTTGCACAGAGCTAGGTGGCCCCTGCAAGGACGCAGGAGTCTCTGTGGTTTTGCAATTTATATTCTACTTGCAGACTGGCACATAGGTGAGACAAATGGCAGTAACAACAGTTGGCACATCTTTTCTCAGAAAATAGAGATATAGTGAAAGTTAATAAGAACAATTGGGAAAGGATTTGTGGAATAATTGGGGCTTGAAGTGGGCCTTGAAAGATGCCTCTGTTTGGATATGTAGGCATAAGGGCAGTGCTGGCATCTGAATGTTGGTGTCCCCCATCCAAACTCGTATGTTGGAACCTAATAACCAATGTGACAGTATTAAAGGTGGGGCAGTTTAGAAAGTGATTAAGTCATGAGGGCTCCACCCTTATGAATGGGATTAGTGCTTTTAAAGAAGAGGTTGATGGGAACACCTTTGCCTCTTCCTCTTCTGCCATGTGAGGACACATTGAAGGAACCATCTCTATGAGGAATAGCTGGGCATGGTGGTGTGTGGTTGCAATTTCAGCTACTTGAAAGAGTGAGTTGGGTAGATCACCTGAGGCAAGGAGTTAGAAACCAGCCAGGGTAACACAGTCAGACCCAGTCTCTTTAAAAATTAAAAGAATTGGCCAGGCATGATGGTACATGCCTGTGGTCCCAGCTACTTGGGATGCTGAGGTGGAATGACTGCTTGAGCCCAGGAGTTTGAGCCCACACTACCATACTCCAGCCTGAGTGACAGAGCAAGAAGTCCATCTTAAATAAAATAAAGTAAAATAAAATAAGAGAAACAGGCTCTTACCAGACATAAAATCTGCTAATATCTTGATATTGGACTTCACAGCCTCTTGAACTGTGAGCAATAAATTTTGATTGTTTATAAATCACCTAGTCTAAGGTATTTTTTTTATAGCAGTCCAAACTAATACAGAAAAAGTGTGTGAGAGACCAACATCTCCAACATATTTTTTGGTGTATTCTTACAATTTGGATGCTAGAGATATTATGTTATTAGGATATCTGTCCTTTGTTTTCTATAATGAGCACATACTGCTTTTGTAGCAAATGAAAGTAATAAAAATAAAAGACAATTATAAAGTTATTTATAAATTAATGAGGGTTTGGGTGTGTTTACTTTAAAATCCTAATTAATTTTATGTCAGCTATGCCTAAATCCCTTGTTTGGTTATATGTACTTAAGAATGAAATTTACTTGTTAACATTCAAACACTCCCTAATGATAATCATTTCAATTTTTCCAGTTGGTTCTCTTTTGTTAACCACCAAAATCACTCCACCGGTACCCAATTTGTGGATATTTGTTTTTTTCTAACTAGTCGTCTATTGTTGAACATTTAAGTTGTTCTGCCTTTTCTTTGTCACTAACAGAGGAAAAATACATAAATAATTAGCTAAAAATAAATTTAAAACACAAAGCAAAAATAAGAGAAAAATGCTTATGAAATTCTGTAAAATGAACAAAACTGCTCAAAGATGCAAACCTGCCACGTCAAATCTGTCAGCACACATAAAACTAGTATCATCCTCACCCTTCCATTATCATTTATTTTAAAAATGTTAAGTGAACAAATTGGTTTGCTAGCAAGATGCCTTTGGCCAAATTAATTTTAAATGAATTACCTGGAGTTATTCTGTTTTAACACTTGAACATTTTTACTTAACAAGAGTCAAGGGGCCTGGCATGAGAAATTTTATCTAGTATAACTATGTAAATGTGGTACAGAGGCAATGACATATTTAAACCTTGTAACTTTTACAAGGCCAGAGTCTGAAACCCAGGTTCTTGGGTATTTTTAAACATTTTATCTTCCAGTAGTTGATTATTTGTACACTGTACTTTTTTAGTAGTAAGTACCAATAGTCAAGACTTAACCAGTAGTTTCCTTGTTGCCGGTCTTTTAGAACCTTCTTTTTTTTTTTCCAAAACTATTTATTTTACTTTAAGTTCTGGGATACATGTGCAGAATGTGCAGGTTTGTTACATAGGTATATATGTACCATGGTGGCATGGTGGTTTGCTGCACCTATCAAGCCGACATCTATGTTTTAAGCCCTGCATGCATTAGGTATTTGTCCTAATGCTCTCCTGCTCCTTGCCCTTGACCCCCTGACAGGCCCCAGTGTGTGATGTTCCCCTCCCTGCGTCCATGTGTTCTCATTGTTCAACTCCCATTTATGAATGAGAACATGTGGTGTTTGGTTTTCTGTTCCTGTGTTAGTTTGCTGAGAATGATGGTTTCCAGCTTCATCCATGTCCCTGCAAAGGACATGAACTCATTCTTTTCTATGGCTGCATAGTATTCCATGGTGTATGTGTACCACATTTTCTTTATTCAGTCTATCATTGATGGGCATTTGAGTTGGTTCCAAGTCTTTGTTATTGTAAATAGTGCTACAATAAACATACGTGTGCATGTGTCTTTATAGTAGAATGATTTATAATCCTTTGGGTATATACTCAGTAATGAGATTGCTGGGTCAAATGGTATTTCTGGTTCTAGGTCCTTGAGGAATTGCAACACTGTTTTCCACAATGGTTGAACTAATGTACACTCCCACCAACAGTGGAAAAGCAGAACCATCTTTTGATCTTTGTTTTATTAGATCTTTGTTTAGAGTCAAAGTGTGTGTGTGTGTGTGTTTACTATGATGAAGGGCTAGGGGTAATAGGAGGACTACTCTTTTTTTTTTTTTTTTTTTTTTTTTGAGGACTACTCTTTAATCAGAGGTGGGCTGTTAGTCTTGTTAGATTCTTAGCACATCAATATCTAAGACCAACTTTACCAAATGAAACTGTTTCCATTGTTTGGTTAAATATATTTTTCTTCCATTTGTTATTTATCACAGTGGAGCTAAACAAAGTATTAAAAATAAGGAATGGCAGAAACTTGACCAACGAAAAGCAAAGAAAACCCAAGAAATAGAGTGGAAAAAAGGTTGAACTAAGTTTTTCCAAACTTAGAATGAATGACCTGAGACAACTTATGTATGACAATATGTCTCCTGGAGTGGTAACCCAACTTTTGGGTACAAATCCTTCTTGTCTATTCAAAGTTGAGACTACAAGGGACGTTAATGTATCTGCACAATAAAACGTATGCACTATAATAACACTATTGACATAAGTCATGGTTTTAAAAAAGTTAACACTGAAGCAGAAACAGAGTTTGGGAATCTATGGCAAGGTTCATTTACCTTTTTCTCTTCTTCTTTTGGGTGTTCTTCTTCTTTAAGGGATTCTTTGGGTTTTTCTTTGCCTTTTATTTTCCCTTTAGCTTTGCTTTGAGGAACGGTCACTATAACAGGAACCACTGTTGGAGTGAGTGCTGAAGGGATATTCAATATTGTTTCTAAATCAGGATCCTTATCTTCTATAAGCAGAAAAAGTAAAAATGAAGTTGATTCAACATTCATATTTGATATCCTTGTGAAATAACATTTACAACTCAAAAATTTACACAAGTTGACAACAATTTTTACCTTGCTAAATATGATTTATCAGTTGGATAGATTTCAGGAGTAATGAAGTTGGTTTACAAATCAGGATTGTAGTTAGAAAATTTGAGGTATTTATTACTTGGATATGCCTCACTGAATCACTATTTCTCATGTTCTTGCCTTCCCATCTACATTGTAAACTCCTTAATGATAGGGCATTAACTATATCTTAATTTATTTGAGAAATATTTGAGAGGCTCTTCTTATGTATAAAATGTTTAGAGCAGCAGAAAATAATGAAAAAAATGTGCAAAAGTCCTTATAGCATCAAAATAGTCTAAATAAGATCTGTGTAAATAACCAAACATAAAGACTACTAAATATAAATAAAATAAGTGGTACAAACAAGAAAATCCAGAAGAGAAACTTGTATGTGATACACTTGCTGGGTTTTAAGGGATTACCAGAATTCTAAAAGGAGAGCTCATGCTAGGAGTAATTATGTGGGGAGCTCTAAAGCATCCTGTGTGTCATGAATTTTATTTTCCTCTAGGTTCCAGAAAAACATTCTCTGAATCTCTTACCTCTAGTCATTTTTTTTCTCAATCTCCTCTACTTACTCTTTTGTCAGTCCCCTAAATGTTTTTATTTATTTTTATTTATTATTATTATTATTTTGAGACAGAGTGTCACTCTGTCACCCAGGCTGGAGTGCAGTGGTGCAACCTCGGCTCACTGCAACCTCCTCCCGGGTTCAAGTGATTCTTGTGCCTCGGCCTCCTGAGCAGCTGGGATTACAAGCACCTGCCACCACGCCTGGCTAATTTTTTTGTATTTTTAATAGACACGGGGTTTCACCATGTTGACCAAGCTGGTCTCGAACTCCTGACCTCAAGTGATCCGCCCACCTCGGCCTCCAAAGTGCTGGGATTACAGACATGAACCACCATTCTCAGCCAATCCCCTAAATGTTTTTAGGTTGCAGGGTTTATTATGTTCTCAATCCTCCTTGCCTGTAATAATTACTCATGAAATTAGAAAAACAACATGCTCGGGCCCCACCTTGACCTACTGAATCAGACTCATTGAAGATGAGGCCCAGGCATTTATATTTGTGAAACCCTACATGTGACTGTGATGCACAGCCAGGGCTGAGCAACTCTCTTACATATATTAGATCTGGATGATCTCATTCACCATTGGGGCTCCAATTGTCATCTACATGCTAATGACTCCAAAATTAACATCTCAAGGCATGACCTTCCTTCTCAGTTCCAGACCTATATTTCTCACTTTTTTAAGGCATCTCCTGGTTGTGGTGCTACAGACATTTCAAACTCAATTAAGTCTCTCTTCTCCCAAGCAGATTAAGCCTCCTACATTCTCAATTTCAGTTAATGCCATGAGCAATTATGCAGTCTGTTCCCCAAGTTAGACATTGAGATCATTTGCATTTACTTTTTTTGACTCATCCTACACATCCAACCAGCCATCAAGGCCTAAGATCTTCCTCCCAAATTATGCCTCTTCTATCTATTCCCATTGTCTTATTTCAGGGTCCCATAATTGCTTGCTGGGTCTTCTGCAGCGTTTTGCTAACTGATACCATAGCACTTCCAATACCACCACTTCAGTGTACTCTCCAAACTACCACTAAAATTATGCTCCTAAAGTAAAATATGATCATGTCACCTCCCTTACTTAAAGTCCTCTGCCACTCACTGCCTATGTAGGGCATATAACATTCTTCACAATCTGGTCTTCACCTACCTCCACTGCAGCCACACTGAACTTTTCACCTTTCTGTGAAGATGCCATGTTTTGACACAATTGTGTGTTTATTAACATGGTTCTTAAGTTCTAGAATTCCCTTTCCTTGTTTCTGTGCCTGGATAGTTCCACTCAGCTCTAAAGTCCCATCTGAAATGCTACAATTTCTCTCAAGTATGTGTTGACTGTCCCCAGTACTCTGTTTATGTATAATTTCCAGCACTAAGACAGATATTATTGCTCTATTTATGTTTTCCTTGTTCATTAGACAGTGAGTTCTTTGTGTAGATGTACCACGAATTAATTCATCTTAGTGGCTCAGTGCCAGCAAGTTGCTTGACCCACAGAAAGTACAGTATATAAACAAGTGAATGGCGTTCAGTTTCAGGCATCTGGAAATTCCCCTCCTCATCCCCATCCATTTACTAATATTCAGTAAATATTTATTGTGTACCTACTACTATGTACCATGAAATGGATAGCCAATGATGGATGAGACAGATAAGGAGGGTATAATTTAGTGGGTAGTTCAGATTAGAACCCGTCAGGTACAATGCTGTGTGTTCAGTCTGTGATAGAGGAAATACTGAGTGCCTTAGGAACCCAGAAGAAGGGTATCTACTGCAAAATGTCCTTGTACAGTCTACTGTGGCTATACTGAACACTTCACCTTTCCATAAATGGAAAAGCCTTTCTATGCTTTTACACTACTGGACTTTTACACATGCTATTCCTGGTAGCTAGAATTCCCTCCCTTCAATTTTTTGCATAGGCAATTCTCACTCACCTCCAAAGACTCAGTTCACATGCTACTGCCACTTGCTCTGGGAAGCATTTCTCAGAGCAAGTAACACCTCTATGCTGTAGCTTGCAGAATGGGAGGGAGTTTAATTGTTGAAAGTAGTGGTGCACATGTCAGGAGAAAGTATTCTGAGTAGTGGTACAGCATGAGAAAATGGGCAGATGTAAGAGACAGCATAGTTTATTCAAGGAACTGAAAGGCACAGAAATAATAGGGTAGGAAGGTATACTTCTCTATGGGAAAATAGATGGGGTTCGTTGTCATCCAGGGTTTGGGTAAAGAATGTAAAACATAAGTTGGGGCCTGATTAAGATTAAGATTAAGATTCTTAATTTTAGGTATATTCAGTAGGCACCCTGAAAGGCAGTAAGAAGCAAGAATGACCTATTCCTCTTAGCAAGAAGGTACAAAGTAATGTCCAAAGATTTGATTGGGTTTCTTTATATTTTTGCCTATTTCATAGCTGTACTGTCTACTTTTTCTTTGTCCAAAAGGATACTAAATTATGTTTAGCTGTGCCTACCCAATTAAAGGGGGAGAACTGGAATGGAAACTTGTTAAGCCATTAGCAGAAAAAGTTCTTAAATATCAGTTATATATGAATCCTTAGGAAATGTGTGTGTATATACATACGCATATAATTTTTACAAAGACTTATACCTTCAACTTTTTAAAAAAACATATAGGATGTAAAATGTTACTTATTATCTACACTATAAACATTTTCAAATGCCATATTCATAACTTGAAATTAGGAACATCTGTTTAAAATGGACTGATTACATATTAATTTAAGGACTAAATCAAGATTAATAAAATCACTCAGGAGTAGGAGCAACAGAATTGATAGCAGGTATAAATATCTTAAGCCAAAATAATGATAACCTATATTAAGAAGAGGTAGGAATTTTTAGTGACTGGGTAGTGATAACGGATTTTAATATGTAATTCGTTAGGCATCAAATGACTTCTCCAGTTGCTGACTTAACAACAAATCAAAGGCAAAGGCAAAATTAAAACACAAAATCTCCAATAAAGCAAAAATACTAAGAAATCTAATGGACTCTCAAACTCAGTAGAGTACTAGGATATTTGACACAAGGTAAGAAATAAGATTATAATCATCCATTGAAAATTTATCTCTGCAAAAAAGAAACTATATAGAAAGACAGGTAATTGGATCACTATGATCTACTCTAACATAAAGTTTTAAGTTTATACATCATAGAGTTTATCCTTTGATTTTATAATGCTTTAAGAAAATATGTTGTGGTTAGATCCCTCTAAAATGCATGGGAAGCCACAGATTTCCCAATTGATTCTTCGTAAAGTGATATCCTATTTTGTGGTTTGTAAAGAAACAGCTTCCAGTTGGATAATTTATTTATTGAAAATGGGGTAGAAGGCCAGGTGCAGTGGTTCACGTTTGTAATCCCAGCACTTTGGGAGGCCAAGGTAGGAGGATCACTTGAGCACAGGAGTTTAAGACCAGCTTGGGAAACATAGTAAGACTTCATCTCTACCAAAAATAATTAGCCAGGTGTGGTGGCATGCACCTATAGTCCCAGTTACTCAGGAGCCTGAGGTGGGAGGATTGCTTGAGCTCAGGAGTTTGAGGCTGCTGTGAGGCATGATTGTGCCACTGCACTCCAGCCTAAGTGACAGAGCAAGATCCTGTCTCAGAAAAAGAAAGAAAGAAAGAAAGAAGGAAAGAAGGAAAGAAGGAAGGAAGGAAGTGGGGTACAGAAATCTTTCAATATGTCCACTGAATAGCTCCTTTAAGGCTAACGTCCTGAAGCACACTGAACCGTTCTATAATAACAGGATTCACAAAGAAAACCAAGAGGATTCCTTGGCAATTTATGCTTTCTTTTACACCCAACCAAAAGGCTCATTTTTATGGGGTAGTTAACAAGGATAACTGGTATATATGTGTGTATATACATGTATACATACATGTATATATATAATCACACAAGTAATCTTATATGTATAAGTGATTATATAAAAGATTATATAAAATGTCAAAGCATTTTTATTTTGTATCTATGTATAAAAGATTATATATATATATACTGTATACACACATATATAGACACACACACACACACACACACACCTCTTCTATTACCATCCTGCAGGAAAAACAATGAGGAGCATTAAATCATAACATGTTATTGACAAGTGAGCAGACTGAGAATGGGCAGTGGCAGGGACCCTTGGCTGTGGGGCACACTTATCCTTGCTGTTGTGTTCATTTCACCTGGTGCCATTCCATTTGATCCATAGTAACTTATCGAGAGGCAGATTCCATTTTCTAAGGTGGCAGAAAAAGATCCAAACTTGCTGAAAGCTTTATTCTTTGCATCTGATACTTCTAAAATACAAAATCGAATCAAGAACATTTTCATTTAATTCAAAATAAATATAACTAAGACTCAGTGGGAAGGCTGGGAATGGAGTTCATAGCTGCTCTACCACAATCAACTTAAAAAATAATTGGTTTAGCTTGACCATGCACTCAGGGTTGTTAGAGGTAGGGTGGAATTACAAAGACAAGAATATGAAACTCTTGTTTTAGGGACCTTAGGTTAAAGTGAAGAGAGGAAATCAATCGGTTGATGGCATATCCATAAGCAGATTATTCATCTGGTAGGTCATCCACATGGCTTTTAAAATTAAAACCATCAGTTCAGTTTCAGTTTCCCCACATTTTAAAACATTTTCTTAAATTCCCACACTTAAACTTTTTTACATTTTAAAACATTTAAAAGTTTAAAGAATTTAAAAATTGTTTCAGTCAAAACATAATTTTAAAACAAAATTGTTAAGGCACTTTTTTTTCTTTTCTCAATTTTTAGGTTTAGGGGGTACCTGTGCAGGTTTGTTACATGGGTAAATTGCATGTCACTGGGGTTTGGTGTACAGACACTTTCATCACCCAGTTAGTGAGCATAGTACCTGATAGGTAGTTTTTTGATCCTTACCCTTCTCCCAACCTTCCCTCTTAAATAGGCCCCACTGTCTGTCATTCCCATCTTTATGCCCATGTTTACTCAGTGTTTAAATCCACTTATTAGTGAGAAAATGCAGCATTTGTTTTTCTGTTCCTGTGTTAGTTCGCTTAGGATAATGGCCTCCGCTGCATCCATGTGCTGCAAAGTATATGTTTTAGTTTTTCGTGGCTGCATAACATTCCGTAGTGTGTATGTACCACATTTTCTTTATCCAGTCCACCACTAATGAGCAACTAGGTTGATTCCATTTCTTTGCTATCATGAATAGAAAACACACATCTGAAGGTATATGTAAAGAATTTGTGAATTTTCTGACTTGTTTTATTTTCAGTTCACCATTTTCTCTATTATCAGATAATAAAGATGGGGCAATATTGATTTAAAATAATGTAACTCATGCAAAGATAATTTTTAGACTGGGAAATTCAAATGAACCATGGAACAAAAGGTAATGCTTTAAGAGAATAAAAAGAGAAGACACAGAGTTGAAGAAAATATCTGCAAAAGACATCTGTTAAAGGACTATTACTCAAAATGTATGAAGAATTCTTAAAGCTCAATAACCAGAAAATAAAAACCTGATTAAAAAATGGGCATGAAACTTCAACAGACACTTCACCAAGGAAGAGATACAAATGGCAAATAAGCATATGAAAAGATGTTCAATATTATTTGTTATCCAGAAAATGCAGATTAAAACAACAAGATACCACTAGACACCTTATAGAATGGAGAAAATCTAAAACAGAAAATAATGGTGAGGATATAGAGCAACAAGAACTTTCATTCATTACTGTGGGAATGCATAATGGTACAGCCAATTTGGAAGACGATTTGGTGGATTCTTCCAACATGAACATACTCTTACCCTATAATCCAAAAGTCACACTCCTTGGTGCTTACCCAAGGGAGTTGAAAACTTATGTCCACACACAAACCTGTACACGAATATTTGTAGCACCTTTATTCACAATTGCCAAAAGCTGGAGGCAACCAAGATGTCCTTCAGTAGGTGGGTGGGAAAATAAAATTGTGGTACATCTAGACAATGTAATATTATTTAGTTTTCAAAAGAAATAAGCTATCAAGCCATGAAAAGACACACAGGAAACTTAAATGCATATTACTAAATGAAAAAAGTCAATCTGAAAAGGCTACAT